>NC_000016.10:27274364-27577395 GCF_000001405.40 Homo sapiens | reverse complement strand
TTTTTTTAATTTTTTTGTAGAGAAAGGGTCTTGCTTATGTTGCCCAGGCTGGTCTCGAAGTCCTGGGCTCAAGCAATCTTCTCGCCTCAGTCTCCCAAAGTGCTGGGATAACAGGCGTGAGCCACCACACTCGGCTACCTGGGAGCTTTCAAATATCCAGATGTTGCTAAGTACCGTGGTTGGCAATGTTTAAATGTGGATTTAACCATTTTAAATGTGGATTTAAACATTTTAAAAAATCCACAACTTTTAAATGTGGACACCTACTTTTTAAAAATTATAACAGGGTACGAGCTAGATACAACATATCTTTGGGCTGAATTTGGCCTGGTGAGTTCATTGACAACAGCCACACCCTCCCTTTGTCATGGTGGCTTAAGATCCCTCAAAGAAGTACCCGATCCCAACCCAGGCTGGAAACTACGTGTTCACTCTCCAGGGAGTGCACTGGCCACACCACCTCACCACCACGTGTTCACCCTCCAGGGAGTGCGCTGGCCACACCACCTTACCACCTTGAGAAATACAACATTTGTTCTAACCAGCTCTGAGAAAGAGACAGCTGGTCTTCTCCTTGCCTTTCATGGTGACATAGTTTGATCTATACCTGGCATCCTGGGTAAGGCACAGAGGGTTGGGAAGTCAGGAGAGAGGGCATAGGATGCAGAAAGAAGAGGTGGGTGGAAAAGGCATGTTATAATCTGTCAGACGAGAGTCCTGGCAGCTTGCTGTTTTTTTTTGTTTTGTTTTGTTTGTTTTTTTGTTTTTAATAATTGTTTTTTAGTAGAGGTGGGATTTTACCACGTTGCCCAGGCTGGTCTTGAACTCCTGGGCTCAAGTAATCCACCCACCTTGGCCTTCTAAAGTGCTGGGATTATAGGCAGGAGCCACTTCGCCAAGCCTTTATTTATTTAATTATTTATTTTTAAAATAATTGTTTGGGGTTGGTTTTTTGTTTTGTTTTTCTAACCGAACAAAAGCTCTGTTAAGAGAGTTAGCACTCTCCTTTTTTCAAAAGGCCTGAAACCAAGTGAAATATCTTTCCAGGTTAAGCCTGGGTATTGTGATAAACAGCTTCACTCTCTGTTTCTCACTACAAGCACTTCCCAGGAGAGAAATGATCTGAAATGCTCTCGGGCGATGGGCACAATGGGAGTGGCTGGGAAAGCAGCAATTAGGGGAGTCCCGTAGCTAGAGAGAGACAGAGAGAGAAGGGAAGAGTATCTCAACTAGTTTCCCCCGCCCCGCTCCATGGTTTCCCAGTTAATTTCTTAATGTGGAGAAATAGGATGCTGCTATTCTGTGACCAAAGGCCAGGGGTGGGTTTCAGGTTTCTTTCCTGGCTTGCAGGCTGGTCTTCACCCCAGGTCAGTTAACTGAGGGCGGCCTGCAGGTCTGGGCTCACTTCCATCCCTGCTCCTCTACCTCAGGGTCTCTGGAAGGATGCTGTGGGAAGACAGGCACTTGCTTCTGCCTCCAGAGAAAGATTCCTTACCAGAAGGAGTGGGAAAATCCACCCTGGCTTTGCCCCTAGACTGCCCACTTGGGCGACACTTAGATCTTTTCAGCAGCAGCGAAGTTCCTAAGGCTTCGTCCAGCCCTCATCCTAGATGGGCTGATTGAAAGAAAAAGAAAATGCAAACTGGCTGTTCTGGTTACAGCTGATGAAGGAAACAACAGGAGAAGGTGAAGGTCATGTAACTCACACGACGCTGAGTGCAGTTCAGCCCCAGCTTACTCCTCAGAGCTGGCCGGGACAGCCCAGAGATGGAAGGAGAAAGACCAGGTCTTCTTGCCATTTTTGAGGCCCTGGACCCAGCTGAGCCTGACAAATGCCCTTTCATTATAGGAATGATGACACTTTACAATCAAAAGTGTTGGTAGATATGTCTGGATGAATTTCTCGATTGGTCAGTGTTTCTGATGAGCCACACAATTTATCTCCCCTGCACTCCTGTCCCACCTCCACTAAATAAGACTCAATTTTATATTCTCATAAGCCTGGGACATGATCAAAGGGCCCTGGAGTAACCTATGGCTCCTTGCTACCACTTCCCACTTGCTTTAGGCACCATGATCTTGCAACCTTCCTTATTCATGTCTCTCTGACTTTGACTGTACTGATTCCTTGGCCTGGAAAACTCCTAGTCATCCTTCAAGAAGTAGCCTGCACATCACCTTTTCTGCAAAGGCTTTCTTGATATTGCTGGAAGAGTCAGGTGACTGGTTTCTGTATTAAAATCTCACTTTCTCTGTCCTTCTGTGATAGCACTTCTCACACTGTATTGTAACTATTGTACTGTAGCTCTCTTCCAACTAGACAGTGCATACTCTGAGATCAAGGACTGTGTTTCACTTAACCTCTAGTCCTGGTCCCCCTGGTGCCTGGCACAGAGTAGGTGGGCTCAGAGGCGGGGAGGGGGGAAGGTAGCGGATTTCAAGAATGGCCACAATATTTTGTAGCTCTTCCCATCAAGAGGTGAGATCTATTTCCCCACCCCTTGAATCTGGGACCTTGTGACCTGCTTTCAAGAACAGAAAGTGGGGCCGGGTGTGGTGGCTCACGCCTGTAATCCCAGCACTTTGGGAGACTGAGGCGGGCTCGGGAGTTCGAGACCAGCCTGGCCAGCATGGTGAAACCCCATCTCTACTAAAAATACAAAATTAGCCGGGCTTGGTGGCAGGCGCCTGTAATTCCAGCTACTTGGGAAGCTAAGGCAGGAGAATTGCTTGAACCCGGGAGGCGGAGGTTGCAGTGAGCTGAGATCACGCCATTGCACTCCAGCCTGGGCAACAGAGAGTGACTCGACTCAAAAAAAAAAAAAAAAAAAAAAAAAGAATAGAAAGTGGTAGAAGTGACACTGTGTGACTTGTAAGCCTAGGACTCAAGAAGTCCTGCAGTTGCCACTCCTGCACTCTTGAGCCCTTGAAGCACCATGTGAAAAAATCTGCCTAGCTTGCTGGCAGATGAGAAGTATGTATACCATTAAGAGGTGAGGTGTGGAGGAGAACTGAGGCACCCTGACACTCAACTACCCCCCAGTCGACACAGCCATGAACTGCAGAAACATGAGTGAGCACCATGCGGAGCCTGGTCCAACAGCAGAACTGCCCAGATAAGCCCAAACTGCTAACCCACCAAATCCAGAACTAAATATATGGTTGTTGTTTTAAGCCACTAAAATCTGGGATGATTTGTTACACAGACAAAGTTAACTGATACACTCAGAGATGATTATTACAAGTGATTATTACAAGTGATTATTACAAGTGACACTGGGTTGGTAAGTCTAGTTGCTCACTATCATTTGCTCCAGGATTCAAGCTTGGGACCCCAAGAGAAAAGAGTATATTTAGGGACACTTATTCGCCACCCTGCTCCCTCAGGTCCTTTCAAATAGAGTTGCCTCCCATCAGCCCTCGCCAGGGACACATTTACCTCCTTTTTCTCTCGTGAGCAGGACCAGCTTCTCTCGGCCTTTCGCAGAGTCTGACCTGTCGCAGTTCAAAAGCAGAACCAAGATTAAGGCTGTTTTAGAACAGCTAGTTTATCAACACAAAAGATTTTTATTTGCAAACTGAATAGATGGGACCAATCATAATCAAATGATTTTAAGAAAATGCAGCCTATTATTATAATGGGAAAATGGCACACTTTTGAAATAGACCAACGGCAAGGAAAATGGTAATTCACACACTTACATTATTTGACTATAATGAACAAAGCTCCAGCCTTTAATCTGGAACATTATCTGTACTCTGAAAGGGCTGAGGGACTGTAGTTTTCCCCTTTGAATTACATTTTTATTAAATTGTTTGGAATTACATAAAATGCCTTCCACAAGAATGCCTTCCTCTGTGCACACACACATACCCTTTGATGAGAGCATACCAACGTGCTGCACCAAACCCCCAAATCCACCACATAGGTGACAGTGCAGATGTGAATTAGTGGTAATCACCTGCATTTCATATAATAGGCAATTTCAGAGAGAATTACTGCTTTTCTGGGGGAGCTAGAAGACTAACATTTGAAGGTGTGCATAAATTCAACAGAGTGACATCATAATGTTTAAATATGCTGTTTCGAATGCAGTTTTCACAACTTTTATGGAAGTGTCCATTATAAAGGAATGCCTTGATGCAAAATTAATGGATTGCTTTGGTTTGAAAATATAAAACAAGAGTCACTGCATTATTGTCAATGTATCTCCTAAACTGCCCAACTTTACTCCCCAGTGGCTATTTGTGAAAATGCCACAACCAGTGTCCCCTTAGGTAAGAGCACTCAGAAGACAGAAGCAAAAAATGCTTAGTGACAGCTTAGCAAGAGGAAAGCAACGGGGACTGAGTCTCAGAGAAAAGACACGTCTTTGGACATGGTCACTTCTAGCAAGTCTGCACGTGAGTGAGGGGTAGGGGAGGGGTCACAGCTGGTGATAAAGCTCAAGGGATGATGCTTTTGCCAAGAAAGTGTGAATAAAGGGAAGAGCCAAGGCCTAGGAAGAACCGCTGGCCACGGCCAGACTCTAAGGCCAATGTGTAAAAGGATTTCGAAATGAGGCCACTGGAGAATTTACAGGAGGGCATGGATCATACAGTATCATGGTATGGGAGAAGACATCTTTTGGTTTATCTGGTCAGCTCATAATGATACCCTAAACTGCCCTCCTCTCTCTTCCTCTCCCCTCTGTCCACCCAGTGGGGCCTCTGGGCAGCCATGATTATACATAATCCCACGCCCTGAACCTCAGTATGCTGTGCTATGGATGGACCTCTGACCCAACTGCAGCCAATCAGAATCCCAGTCCCAGGAATTTGGAATTGGTTCTGAGAGACAGAGAAGAGGGAGACACAGGGCAGGGCTATCTCCGTGTGTGAGCTGTCATGCTGAGTTACTACCAGCCACAAGCCTTGGGGTAGACTAACAGAGGCCAGGATTCCCGGATAGAATGAACTAATCTGAAACTGGCTACATGCCTGCCTTTGTCTTCATTGTGTGTGTGTGTGTGTGTGTGTGTGTGTGTGTGTGTTTTCTTTTTTGCCTTAAGACAAAGAACCTAGGATTTAAGGATGAAAAAGAGACCAGCATAATGTACCACTGTAATACAGGGTGTTCTTTAAAAAAAAAAAATTTTTTTTATAGAGATGGGCGTTTTGCCATGTTGCCCAGGCTGGTCTCAATTTCCTGGGCTCATGTGATCCACCCCACTTGGCCTCCCAAAGTGCTGGGATTACAGGCATAAACCACCACACCCAGCCCAGTGTGGGGTGTTGATAGTTGGGGAGATGTATGTGGGGACAGGGGTATATGGGAGCTCTCTGTAATTTCTGCTCAATTTTGCTGAACGCTCTAAAAACCAGTTTATTAGTTAAACACACACACACATACACACACACACACACACCCCCAGGATTTAGGGATCAAGAGATTTGATTGTTAGGCCAATTTTATCAGGACCTCCTGAGGCTTGCTGCTCTGGGATAGGAGCTAGAATGAGCAGCTCCCAGAAACCCTTGACCACACGGCTCTGGCTGTCAGTCTAAGGATTCCGAGTGAGCCCTAAGGCTGGCCAGGGAAAATGACATGCCAGGTAGTCAGGCCTCATCATGCAGAGCGAAGGGACTGTCCCTGAGCTGCTAGGCACAAAGCGGGTTGGGGTCTGGGCCACTGACAGACTGGGGTGTCCTGGCAGCAGGAGTAGTGCAGAGGCCAGTGAGATGCCAGCAGGGCCCTGCAGGGCCCCACAGGGCCCAGGGCAAGAGCAGGCAGCAGGAGGGAGCAGAGCTCCTCCAGGGTGAGCACGGCAGATCCCAGCGCCTGACTGAGGCCCTTGCTTTGCTGGCCACACAGCCTCCTGGGGATCTGGTCCTGAGGGACAAGTGACAGCTATGGGACCTTGGATAAGTCATTAGGTCTCTATGGGCCATAGTTTTTTTTTTTTTTCTTTAAGAGTTAGGCTGAATCATCTTTATGGTTGCTTTTCATCTCTAAAATTATGTTATACTAATAAAGAACAGTTTAAAAAATTAAGGTGGACAATAAAAACAAAACATTAATGTGGCCAGTCGTGGTGGCTCATGCCTGTAATTCTAACACTTAGGGAGGTCGAAGCGGGTGGATCACCTGAGGTCAGGACTTCAAGACCAGCCTGGTCAACATGGTGAAACCCCATGTCTACTAAAAATACAAAAATTAGCCGGGCATGGTGGCACATGCTTGTAATTCCAGCTACTCAAGAGGCAGAGGCACAAGATTCACCTGAACCTCGGAGGCAGAAGTTGCAGTGAGCCGAGATCGCACCACTGGACTCCAGCCTGGGTAAAGGAGTGAGACTCTGTCTCAAAACAAACAAACAAACAAACAAAAACCAAAATATTAACGTAACTGGGCAGCTTAACTTCAAAATGCATTTGAAAACTTTTTTTTCCCCTTTCTCTTGGATTTCAAGATTGAACCTTAAAGGAAACTGCAGAAGCCTTTTCTCTTAGCCTTAAAATAGACTCCGTGTCCCTCCCTTTCTCACCGTATATACTGTCTTCACATTTCTCTAACTGTATACTAGTATTTGCCTATGTGCCTTCTTAGAAGTTCCAGCGGCTAATCTTGGAGCAAGCCTGGAGACCCAGCTGCAAAATTGCAGAGATGACTTCACGGTGGCGAGTTAACAACCTGGCCATTGTAGAGATGACGCCAGCCCAATGTCCAGGTAGACTGGGACCCAAGATGGCCACCCGAACAAGACACACAGATAGTACTCAGCCCAATTCTTGCATGCCTTCTTTATCAAGTTTTCCCTTTTTATTTATGTATGTATTTATTTATTTTGAGATGGAGCCTCACTCTGTTGTCCAGGCTGGAGTGCAGTGGTGCGATCTCCGCTTACTGCAACCTCTGCCTCCCAGGTTCAAGCAATTCTCCTGCCTCAGCCTCCCAAGTAGCTGGGATTACAGATGCCCACCACCATGCCTGGCTAATTTTTGTATTTTTTTTAGTAAATATGGGGTTTCACCATGTTGGCTAGGCTGGTCTCGAACTCCTGACCTCAGGTGAACCGCCTGTCTAGGCCTCCCAAAGTGCTGGGATTACAGGAGTGAGCCACTGCGCCTGGCTCACTCCTGTAAGGGAAAACTGGAGTTTTCTTCCTCCACAAAATGGAAGTGGTTACTTTGGATAGGAATCTGACCACTTCCCTTTATTAGTTTTGGTTAATAAATTCACTTTCTTATTACCAGACCTCACTCTTATTAACCGAACTCTGCAAGCAGCAAGCATGAGACCTGCGTTCAGTCGTTCAGTTACATTAATGCAAAGAACATAGAGCTTAACTACTAAAATGTGAAAGTAGGACAGATGTAGTGGCTCACGTCTGTAATCTCAGCACTTTGGGAGGCCAAGGCAAGAGGATCACTGGAGGCCAGGAGTTCAAGACCAGCCTAGGTAACATAGCAAGACCTTGTCTCTATAAAAACAAACAAAACAAAAAGAATAAAATAAAATAAAACATAAAAGCAAATCTTTCTACTGGAGTTAATTAGAAGCTTTTTAATTCATTAAATCGGAAAATAATTTGCTTATTTTCCAACGAAGATAATTCACTCAATTAAGAGCATTTATTATCTAAACTCCCTAGAAGACTGGTTGGCCCAGTCCTCACACCACTGAGCCTTTCTCTCTCCTCCAGATTAGCTCGATGCGAAGACAGCTCCTGCCTGTCAAGGATGGAAGTGCTGTAACCAGATTACACTGTGCCTGTCTACCGCACTTAGCTTCTCTGAGCATTTTCCTACCTATATCTCATTTATTCTCACAACAACTCAAAGAAGGAAGTGGAAAAAGGTGACATTAATATCAATATATGCCACTTGCAAAATTAAGGGGGTGTTCCTCTGAATTTTGCAGGGTGACCTGCCTGCTTCAGCTATGAAGCAATAAATAAGGCCAATATACTTCACTTTATAGAACAGATGTCTGTCTGGGGAAAAGAAAAAAAAAGAAGTGACTGCATTGAATTTTGTAACTACAATACTATTCTCCCACTTATGATTTCAGCAAGGTTTTATCTGCACATAGGATTCGTTTTCAATGGTTAGCACATTCTGACACTTTGCTCTAGATGAAGATAATCTTCATCGCTACCATTTAGAGGGGAGTCGCATCTTCTTGGATGTTAGTTTCTGAAGTCATCAGGCAAAGGGAAAATCAGTGCCAAAATTACCCTTGATAAAGAGTCTTAAACAACCCGTAAAGTACAGTCTACAGGACATAGCTTTTTAAATCCACTGCTGTAGACTAATATGCATGCATATTTGATGCATATGGAAATGTATATAGTACATGATAAAAATATATATGCAGAATATAATTTCATGATATTCCTAATTAAACTATTCATATTGTAATCACTCCCTCTATTTATCCTCTTCAGGTGGGAGGGGAGTGGTGGGGGTGGAGGTAAGAGCCCAGCACTGACATTAGACCCTCACTCCCATCGAGTCTGGTAAAATGCTCAGTCTTGGCATGAAAGGTCAGGTTTTGGAGAATAAAAGGAACTCAGTAGAAATCTGCAGGTAAAGAAATCCAGTGTAAGGGCCTCCCCATCACAAGAGTTTTGGATTAAGAACTTATTTCCGGCCGGGTGCGGTGGCTCACACCTGTAATCCCAGCACTTTGGGAGGCCCGGGCGGGCAGATCACGAGGTCAAGAGATTGAGACCATCCTGGCCAACAGGGTGAAACTCTGTTTCTACTAAAAATACAAAAATTAGCTGGGCGTGATGGCATGTGCCTGTAGTCTTAGCTACTCGGGAGGCTGAGGCAGGAGAATCACTTGAACCCAGGAAGCGGAGGTTGCACAGAGCCGAGATTGCACCACTACTCCAGCCTGGCGACAGAGCGAGACTTGGTCTCAAAAAAAAAAACTTATTTCTTATTCCCGGGGCAAGGCCCGGTTGCTCACACCTGTAATCCCTCAAAAGCACAAATGCATTTTTCCTTTGAGCTAGCAATATCACTACTAGGAATCAGCCGTGAAGACATCTGTCCACAAATAGGAAACAAACATATGCTCAAGGTATTTGCTGTATCATGATTTGTAATAGCAAATATCAGAAATAATAAGTCACTGAACAAATATGATGAATCCGCACAATGTAATTGAACACTGTAAAGCTGAAAGAATGAGCAAGCTTCTCATATTCTACTCCTTATATATCCTTAAAAGATGGTCATATTTTAGGTGGAAAAAAAAATCAAGACCAGAAAGTATATGTTGCATGTAACCTTTTCTCTAAGAAAAAGGGAAAATCAAAATATATACTCATATTGGTTCTATTTGCATAAAGAACTACCCAGAGAGGCATGTGAAGGACTCTTAAGGTATGTTTTTTAATATTGTTTTTATTTTTATTTTCCTATTACTATTATCTTTTAGAGACTGAGTCTTGCTCTGTTGCCCATCCTGGAATGCACTGGTGTGAACATAGCTCACTACAGCCTGGAACTGCTGGGCACAAACGATCCTCCCACCTTAGCCTCCTGAGTAGCTGGGATTACAAGGGTGTGCCACCACTGGGTGCAGTGGCTCACGCCTGTAATCCCAGCACTTTGGGAGGCCGAGGCGGGTGGATTACCTGAGGTCAAGAGTTCGAGACTAGCCTGGCCAACCAACATGGTGAAACCCCGTCTCTACTAAAAATACAAAAATTACCCAGGCGTGGTGGCAGGTGCCTGTAATGCCAGCTACTCGGGAGGCTGAGGTGGGAGAATCACTTTAACCCAGGAGCCAGAGGTTGCAGTGAGTCAAGATCGTGCCACTGCACTCCAGCCTGGGTGACAGAGGGAGACTCCTTCTCAAACAACAACAAAAACACAAACAAACAGAAAAAAAACACAAGGGTGTGCTACCACATCCAGCTTATTTACCTTTTTGTAGAGGTGGAGTCTTGCTATGTTGTCCAGGCTGGTCTCAAACTCGTGGGCTCAAGCAATCCTCTTGCCTCAGCCTCCCAAAGTGCTGAGATTATAGGCGTGAGCCACTGTGCCTGGTCTTATTTTTATTTTTGAATGATCTATTTGGATCTATTTCCTATTCAAAAAGCTAAAACAAACTTAAAATATGCAATGTCCAAAGGCTGATTTAAATGTGTAAAAAACATAACATAATGAGAAATGCTAAAGACTCTCCCATCCAAGACCTAAGATGGGGCAGGTGGTCTGTCAGAGGGAGATGGAGGAGCCTCCGTGAACCTCAGGACCCCAAATCTTGCTGGAAAGAGAACACAATATTTTTGGAGGACAAACTGACTTCTTTTAAGAGATCAATCAGTAATGTGTGAGAGATAAGAATGAAACGATGACAAAATACGGTTTCTGGAAATTGAACCAACAGTTCCTTAGTGAAGCCAATAGGCTATTGGTGACCTGCTCATTTATTTGAGGGCAAAGTTTTTATGAAATGGCTAGAGAAGATGAGAAAGGAAAAAGAAAAAGAAAAAAAAAGATAAAGGAAGGTGCAGATGGGTTGTCTGACGATCTGATTTCAAAGGGAGTCAGTTTCTCCAGTGCTTTCTGAGCACCTGCCATTGTCAGCTTCTTCCCCGGGTGATAGCTCTTGGGATTTCCTACCATTTGCAATGACAAAGCCGCATGGGTCACAGAAGCAAAGCAAACTGCCCATGGTCACACAACAAGGAAGCAAGGAAGGGTTAGCAACCCATTAGTCCAACGGCTGACCCAGTATGCTCAGCGTGCTTGCCCCACCCTGCTGCCTGCACACCGTTCTTCCAGTCCAGGAAGGAGAGCACTCCCTGTCATTACTACCCCCACCCCCATACCCCCATTTCAACTTCCTTTTTTTTTAGACAGAGTCTCACTCTGTCGCCTGGGGCTGGAGTGCAGTGGCACAATCTTGGCTCACTGCAACCTCCACCTCCTGGGTTCAAGTGATTCTCCTGCCTCAGTCTCCCAAGTAGCTGGGATTACAGGAGCCCACCACCACGCCCGGTGTATTTTTGAATTAGTAGAGACTGGGTTTTGCCATGTTGGCCAGGCTGGTCTCGAACTCCTGACCTCAGGTGATCTGCCTGCCTTGGCCTCCCAAAGTGCTGGGATTACAGGAGTGAGCTACCACGCCTGGCCGGCTTCCTGAACCTTGATTCTGGCTTCTACCTATAGTGTTTGCAAAGATACGCATGTGTTGGAGTGAGGTAAACAGAGGAAGGTGGCAGGATGGGGACAAGGTGTCCTAAGAACAGCTGCCCAGGAGGGGCACAGTGGCTCATGCCTGTAATCCTATCACTTTGGGAGGTTAAGGTGGGAGCAGCTCTTGGGCAACAAAGCAAGACTCCATCTCTTAAAAAAAAAAAAAAAAAACAGCTGCTGGTTTCCATACAGAAAGGTGGGCCTGGTTTTGATGGATTAGATTTTCCAGAGAAGTGATAAATCCAGTCTTCTAATTTTTAAATGATTAATAATTTAAAAAATTTTAAGGCTCTGTACAGGCTAAAAAAATCAGGCCTCTAGTTTCCAACTCAGTACATAACTAGGCAGACAGATCTCCCACTTTCCCACTCTTCCTTTGTTTTTTTTTTTTGTTTTTTTGTTGTTTTTTTTATGAGACATCTCACTCTGCTGTCCCGGCTAGAGTGCAGTGGTGTGATCATAGCTCACTGCAGTCTCAAACTCCTGGGCTCAAGCCATTCTCCCACCTCAGCCTCCAGAATAGCTGGCACTATAGGTATGTGCCACCACACTTGGCTAAAACTTACTTTTGTAGAGACAGGGGTCTCACTATGTTGCCCACGCTGGGCTCAAACTCCTGGATTCAAAGCAATCTCCCACCTTTGCCTTCCAAAGTGTTGGTATTACAGGCGTGAAGCAGCATGCCTGACTTTCCCATTATTTCTTTTCTTTCCTTTTTTTTTTTTTTTGAGACAGAGTCTCACTCTGTCGCCCAGGCTGGAGTGCAGTGGCGCAATCTCGCCTCACTGCAACCTCTGCCTCCGAGGTTCAAGTGATTCTCCCACCTCAGCCTCCCAAGTAGCTGGGATTACAGGGGTACGACATCATACCCAGCTAATTTTTGCATTTTTAACAGAGACGGGGTTTCACTATGTTGGCCAAGCTGGTCTCAAACTCCTGACATCAGGTGATCCACCCGCCTCGGCCTCCCAAAATGCTGGGATTACAGGTGTGAGCCACCGCGCCTGGACTCCTATTATTTCTTTATCTTGATGCCATGGACCCGTTTTGAGGGGACTTCTTTAAGGACATCCCACTAAAACAACAGAAATCTATTAGACAAAGAGCAGGACTGTTTGAAAGCCAGGTAGGGCCGGGCGTGGTGGCTCACACCTATAATCCCAGCACTTTGGGAGGCCGAGGCAGGCGGAACACCTGAGGTCAGAAGTTGAGACCAGCTTGGCTAACATGGTGAAACCCTGTCTCTACCAAAAATACAAAAAATTAGCCGGGTGTGGTGGCGCATGCCTTTAATCCCAGCTACTATGGAGGCTGAGGCAGGAGAATCGCTTGAACCCAGTAGACGGAGGTTGCAGTGAGCTGAGATTGCGCCATTACTCCAACTTGGGCAAGAAGAGTGAAACTCCGTCAAAAAAAAGCAAGCAAGCAAGCAAGCAAGCAAGCAAGCCAGGCAGACACCGGCTCTGCAACACCCCTTCCCTTCATTCCCCACGTGTGCCTCCAGGCTGATGTGGGCCTTTAAGTTACCTTCCTTTTTGGAAAGCCTGATATGATACCCCTGTCACTTTTCCTTTGCATTTTCTGTGTAACTTGACTTCTGGGGCCCAGTTTACTGCCAAATTACCTGGGATAAACAAGTCATGCTAAGATCTTCTTTTCCTTTCCAAACCCAAACAGCAGCTGGCATACAGAAATGCTTATTTATAACCTGCACACCGTTAACGCGCATTTGCTTGGTTTAGAAATGCTTAGCCATGTGTTCTTCTGGGAGCTTCATAATTAGGTAAGAGCCTGGGGACAATGCTGTGTGGCGGCTGAGAGGGGAGGCTCTGGGTCAGCCCGTCTCTCTTAGCTACTCATTACCCATTTGGGAGTCCTATTAGTCCTGACTCCATTTAAGTCTATTGTCAGGGTTAAGGCACTACATGTAAAACTCTCAGAACAGTGCCCTGCATACAGTAGGTACTTAGCAGTTATTAGTTCCCATAAACTGCTGACTATTCATGGATCTCAGCCAGTTCAACTGAACTTGGGCTTCCAAATAGATCTGGAACCTGCTCATTCCTATCATCCCGCTCTCCAAGCCAGGCCCCGTCAACTCCCCCTGGGCTTTTTCTTTTTTCTTTTTTCCAGACAGGGTCTTGCTCTGTTGCCCAGGCTGGAGTGCAGTGGGCATGATCATGGCTCACTGCAGTCTCGACCTACTGGGCTCAAGTGATCCTCCTGCCTCAGCCTCCTAAGTAGCTAGGACACAGGTATGTGCCATCATGGCCAGCTTTTTTTTTTTTTTTTTTTTTTTTTTAATTTACTAGAGATGAGGTCTCACTATGTTGCCTAGCTGGTCTCGAACTCCTGGGTTCAAGCAATTCTACCCATCTCAGCTTCCCAACGTGCTGGGATTAGAGGCATGAGCCACTGCATGTGACCAACTTTTTCAACAGCCACCTAGTAGGTATCCCTGCCTCCACTCTTGCCTGGATTTTCCTATGGCAGCCATATAAAAACCAGACCCTACCACTTGCCTGCCTGAACTTCTAATGTTTCCCTGTGCATGCAGAAAAGAATCCAAGCCTCATTCTGACCAGGCTCTGCATGGCCTGGCCCACGGGATATTTTGGACCTCTCCTCCCTCTTCCCTGCAGCCCTCTTCCCTGCAGTCTTTCTTCTTTGTATTTAGAGAAGGAACCTTGCTCTATTGCCCAGGCTGGACTGCAGTGGTGTGATCACAGCTCACTGCAGCCTCGACCTCCCAGGCTCAAGCGATACACCCAAGTGGACTCCTGCACAGATGGGACCACAGGCGTGCACCACTGCACCTAGTCCCACATCCCTCTTCTGCTCCGTAGACCCAAGACTCCTTCCTGCCTCAGGGCCTTAGCTCTCTCCTCTGGGCCAAGAGCACTCATGCCCTTGGTCTTATGAGGGATCCTTCTTAGCAATGAGATTTCAGCTTAAAACCACCCACCTCTCCAGAGGGACCCAGCCCTCAGTCCTCCGTCTTAACCTTCTGCATGGCACTTACTGACATTTTCTTATTAATATGTTTGTAGTCTGTCTCCCCAACTAAAAATAAGCCCCATGAAACCAGAGGCTGCTATCTGGCTTATCAGTGAATTCTCCACACCTGGAATAGTGCCTAGAATGGAGTGTGCATCAGTAGAAATTTCTGAAATGGATGAACGAGTAAATGACCGAATTTCTGAATAGACAATGCTGAAAGGGACAGAAGGCATGACCGTGTTCTGCAGTAGAGATGTCATCTGCTCTTGCAATGTGCTTTCCTGATCCCTTCCCCCTGCTCTTTCTGGGATGGTGAAACGAAATATGACAAAGTCAGTTTAATACCCCATTGAAGATAATTGGAAAATATTGATTTTTTTTCCATTTGAAATAGTAAAGATAAGTAAATGCTACACTTCTGTAATCTAATCAGCGGCTTATGTGACAACACGCTTCCCAGGCTGAAATATATTTCAGTCTATCTCTGTATCCATCAGACAAGCTCCTAAACCCATTCCCACTCTGGCACTCCAACCAAGTCTCATCCAGCCATTCCAGTTCCCCATAGTGTATGAGTGAAGACTTTGCACTTGTGAAAACGTGCATGGGTATGTATGTGTAACCTAATTAAAGTGTCTTCTGAGTATCTGCACCTCCCAAAAATGATCTGCCAATCTGCCTTGAGAAACGTTGGAAGTAGCTCATGAGATCTCCCAGAATCCTAAGGAAAGAGATGTGTTCCTTCTCCACATAGCTAATTTGTACTGAGAGTCTACCAAGCACCAGGCCCTGTTCTAAGGGTTTTAGATGGATGAATTCATTTGATTCTCCTAGCAGCCTTATGGGAAGGTCCTATTATTATTATCACCATTATTATTTTTTTGAGATAGGGTCTCACTCTGTCGGCCAGGCTGGAGTCAAAGTGGTGTGGTCATGGCTCACCATAATAACTTCAACCTTCTGGGCTTCAGTGATCCGCCCACCTCAGCCTCCCAAGGAGCTGGGACTACAGGCATGTGCCACCAAGCCCAGCTAATTTATAACATTTTTTGGTAAAGCCGGGGTCTGCCATATTGCCCAGGATGGTCTCAAACTCCTGAGTTCAAGCAGTCCTCCTGCATCAGTCTCCCAAAGTACAGGGATTACAGGCATGAGCCACTGCCCCTGGCTGACAACAGATTTCTTTATGAAACTGAAGAATATTCTTGGGTATGCAATGTGTATTTAGGTGTTGGAAACTGACACAAGCAGCATAATGAAATAAACTCTGGCCAGGACAGTCATTTACATTACCTGGCCCCTGCAGGCCTCTAAATGTGTGACCCCTGCAAGGGAACTTCACGGTTCTAAGATACTTCAGAGTCCCCAAAATGAGACCCTAGGCGACATCTGTCAAGTTCCTTCCAACTCTAACTTTTGTGACATTAGAGAGTTCATGAAATGTTTCTAAATAGTTTGGGACTCGTTACAGGGAAAACACACACACACATACACACACACCACACACTGCATTGCAGGTTCACTTAGAGTTTAGAAAAATGTGGTGGGCCCTGCAGGTAACCAGATATCTGTAGCGCTCTGACTTCCTGCCAGGCGCTACGTTTACCCATAACTTTCCTCTCCCCAAAGGACATGTTAAATCAGAGGGTCCACTGCTAAGGGTGGTCAAGGTAGCAGTGGGCTCTGAAGTGAAGTGGGAGCTGGGAGAGAAAGTGACTTCACTAGGAAACGAAATTGGGCCAGGACAGGAATGCTAATGGGAGAGCAGAGGAAGCAGCTGCGGGGAACAGGAAAGGAAGCTAGGAGCGGGAATAGTATGAGGACTGGGTTGTCTGGGGAAACCATATGTGTCCACTAGAGAAAAAGGACCAGGCCAGGCAAAGTGGCCCACGCCTGTAATCCCAACACTTTGGGAGGCCGATGCAGGTGGATTATCTAAGATCAGGAGTTCAAGACCGGCCTGACCAATATGGTGAAACCCCGTCCCTACTGAAAAAAAAAAAAAAATACAAAAATTAGACAGGCATGGTGGTGGGCGCCTGTAGTCCCAGCTACTTGGGAGGCTAAGACAGGAGAATTGTTTGAACCCAGGAGGCGGAGGTTGCAGTGAGCCAAGATCACACCACTGCACTCCAGCCTGGGTGACACAGCGAGACTCTGTCTTGAAAAAAAAGAAAAAAAAAAGACAAAAAGGATGCAGCCACGGTCCCTGGAAGCTTGGCCTGGAAGCTTGGCTACAAGGCCCTTTCCTTTGTCTACTTTATGGAGAATGTCCAGCAATTCACTAGGGAACAAATCCGTTAATCTCTTTCCTGGTTACAGTGTCAACCCAGCAAACACTCATGGGATCTGCCTGTGCCAGTCCTTGTGCCAGGTGCTGGGCATACAAAGGAAAGAAGTGAGTCTCTACCCTCAAAGAGGGAGAAAAGCATAGAGCTCGTCCCTGTGATACAACACAATGCCTGACTAGCTATGGGGTCCTGCCATGGGGGAGTAGCTAATTCTGCAGGTGGTGCTGGTCACTGCAATTTACAGTGTGGAAGTGACTTGAAAGAAGGGCACAGCTGGCAGGGAACACAGCACAGGCAAGGCAGCGAGGTGCGAAAGAAGACGGTGTACTCCAGAGATGGCCAACCTCCCCAAGTGTCTCGGGCTGGCATTGAAATCTCAGATGCCTGCAAAGGAGGCCAATATGATCAATGGAAGAAGTGAGCACCAGATGACAGGTAACACCAGCCAGAAGGGGTCATCAGCACATGTCCCAGGTCAAGGGGGTGGCCACTGTTCAGTGCTAGAGGACCAGAGCTACGTGACAAGAAAGTGCTGAGGGCCCAAAGCACCCTGTTTATCAAGAGACTGAGAAGTCCAGGTTCTTATGTGAAATTACCTTTTTTTTTTTTTTTTTTTTTTCTGAGACAGAGTCTCACTCTATAGCCCAGGCTGGACTGCAGTGGCGCGATCTCAGCTCACTGCAACCTCTGCCTCCCAGGTTCAAGCGATTCTCCTGCCTCAGCCTCCTGAATAGCTGGGATTACAGGCACCCGCCACCACGCCCGGCTAATTTTTGTATTTTTAGTGGAGACGGGGTTTCACCATGTTGGCCAGGCTAGTCTTGAACTCCTGACCTCGTGATCTGCCCGCCTCAGTCTCCCAAAGTGTTGGGATTGCAGGCGTGAGCCACCACACCTGGATTTTTTATTTATTTATTTTTTTTATACAGAGTCTCGCTCTGTCGCCCAGGCTGGTGTGCAGTGGCGCGATCTAGGCTCACTGCAACCTTTGCCTCCTGGATTCAAATGATTCTCCCACCTCAGTCTCCCAGGAAGCTGGGATTATAGGCAGGTGCCACCATGCCTGGCTAATTTCTGTATTTTTACTAGAGACGGGGTTTCACCATGTTGGCCAGGCTGTTCTCAAACTTCTGACCTCAAGTGATCCGCCTGCCTCGGCCTCCCAAAGTGCTGAGATTATAGGTATGAGCCACCATGACCTTACTATTTTTTTTTTTTTTTTGAGACAGGGTCTTGCTCTGTTGCCCAGGCTAGAGTGCAGTGGCATGATCACAGCTCACTGTAGTCTCAACCTCCTGGGCTAAGGTGATCCCACCTCAGCCTCCCGAGTAGCTGAAACCACAGGCATGTGTCAACATGCCCAAATAATTTTTAACAATTTTTTGTAGAGGTGGGGTCTCACCGTGTTGCCCAGGCTGATCTCAAACTCCTGGGCTCAACTGATCCTCCTGCCTCAGCCTCCCAAAGTGCTAGGACTACAGGCATGAGCCACCATGCCTGGCCTGAAATCACTATTTTTGAATATGGAAAAACATATTGATAGACACTGTACAGCGCAGTGTAAAACCTCTGGGTGTGAGAGCAGGTAGGCAAGTGTCTAAAAAGATGAGACTGGAGGGGAGCTAATTCCCCAGAGAAATTCTATACTTCAAGGTGATATGATCCATAGGGCAATTGTTAAAGCTGCAAAGCCCCATGGGACATCAGTAGTCACACTTTCTTACTTTTACATAAAGTGCTCTGCAAACAGTTTCAAGTTCTTCCTTGCAACCAACCACATTGCTCTGCATTAGCCTACTCCCATTTGGAAAGAGAGAAGCAGTCATGGGACCAGATGCTGAGGGAGCTGGGAATGTAGTCAAAACGGGTACCTTTCAAAATGTATATTATTCCATCAGCCCAGTGGCCAGTTCTTCCCCACAGACTCACTCTCCAGGTGTGAGAACCTGGCCACACACTGGCAGTAACAAGGCTGAAATGGGCCTTCCATAACATACTACCAAGTGTAGACCTTATTCGACTGAGTCCTGGCTCTGCTACCTACTAGGTGTGTGGTATAAAACAGACACAATCACAGTATCCCATTGAGCTGTCTCAGGAATCAAATCAGATCTGCCACGGCAACAGTCAGCAAACGTTTCCTGTACAGGCCCAGATAGTAAATATTTTTGGCCCGTGGGCCACATAAGTCTCTTTTACAACTACTCAACTCTGCAAGAAAACAGCCATGGACTATATGTATGTGAAAGGGTGCTGCTGCATTCCAATAAAACTTTATTTACAATAGCAGGCAGTGGGCCACACTGCTTTGGGAAAGGGGAAGACCTCTACAAATATTATCTTCTAAGGACTCCCATGTTGAAATGTAGTCATCTGTTTATGTCTGCTTTCTCACCATACTATGAAGTTTCTAAAGGCAGATAATATATTCCCTTTTTTTCAGATTAAAACAAAAAGAAACTGGGCATGGTGACTCATGCCTGTAATCCCAGCATTTTGGGAGGCCAAGGCAGGCAGATCACTTGAGGTCAGGAGTTCGAAACCAGCCTGGCCAACATATGAAACCCCATCCCTACTAAAAATACAAAAATTAGCCAGGTGTGGTGGCACACACCTGTAATCCCAGCTACTTAGGAGGCTGAGGCAGGAGAATCACTGGAACCCAGGAGGCAGAGGCTGTAGTGAGCTGAGATCGCACCACTGCACTCCAGCCTGGGTGAGAGAACAAGACTCTATCTAAAAACAAAAAAACAAACAAAAAGAATAAGTATAGTCCAGTATGGCATACAAGGAAGTCCACAGGAGTTTTCACAACTGTACAAGTTAATACTAAAGTAGAATTCTAAGTACAAATGCTGACAGGCCTAGGAGTGACAGACACAATGAGAGAAGCCAGTCATTAGACAGGCCCACCTCCCTCTTAAAGGGCAAAGTCTCCACTTAACTCGGGTGGTGGGACAATTGTTGCCATGCAGAATTCTGATTTGGTGTTAACAGACTTTATTGATATTTTCAAGAAAATACCACAATCAGGTATTTATAAGAAATCTGCTCATTTTTCAATGTTGACAACTAATTCAAAAATTTAAAAAACAAAACATTATGAGCCAAATAAACATGCATGTGGGCTGTTTCAGCCCACTTGTGCAAGCTCTGATATAAAGAATTCATTTCCAGCCAGGCATAGTGGCTCATGCCTGTAATCTTAGCAACTTGGGAGGCCAAGGTGGGAGGATCACTTGAGCTCAGGAGATGGAGACCAGCCTGGACAACATAGCAAGACCCCCATCTCCACAAAAAATAAAAAATTAGCTGGGCATGGTGGCACACACCTGTAGTCCCAGCTACTTGGACAGCTGACATGGGACGATCGCTTGAGCCAGGAGATGGACGCACCAGTGAGTTATCTCACCATTGCACTCCAGCCTGGGCAACAGAGCAAGACTCTGTCTCAAAAAAAAAAAAAAAAAAATCCACACCTGTAACCGTAGCACTTTAGGAGGCCAAGGGGTAGGGTTGGATCACCTAAGGTCAGGAGTTCGAGACCAGCCTGGGCAACATGGTGAAACCCCGTCTGTACTAAAAATGCAAAAATTAGTTGGGCGTGGTGGCATGTGCCTGTAATCCCAGCTACCCAGGAGGCTGAGGCAGCAGAATCACTGGAACTCGGGAGGCGGAGGATGCAGTAAGCCAAGATCGCGCCACTGTACTCCAGCCTGGGCTACAAAGTGAGACTCCACCTCAAAAAAAAAAAAAAAAATCAACTTCACAGAAAAATGTCAAGAATAGTACAATGAATTCCCATATCGCCTTCACCTGGATTCAATCTTACTCATTTTGGCATCTCTGAATTCCAATGCACGGAAGGCACTGAAATGTTGAATCATGGAATGAATCTCATAAGGAAAAATAAGCAAAACATTATGGGCCGACTTCCTATAAGTTAAAGTGACAGGAGGAACGAACTCTGAAAAAATCTGAGAGAAAAGAAACTAATCAGATAGAAGGATTGGAACAAGAAGAAAACAGAACAGACACAAAGAGTCTATGGGATGTATGTTTATTTCACCTGCTGAATGCTTGCTTTGTTTTATTGCATTTGATTGTTATTTTATTATTTTTTTTGCTGGGTTTAAGTAGTAAGAGAAACAGACAAATCACCAAGAAGCCAGGTAAATACCACACAAGGACAGGAGAGACCAGCTAAACCGATGGTGTACTCTCAGCAAAACCTTCCTAATTCAACCATCACCTGTTTGCAGTCTGGGATTATTTGGACAAGTGAGGCTAAATATCATCTTGGCATTATTAATTATTTGAGAAAGTTTGCTAAGCAAATGAACAGTATAAACAAGGGAAATGTTGAATATTTGCTCTAGGGGAGCAGTGAAAAGCAAATGAACAACTTCCAAATCCTTTCTAATTATATCAATGTGCTGAACTTTTGTCTAATTATTATGTTCCTTGAAAATGAAATAGAATTTTTTTTCCTAAACCATTTCATATTTTTAAAGTACTGGGGAAAATTCAACTTTAACAGAAAGGCGAACATTTTCATAGGCAGAAAACACACACTGCCAATGTACCTTCATGGAATAAAAAATGTCAAACATTGGATTTTCTCTTAAGCAAAGAGTGTGCTAATTACAAAAGTTATCATCTGCTAGAGAGCTTCATCAGCACGCTTCCCTCTTCTGTCAACTGTGTGGAATAAGTCTGCCTATTTGCAGATAATGATAACAACAGCTACTATATAGGAACTTTTTTTTTTTTTTTGAGACAGAGTCTCACTCACTGGCCCAGGCTAGAGTGCGGTGGTGCAATCTCAGCTCACTGCAACCTCCGCCTCCCAGGTTCAAGCAATTCTCTGCCTCAGCCTCCCGAGTATCTGGGATTACAGGCACCCGCCACCACACCTGGCTAATTTTTGTATTTTTAGTAGAGACAGGATTTCACCATCTTGGCCAGGCTGGTCTTGAACTCCTGACCTCGTGATCCACCCATCTCAGCCTCCCAAAGTCAGGCATGAGCCACCGCGCCTGGCTGTAGGAACTTTTTTTTTTTTTGAGACGGAGTTTCGCTCTTGTTGCCCAGGCTGGAGTGCAATGGCGCAATCTCGGCTCACCACAACCTCTGCCTCCCAGATTCAAGCGATTCTCCTGCCTCAGCCCCCCAAGTGGCTGGGATTACAGGCATGCACCATCACACCCAGCTAATTTTGCATTTTTTTAGTAGAGACAGGGTTTCTCCATGTTGGTCAGGCTGGTCTCGAACTTCTGATCTCAGGTGATCTGCCTGCCTCGGCCTTCCAAAGTACTGGGATTACAGGCGTGAGCCACCGCGCCCAGCCAGGAACATTTTTTTATATGCCAGACTTGATGCATTGTTTCATTGAAGCCACAAAACAAGGTAGGCTTCATTATCATGTCCATTTTACTGACAGGAAAACCAAGGCTCAGAGAGGTCAAAGTGTACAGCAGAGATTCAAATCCAGGGCTATCTGGCCCCCAAACCTAAGGACATTACACTGCATCACAGAAACAGATAGGACCTGCCCAAAGTCAAAATCAAAAGGCCAGGGAAAGGGTTGTGAAAAGCTATGGTGATTAAGACATGCCGAATAAACTAAATTACAGTCCAGTTTGGAGGGCATCTGCTAGACATTTAAGCTTTTGTGAACGTAGGAAGTAAACATCTTTCTAATAAGGCCAGGCTTGGCTTACCTAGTTAGTTAGAATCACAATAAGGTATGCTTCACTTTATCCAATAAATAGGTATGTGCCTATAAAATTATGTATAAATCAGGGCCAGGTGCGGTGGCTCATGGCTATAATCCCAGCACTTTGGGAGGCTGAGGCAGGTGGATAACCTGAGGTCAGGAGTTCGAGACCAGCCTGACCAACATGGTGAAACCCCATCTCTACTAACAAAAAACAAAAAAGTTAGCCAGGCGTGGTGGCGTGCACCTGTAATCCCAGCTACTCAGGAGGCTGAGGCAAGAGAATCGCTTGAACCTGGGAGGCAGAGGTTGCAGTGAGCCAAGATCACGCCACTGTACTACAGCCTGGGTGACAGGGCGAGACTCTGTCTCAAAAAAAAAAAAAAAAAAAAAAGTGTAAATCAAAGTTTAAAAAATCAGAACAGAAAATGGGATTCTTTGGAGGTCAAATATGACCCTAGGGTAAACACTTCTGAGAATAAATTTTTCCTTTTGGGGGCCAATCTGAAAATGAACATACCCCTCTACTAGGCTACAATAACGTCCTAAGACTGCAAGTACAGAGATGCTCATTAGAAGGCACAAAGCAGCCTTCCTGAAAATGGACTGTAGCAATGTTTCTCAAAGGTGCAGATCCTGGGAGAAGGAGGGGTCCACAAAGACAAAAGTATTTTAATCATAATTTGAAGAGTATTTCACTGTGTTGAATTTTTTTTCTTTTGAGACAGTCTCACTCTGTTGCCCAGGCTGCAATACAGTGGCATGATCTTGGCTCACTGCAACCTCTGCCTCCTGGGTTCAAGCGATTCTCTTGCCTCAGCCTCCCCCAAGTAGCTGGGACCACAGTTATGTGCCACCATGCCCAGCTAATTTTTGTATTTTTAGTAGAGACAGGGTTTCACCATGTTGGCCAGGCTAGTCTCAAACTCCCGACCTCAGGTGATCGCCCACCTTGGCCTCTCAAAGTGCTGGGATTACAGGCGTGAGCCACCCCATCTGGCTGTGTTGACATTTGTACTTATGACACAAAGCAATGGTGGGTAAAACTGCTTGCAGTCTGAATCAAGGCAATGTTACCACAATGTACTAGAAACCTTCCCTCCTTCCTTCCTCCCTCCCTTCTTCCATCCCTCCCTTCTTTCCTCCTTCCTTTCTCTCTCCTCTCCCTCCCTTCTTTCCTTCCTTCCTTTCTCTCTCCTCTCTCCCCCCACCCCACCCCCTGCTCTCTCTCTCTCTAGACAAGGTCTTTTTGCCCAGGCTGGAGTGCAGTGGCACAGTCATGGCTCACTGTAGCCTCAACCTCCTAAGCTCAACTGATCCTGAGTGGCTGGGACTACAGGCACGAGCCACTATACCTGTCTAATTTTTTACTTTTTACAGAGATGGGGTCTCACTAAGTTGCCCAGGCTGGTCTTGACCTCCTGGGCTCAAGTGATCCCCACACCTCAGTCTCCTTAGCAGCTAGAACCACAGGTGCATGCTACCATGCCTGACTATTATTTATTTATTTATTTATTTTATTTATTTATTTAGTAGAGATGGAGTCTCACTATGTTGACGAAGCTGGTCTTGAATTTCTGGGCTGAAGAGATCCTCTTGTCTTGGCCTCCCAAAGCGGTGGGACTATAGGCGTGAGCCACTGAACCCAACCATCAGGACATTCTTAAATAAAAATAATTGTTTGTTTGTTTTAAATGTGAGTACATGGCAGTAAATAAAATAATAGACAAATTTTGGTTATTCAGTCTTGGGAATTTGGCAGAAATTTTCTCAAATATGAAATAAGTGAGTCTGTCACTTCAAGGAAACAGCTGACAATATTTGCTGCCAATGTTAAAATTCAAGCTGTCAAGTGAAAACAAGTTGAAAACTTGTTTCCATTACCTTGAGTTTGATAGTTTCCTAATACTTAAACTCCTTTTTAAAATGAAATAGGTGGTGATATTAACAAATGTGATTTTTTAAATACCGTATAATGGCATCTGAAAGGTCAACGTTTAGATTTGCATAACTCACTGAACCAACATTTTCTAAACGACCAATGGCTGATGTTATAAAACCATATATGGGTAAAGCAGCCAATGAAAGGGCAAGATAGACCAATGGATTTTAATGTAACACAGTATAAAAGTTCACCTATAAGGCTTCAGATGACACACTGTGACTAACATTTAAGAAACTGCCACTTGTGGCCTGGCATGGTTCTTCATGCCTGTAATCCCAGCACTTTGGGAGGCCAAGGCGGGCGGATCACCTGAGGTTGGCAGTTTGAGACCAGCCTGACCAACATAGAGAAACCCCATCTCTACTAAAAGTACAAAATTAGCTGAGCGTGGTGGCACATGCCTGTAATCCCAGCTACTTGGGAGGCTGAGGCAGGAGAATCGCTTGAACCCGGGAGGCGGAGGTTGCGGTGAGCCGAGATCAGGCCATTGCACTCCAGCCTGGGCAACGACGGCAAAACTCCCGTCTCAAAAAAAAAAAAAAAAAAAAAAAACTGCCACTTGCAGGCCAGGCATGGTGGCTCACGTCTGTAATCCCAGCACTTTGGGAAATGGAGGCAGGCTGATCACCTGAGGTCAGGAGTTTGCGACCAGCTGGCCAACATGGGGAAACCCCATGTCTACTAAAAATAAAAAAAATTAGCTGGGCATGGTGGTTCACACCTGTGATCCCAGCTACTCGGGAGGTTGAGGCAGGAGAATCGCTTGAACCCAGCAGGCAGAGGTTGCAGTGAGCTGAGATCGTGCCACTGCACTCCAGCCTGGGCGACAGTGAGACTTTTTCTCAAAAAAAAAAAAAAAAAGAAAAAAGAAACTGGCATTTGCTAAATTTTGTATAGTATGAAAGGAGAGTGTCTACAGTTATCTGAAAAGGCAATTAAAATGTTTCTCTCTGCTCCAATTATATATTTGTATGAGGCCAAATTTTCTTCATACACACCAGCCAAAACAGCATAACAAAAAACAGTTTGAATCCTGAAGCAGAAATGAGAGTAGTTTTTTCTATTTCTATTGAATAAACTTGAAAAAACATAAAATAATGCTACTCTTCCTATTAATTTTTTGGAGGCAAATGTAATTGTTTTCCATTAAAAATATTATTTATGTTCAGAAGTAATGGGTTTATTGTTGTTGGAGTTTTTTTGAGACAGGGTCTAGCTATGTTGCCCAGGCTGGTCTTGAACTCCTGAGCTCAAGCAATCCACCCACTTCAGCCTCCCAAACTGCTGGGATCACAGGTGTGAGGCACTGCACATGGCCAATTATTATTATGATTATTATGAGCCACTGCACCTGGCCAATTATTATTATTATTATTGGGTTTTTTTGAGACAGAGTCTCGCCCTGTTGCCCAGGCTGGAGTGCAGTGGCAAGATCTCGGCTTCAAATGATTCTCCTGCCTCAGCCTTCCAAGTAGCTGGGATTACAGACATGTGTCACCACGTCCGGCTAAGTTTTAGTAGAGACAAGGTTTCACCATGTTGGCCAGGCTGGTCTCGAACTCCTGACCTCAAGTGATCCACCTGCCTTGGCCTTCCAGAGTGCTAGGATTACAGGCACGAGTCCATGCCCGGCCCAATTTTTATTATTTTTAAAGGAACTAATTAATGGACATCTTAAGATTTTCCCAGTTTAAATCTTCGATATGGTAAATATCATAAATATAAATAAACAAAGCTCTTTGAGGTAAGAGCATACAGGGGTCCCAAGGCTTAAAAGGTTTGAGGACTGATGTTCTATAGCAACATTACATTGACCTTTCCAGAAGGCAAAATGGTAAAGCACATTTTATAGTACCTCTAAAGTACAAAGGGAAAAGATATATTTTAAGCATATGACAGAATGTTCAATTAAAAACATTTTCTCCACACTACATTCAGTGAATATAAAAAGAATGTGGATTCCCCAGGAACAAATTCCCGAGAAGTGAGGGACAGTGCTGTAATTAGAAAAATGATCTGGACTCTAGCCCAGACCCTACCAGTCTCTCTAGACTTTAGTCTTCCCATCTGCAAAGTGAGATATCAGAATAGCCTATTTTCCATTTGCTTCCAATTGTCAATACCATGACTCTAATCAGGGATCCCTAAATGGGGGCCCACAAGCTGTCTCTGGCCTTCAGAGTGACTGGCCAACCCTGTTTTTGAGAAGTACCCCAAGAGGACAATCAGCTGGTGCTTGGTGAGCAGCTTTCCTTTCAGGTGAGGAATTGATTTTCAGTTACAGCCTCAATCCGGCTCACTAGACTCTCCTCTGCAGACATCTGCATTTACAACCTCTGGAATAAAGGGACCCTCAAAACCGGTCCAAATCTCAAGCTCCATAATTCAGCTCCAGAGACAGGGTGTCTGGGTTTCTCACTCACTCTGCTACATGCTGGTTGTTTGACTTTGGGCAAGTTCCTTAACACCTCTGAGCCTCAGTTTCATCATCTGTAAAATGGAACAACGCTGAACTCAAAAGGCTGGTATGAAGCTTAGCGAGGTGTTGCCCAAGAGTACTTACAGAGTTCTTGGTACTGGAAAGCACTTTGTTAAAGGGAGCTATTATTATTAACGCCAAGGCACAGAAAGGGAGTATTTCCTAAACTCCCTTCACCCCCCACACCAATTCCCTTTCCCAGCACCTGACGATTGCACTCCCACGATCAAGCTTGTTTTCATATCAACTCCCAAATCCGACAGTTCCACATCCCAACATTCACAAGACCCTCCTCAGACCTCTACTTCTCCTTCCCCACCCTACATCCCTTCACTGAGCTCCCGGCCAGTACCGGTTTCCTTCACGACCACAGCCGAGCAGAATGGTCACAGCACTGACCACTCCCCCAGGCTCTCCTCCGCGTTCCAGACCACTAAGCCTCCCTATCCCTCATTTCGGAGACCCCCTTGGGTCAGGAAGTGGTGGTCCAGGGGTTCATGGCCTAGGATTCTGCCCAAAGCGCGGTCGGGAGGGATGGGAGAATAACAGCCCGACCTCCCGGAGGGGCCCACAGACACTCACCGTCCATCCCTAGAGGCGGCGGTTCCGGGAGCTCGAACCGGAAGCGGCCTCTACACTGTTTGCAGTTCCCCTGGTTACTGCGGGGCCCCGGACCAATGACGGTGGAGCTCCACTTACTGAGCCCGCCCCCGGGGAGTGACGTCATGCCGGCGCGCTGGAACTCCTCCTCCGAACCCTGGGTCTGACCCACCTCCCCGGGCCCCGGATCGTTGTGCGCAGGCGCGATGGACCAAGGCCCTTGGCGGTGCGTTGCGCATGCGCCCCGGGCGCCGCCGACTGAAGTAGCAATGGACGCGCTGGAGTCGTTGTTGGACGAAGTCGCTCTGGAGGGGCTCGATGGCCTGTGTCTGCCAGCGCTGTGGAGCCGGCTGGAGACGCGAGTGCCGCCCTTCCCGCTGCCTTTGGAACCCTGCACGCAGGAGTTTCTCTGGCGGGCCCTCGCCACGCACCCGGGCATCAGCTTCTATGAGGAGCCTCGGGAGCGACCCGACCTACAGCTCCAGGACCGGTCAGCGGGCGGCCTGGCCTGGCGGGCGGGCGGGCGGGCGCAGGGCCCGGGGGCTGATGGAGCTGGGGGCAGGGCGGGGGAATGGAGTGGGGCTGTGCAAGTACCGGAGGCCTGTTGATTGAGTTGGGGCACGGCGGTAAGGCTAATCTGGGGTCCCTCAGGCCTGGCAGGGCCCTGGAGTCCGATGGAGTTGGCGGGGGGAGGGGGAGAATCTAGTGATGTCCCGTTTTGTCCCTGTGTGTGTTTTGGGGTAATGGCGAACAGGATTGGGGATATTCTTCAGGCTTAAAAGAATGTTTCCTTTACATTGGAGGATAGGATTAGAGCAGGAAAGACACTTTAGAGCCAGACTGGAGACTCCTGAGATCAACAGACCCTCATGGTATATTCATTCGGTGCAGATAGCCTAGGGCAACTCGAGATCTGCGTATCAGGACAATTAGCGATAATGCTAAAAGCTGACATTTATCAGGGACTTCATGGGTGAGGTGCTGTTCTTTTTTTTCTTTTTTGAGATAGAGTCTCTCTCTGTGGCCCAGGCTGGAGTGCAGTGGCGCGATCTTGGCTCACTGCAACCTCCGTCCGCCTCCCAGGTTCAAGCGATTCTCGTGCCTCAGCCTCCTGAGTAACTGGGATTACAGGCATGTTCCACCACGCCCGGCTAATTTTTGCATTTTTAGTAGGTATGGGGTGTCATCATGTTGGCCAGGCTGGTCGCGAACTCCTGACCTCAGACAATCCGCACCTCTCGGCCTCCCAAAGTGCTGTGATTACAGGCGTGAGCCACGGCGCCCGGCCACATTGCTGTTCTAAGAATCTATTCTAGAAGCTTTAGGAGCTTAAACTCACTTGATCCTCACTTGATTAAACTCCGTTAAACAGGAGATTAAATTCACTTGATCCTCACCTATGAGGTAGGTGCTGTTATCGTCCTCATTTTACAGAGGAAGACACTGAGTCACAGAGAGGGATTATGTAACCTAAGGTTCTGGGGGCAATAAGTGACTAAGAATTGATTTGAACCCAGGCTATTTTCAGCGTCTGTGCTCTTAAGCCATATTGTGAGGGTCAGGGGAGGTTCCAAGAGGTAATAATGTCCAAGACAGGCCGGGTGCAGCAGCTCATGCCTGCAATCCCAGTACTTTGGGAGGCTGAGGTGGATGGGTCACAAGGTCGGCAGTTCAAGACCCGCCTGACCAACGTGGTGAAACCCTATCTCTACTAAAAATACAAAAATTAGCCTGGCGTGGTGGCGCATGCCTGTATCCCAGCTACTCAGGAGGCTGAGGCAGGAGAATCACTTGAACCTGGGAGACAGAGGTTTCAGTGAGCTGAGATTCAGCCATTGCACTCCAGCCTGGGTGACAGAGTGAGACTCTGTCTCAAAAATAAAATAAAATAATGTTCGAGACAAAACTTAAAGGTTGGATTTAGGCAGCCAGTTGGCAAAGAGGACTGTTGGACAGAGAACAGCAAATGTGAAGTAAGTGGCTGAAGTGTGGAATTGGAGGTAGGGAATGAGGAATAGCTAGGACTGTGCTAAGATCCTTAATACAACATGTTATTTAATTTTTACAGAAACCTTAGGAGATGGGTAATATTCTCCCCATTTTCCTGAAGAGAAAATCGAGGCCCTGAGGGGTCAAGTGGCATGCTAAAAGTCAACTAGCAAGGGAAGAACCCAGACTTTGAGGAAGGTCTGAGTTCAGATTCCAGCCAAATTGGACTGGAATCAAGTCTTTTAACCTACTTAAAGAGTTTATCAGCCTGTAATCCCAGCACTTTGAGAGGCAGAGGTGGGCGGATAACTTGAGGTCAGGAGTTCAAGACCAGTCCAGCCAACATGGTGAAACCCCATGTCTACTAAAAATACAAAAATTAGCTGGGCGTGGTGGTAGACGCCTGAAATCCCAGCTAGGTGGAGGCTGCAGTGAGCCGAGATTGTGCCACTGCACTCCAGCCTGGGTGACAGAGGGAGAATCCATCTCAAAAAAAAAGCTTATCCTTTATCAAAAGGACAGTGAGAAGTCACTGAAGAGAGGGTCAGACTAGGGGCAAAGAGTGAAGTTGAGAGATTTTTAGTAATCTAGTCATGGTCTGGCTTACCATGGTGGGCGTGGGGATGAAGAGCACAGGCAGTCAAGACATAGTAGGCTGCTGTTTGGGCACCTGAGCGAACCCTGATTCTCATCTCTGAGGCTGGGAACACGGAAGAACAGCGTGGGGGTTGAGTCTGGGGGAGGTGGGGACTTTGCTGAAGAGACATGTGACACATTTAGCTTCAGGTTCTTTTGAGTTGTCCAAGTGAAGAGTCTTAATTAGTAAACATCTGGCTTCGTGGGAGTGAAAGCAGGCCAGAGGGAGGGACTGAGCTAGACATCTGTGAGTCATTCCTAGCAGCTGGTAATTAAAGCAGCTGGCTAAGATCAGCCCTAAGAGAGAGTGTAGTGTGGTTGGAGGTCTTGAGATATAGCTCTGCAGTGCACCTACATTTCAAGGCTGGATGGAGGGTGAGGGACTTTCAAAAGAAGACTGAGGCGGTGTGGCTGGAGAGGTAGAGGACAGTCAGGTCAGAGTGGTGTTCTGGAAGTTTGGGAGGAGACAGGATCATTTAAGAACGGAGGGTTGGGCTGGGTGTGGTGAATCATGCCTGTAATCCCAGCACTTTGGGAGGCCGAGGCAGGTGGATCATTTGGCCAACATCGTGAAACCCTCTCTCTACTAAAAATACAAAAATTAGCTGGGTGTGGTGGCAGGTGCCTGTGATCCCAGCTACTAGGGAGGCTGAGGCAGGAGAATCGCTTGAACCCAGAAGGTAGAGGTTGCAGTGAGCCGAGATTGCGCCACTGCACTCCAGCCTGGGTGACAAGATCAAAACTCAAGTCTTAAAAAAAAGGAATGGAGGGTTAAATGGTGCAGATAACACAGAGGGGGCAAGGAAGGAAAGGGCTGAAACATGTACATAGGATTTAGCCGCAATTAGACTAGTGTAGGATATGAGTGAGATTTCAAAATAAAACTCGACAAGCAGCCAGGCAAGGTGGCTCACACCTGTAATCCTAGCACTTTGCAAGGCTGAAGTGGGCAGATTACTTGAGCCCGGTAGTTCAAGACCAATCTGGGCAACATAGTGAGGGGAAAAAAAATTATATATATATATATGTATGTATTTTTTTTTTTTTTCAAAAAAAAAAAAACTTGACAAGCTTGGCTAACTGCATGAAAGAAGCACAAATGAAAAATGTCTCCATGGTGTTGTAAGAGGCACATGGAAGAAAGCGGTAGTAAGAGGGGAAAGAAGGGACTTAATTGGAGCTGGGGAGAGGTAATCATATTTGGAATGGGAGGCATTTAATAGACAAGTGAAGACATTGGATCTGTATTTGGAGAAAAAGGACTGAGGATTCAAAGGTGAGACTTGTTAACATGCAGGCGGTAATGCAAACCATGAAAATGGGTTAGGATATTAGAGAGATAACTAAGGAGAGATGGAAAGATGAGATCTTAAAGGGAGGAAAGCTTTGGCCACTTGTGGTGGCTCCCACCTGTAATCTCAGCACTTTGGGAAGCTGAGGCGGGTGGATCACCGAGGTCAGGAGTTCGAGACCACCCTGACCAACATGGTGAACCGTCATCTCTACTAAAAATACAAAATTAGCCGGGCGTGGTGGCACACCCCTATAATCCCAGCTCCTTGGGAGGCTCAGGCAGGAGAATTGCTTGAACCTGGGAAGTGGAGGTTGCAGTGAGCCAAGATCATGCCATTGGACTCTAGCCTGGGCAACAAGAGCAAAACTCCATCTCAAAAAAGCGGAGGAAAGCCTTGAATCATTTCGTCCAACTTGGTGGTTTGGAGACTGAGTACCAGATTTGGAGGGAAACAAAAGCCCATGACTTGGCCAATAAGGAGGTTTAGGTCCCAGCACCCAGCTTCTGGAATAGTCTGGGGAGTCCTGGAAAGGTCTGCGTTCTGTGGGATAGAAAGGCAGGAACCTGCTTGTCAAGATTATCTGCATTTATAAGGCAGGAAAACTGACTGATCTCACTTCTCTCTGATCTCTGCTGGAGGTTGTCAAAAGAACACAGCCAAGCACACATTATATCTGAAGCTGAGTTGGGCTTTGATATTTGTGTTTTTCTCCTTAGGTATGAAGAAATTGATTTGGAAACTGGAATTTTGGAGTCTAGGAGGGACCCGGTGGCTTTGGAGGATGTCTACCCCATTCATATGATCTTAGAGAATAAGGATGGCATCCAGGGCTCATGCCGCTACTTTAAGGAGAGGAAAAACATTACCAATGACATCAGAACCAAGTCCTTGCAGCCTCGCTGTACAATGGTGGAAGCCTTTGACAGGTAACTATTTTGCACCATCAGAAATTCCTGGGAATCTGGCCGGGTACGGTGGCTCACGCCTGTAATCCCAGCACTTTAAGAGGCCGAGGCAGGTGGATCACTTGAGGCCAGGAGTTCAAGACCAGCCTGGCCAACATGGCAAAACGCTGTTTCTACTAAAAATACAAAAATTAGCCGGGTGTGGTGGCACATGCCCATAATCCCAGCTACTGTAGTGGCTGAGGCATGAGAATCACTTGAACCCAGAAAGCAGAGGCAGGCTGCAGTGAGCCGAGGTCATGCCACTGCACTTCAGCCTAGGCAACAGAGTCAGACCCTGTCTACAAAAAAAAAAAAAAAGGAAAAAAGAAATTCCTGGGAATCTGAGTGCTTTGAATGTGTAGTCAGAGCACTTGGATCTGGCCCACAACCTTGGAGTCTGTCAGAGTTCACTAGCCCTGCACTACGCCAGTTCTTGGCCTTCATTCGCCTTCTTCACTGGGGTCACGGGTCCTGCCTTTCTCTTTCCTTTGTGCTCACAGTCCTTGAGCACTTGAATGGTGCCCTTTCTCTCTTCCTACCTGGGCCCTGTGCTGCCAAGCCATTCTCTTGTGAATCCTCAGTCAGTATCCCAATTCCCCAGAGTGTCTAATCCAAATGATCATTTTTTTTCAAGCACCTAACTCCATTCCTGCCTTCCTTCCTACTTTACAGGGCAATGTGAACTCTGCTAACTTCCACCTTCTTTCTTGACTTGCAGACTTTTCCACATTTCTTCCCTGTCTACTCTCATCTCGGAGGAGGTGAGAAATGGTGGCCCTGTCTAAGGCTGTGATCTGGATGCATCCCTTCCTCCTCCTCCCCTCCCCCAGCCCAGCTCCCTCTACCCCTGCTCTTTTCCACCTCTCAGTTAGCTCATCTTTCTCCTTGATTTTCTTTTTCTTTTTTTTGAGACAGAGTCTCACTCTGTTGCCCAGGCTGGAGTACAGTGGTGTGATCACAGCTTATTGCAGCCTTGACCTCCTGGGCTCAGGTGATCTTCCCACCTTCCACCTGAGTAGCTGGGACCACAGGCGCATACCACCACACCCAGCTAAGTTTTATTTTTTGTAGAGGTGGGGTCTTGCCATGTTGCTCAGGCTGGTCTCAAACTTCTGGGCTCAAGCAATCCTCCTATCCCAGCCTCCTAAATTGCTGGGATTACAAGTGTGAGCAACGGCCCCCTGTCTGTCCTTGATTTCTACTGAAGCTTTCCCTTCAGCACATGAACACAGTTCACCCATCTCGCAGCAGAACCTTCTCTTGACCTCAAATCCCTTGTAACTGGCTGTTTCTTTGACTCTGCACCCACGCTTCTTAGATGAATCACCCCCATTCACTGTTTCTCCCTCTTCACCTCCCCTTCACTCCTTTGCCCACTGCAATCCTGATTCCTGACTTTATCACTTCACAGTTTTATCCTCTAAGATCCCATGGGGCCATGAACACTGTTAGGACCCTAATCTCCTTGACCCTGCTACACTGTTAAGGACTCAAAGCTTTTGTGCCAGTGGCTTCCTGCCTTATTTTGTTTTTCTACTTTCCTTGCCATTCCTCACCAGCTTATTTGTGGATTCACCTACTTCCTTCCACCACTTAAATGTTGGCTGGTGGGCTAAGCAGTAATCCAAGCACTTTGGGAGGCCAAGGCAGGAGGATCACTTGAGGCTGGGAGTTAAAGACTAGCCTGGGCAATATAGCAAGACCCCATCACTACAAAAAATTAAAAAAACAAAAAACTAGCTGGGCATAGTGGCACACTCTGTAGTACCAGCTACTTGGGAGACTGCGATGGGGGGATTGCTTGAGCCCAGGAGTTTGAGGCTTCAGTGAGTTATGATTGCACCACCACATTCCGGTCTGGACAATAGAGCGTGACCCGATCTCTTTTTATTTATTTATTTATTTTTGAGACAGAGTCTTGCTTTGTTGCCTAGGCTGGAGTACAGTGGCACAGTCTCGGTTTACTGCAACCTCCGCCTCTCAGGTTCAAGCGATTCTCCTGCCTCAGCCTCCCGAGTAGCTGGGATTACAGGTGCATGCCACCACGCCCAGCTTATTTTTGTATTTTTAGTAGAGACTCGGTTTCACCATCTTGGCTAGGCCGGTCTTGAACACCTGACCTCAGGTGATCCACCCGCCTTGGCCTCCCAAAGTGCTGGGATTACAGGCGTGAGCCACCATGCCTGGTCAAGAAAGACACATTGACTGCTTCTAAAGGCTCTTTGTCTAGTCCCAGACCTCTCTCCCAAGCGGCATATGTGTTATTCCAATAATCTGCTGTGCATACCAGTGTGGTCATCACTCTCCTTCAACCCAAACCTGCCTTCTGTTCCTGTCTTAGTGTGTTGTGTGTTGCTAGAACAGAATACCTGAGGCTGGGTAATTTACAAAGAAAAGAGGCTTATTTAGTTCACAGTGCTGCAGGCTAGGATGCTCAAGGGCATGGCACTGGCTTCTGGCAAGACTTACGTGCTGCCTTATAGCATGGTGGAAGGTCCGAGGGACAGTGAACATGTGCAGAGGGGCAAAACCCGGAGGACATCCTTGCTTTACATCAACCCACTCTCACCGGAGCTAATCCATTCCCAAGAGAAGGAGACTCATTTTCTTCTCCAGGTGGCATTAATCTATTTATGAGGGATCCATCCCCCACTACCCAAACACCTTCTACTAGTCCTCACCTCCCAATGCTGCTGCACTGGGGATTAAACTTTTTTTTTTTTTTCTTTTTGAGGCGGGGTTTTGCTCTTGTCGCCCAGGCTGGAGTCCAATGGCGCAATCTTGGCTCACTGCAACCTCCACCTCCCAGGTTAAAGCGATTCTCCTGCCTTAGCCTCCCAAGTAGCTGGGTTTACAGGGACCTGCTACCATGCCCGGCTAATTTTTGTATTTTTAGTAGAGATGGGGTTTCACTGCGTTGACCAGACTGGTCTTGAACTCCTGACCTCAGGTGATCTGCCTACCTTGGCCTCCCAAACTGCTGGGATTACAGGCATGGGCCACTGCACCCGGCATACTGGTAGTTAAACTTCAACATGAGTTTTGGTGTGGACAAGCCTCATCCAAACCATAGTACTGCCTTTTCTCGTTCTTTATTCTGGTCAGATGTACTCTCATGCACGTGGCTGTACAAGCCATAAACGTGGGACTCTTCTAGGCCCCAGTGTGATGGGATGTACCCTGACCACACAAGGCAGAGGTTTCAAACTGACCAAATCTGCCCACAGAGGAGCTTTGTGTGCCCAGCATGGTATTCTGTTTGGTTTTTAATTTTATTTCATTGCTAATATTTAAAAACCTGGATTTCTAGCTTTTCTTGAAAAGTCACAAGATCTAGCTGCACTGAGACCAATTTTTTACAGGGTGATATAGGCCAGAGTTACCCTCAGCTGGCCATGTACCACCCGGTTCCACACACCGTGAGTTTGTGTTCGTGTTGTGTTCGTGTGTGCTCCCTGCCCTCCTGATTGGGTCCCGGCAGGCTATATGTGATTGTGCCTCTGCTCACCCAGTGCTCCGACCTCAGTTTCTTCACTCTGCACTGCACTTCAGCCTCAACATGCTGGGCTCCTTTTTGTCTCAAGGCAATCCTCGTGCTGTTCCTTCGCCAAGAATATTCTGTCCACAAATCTTCACGTCGCCACATCATTCAGACTTCAACCTGACTCCTCTGGAAGTGTCCTCCATTGCCCAGACACCATCGTAGTACTCTTTATGGCACCAAAAATGGTTTTAAGTGTTTGTTTATGTCACTGTTTCCTCACTAGATTATACGTTGCTCAAAGGCAGGGACTCTATCCTTCTTGTTCACCGCTATGTCTCTCAGTTCTATAATAATATGCCTGGCACAAAGCCGGCTTCTAGAAATACATGTTTGAAGTTGTAACCCCTGACCCATGTTATAGAATCTGAACTCCCCAGCACGGCATCAGAGGGCCACTGGGGATGTAGGCGCTGCTGGCCTCTCGAGCTTTCCTTCCTTCCTTCTGCTTCCTAGCTGGCTACCACACTCCAGACTTTGTAGCCGTGCTGCACCTCTTACCTCCAGGAGCAGGCATGCTTCTTCATGCCTCTGTAACCGTGCAGCTTCTGCATCCTTCCCCTTAATTCTCTCATTCACACAGCTCACTGCTAATACAAGCGTCACCTCTTTGCCTGGTGCAGTGGCTCACACCTGTAATCCCAGCATTTTGGGAGGCCGAGGGGGGTGGATCACTTGAGGCCAGGAGTTCAAGACCAGCCTGGCCAAGATGGCAAAACCCCATCTCTACTAAAAGTACAAAAATTAGCCTGGCATGGTGGCAAGTGTCTGTAATCCCAGCTACTTGGGAGGCTGAGGCAGGAGAATCACTTGAGCTCCAGAGGCAGAGGTTGCAGTGAGCTGAGATCGCGTCACTGTACTCCAGCCTGGGCAACAGGAAACTTTGTCTCAAAAAAAAAAGAAAAAAAGAGTCATCTCCTTGAGGGGTTTTCCCTAATCCCTGTGCACACACTCTTGTTTATACACACATATTTGAATTAGGGCTCCTCATCTATGACATTTTATGGCCTCAACAACTAGAGCCTCTTTCTGTGAGAGAAGTTATGACCTCATATTAGAATTATTCATTTTAAATTTTTTTCTCCAGTAGCCTGTGAGCTCCTTGAAGGTAGAAACTATTTTTATTTGTCTTGGTATCCTGGTGTACTTTGCATGGTACTTCATTGGCATTTGATAACCTATAAGATGACCATAGTCAGCAAATTAAAACTAGCCGGAGTTATTGAATCAGCTAATTCGCGATAATTAACAGAAACATTGGGATCATGTCAGTGAAGGATAGTAAACTAGTCAGAGTAATGACGTTTTAAAAGCAGCAAACCAGTGCCCTGTTTTCAAACTTTTTTCCCCCAGCTGACCTCTTATAATTTAACTTAATGAGCCTGTTTTGAGAACAAAAGAGCATAGGTCCTAAGTTTGTGAAATTCAGATATATAAAGTGGACTTTCTGTCGTGTATTCGCAACATAACATTCTTTTTGAAGACGCACTATATGGGCTTCTGTGACTTAAGCAAAATACTATTTTCAGGTGTCAAACAATGTGAAGAAAGATGGAGTTAAGTTAAAACAGCCTCTTTTTTTCTTTGTGCCTACTTAGTGGTAGAAATAAAGTCATCTGGTGTGGGGAAGAGGGAAGGAAAACTGTCAGACTGAGTTGAGTGGTGTGGCTGCAGCAGGACCTCGTGACTAGGCATCTGCAAATACTAGGGCTGAGAAGAGTGGATGTTGGCTCCCGGTGAACAGAATTGGTAGCCTGTGAGCTTTTGTATGTGGACCCTTGGTGACTCCTTCATCTGGGAAAGGGGGGTCCTCTACCTTGGGCCATTTCCTGCTGATACAACAGAATACCACAAACTGGGTAATTTATAAAGAACAGAAGTCTGTTTGGTTCATGGTTCAAGGGGCTGGGAAGTCCAAGAGCATGGCACCAGCATCTGGAAAGGACGTCCCACTCCTGAGATAACTAACCCACTCCCACGATAAAAGCCTTAATGTATTCAAGAGGGCAGAACAGAACTGTCATGGCCTAATCACCTCTTAAAGATTCTTCCTCTTAATACTGTTACGATGGAAATTAGGTTTCTAACACGTGAACTTTCAGGGGACACATTCAAACTTCAGTCTTCTCCAGTTGAGTAACTTGATGCCAAGGAACGAGTGAGGGATGGGTTCCCCGGCAGCACATCCTTATGGGATCTCCCAGCTGCAGGGCCAGGGCTTGGACTCTGAGAGTGGGTGAATGGAGCAGGTCAATTTGCTCAAGATGTCAGTTGGATTGAGCAGGCCAGGCATTGTGGTGGAGTCTCCATCATCAGCGATGGGGAATGCACAGTAAAGACTGTTAGGTGTCAGCACAGAAATGAGTCTTCTCACTTGGGCTGTCCTCACATGCCTTTTGCTAGGAAGTGGTTTTGGCCTCTTTTGGTGCATTCTTTCTCACATGTCAATTTAGAGGAAGGAACTAATGATTTGAAGGCAAGGTCTGGCCTTCAACAGTGAAGTCAAAATGAGACTGCAGGTCCACTGATTGCACCGTTCAGTGCTTTTGACTCTGAAGATTGTTTTATCAGTCCAGCTCACTGGGCTGGTTCATTTACTTAACAAATATACACAGAGCTCCTATTATCACCCAAATTCATTCTGCGCACTGAGGATGTCCTGGTGAACAGGTTGACAATGTGCCTGCTCTTATATTTGAATGAGGGAAACTGACAAGGATGTTGGCAAAAAAAAAAAAAAAAAAAAAGATGAGTGTGTGTGTGTGTGTGTGTGTGTGTGTATATGTGTGTATATATAGTCATTTCTAAGAGTGCTAAGTTCTATGAAGAATATGGAAATGGTGGGGGTGGGGCTAGAACTCTAGTTGGCATTTTCTGAAAGGCCTGAGGAGTTGACAACTGAGCTGCGACCTGAATGATGAGAATAAATCAGTCACCTAAAGACCTGGATGAAAAGCAGCCAGGCCGAGGAAACAGCAAGGGCAGCACCCCTGAGGCTTGTCTTAGGAACAGGAAGCCTCCTGTGGGTGAGGGGCAGAGCTGTGGAGGATGAGATAAGCAAGGCAGGGAGGGATGGGCCGTGGAGAGCTTTCCAGGAGGAGTGGGATGAGGAGTTGGATTTGGCCTGAGCGCCTTGGCGAGCCCTGAAGGGCTATCAGCAAGGAAATAAGATTGGCTCTGTTCCTTCAGCACACTACACTACTTTTATTATTATTATTATTGTCTTTTTTAGCACACTACACTTCTAAGACTGAAACTTGCTTAACTTAATTTTGGGATCTTGTAAACTCCTAGCAGAAGCAGGAAATGAGGATTCTGCACATTTCTTTTTCTTATCTCAGTTTTCCTAAAATCAGTTAAACTTATTTCTTCATGCGATTGTTTCCGATTTGCAGGTGGGGGAAGAAACTGATCATCGTTGCCTCCCAGGCCATGCGGTACAGGGCCTTGATAGGCCAGGAGGGGGATCCCGACCTGAAGCTGCCCGACTTCTCCTACTGCATCCTGGAACGGCTAGGCCGGTCCAGGTGGCAAGGGGAGCTCCAGCGAGACCTTCACACCACTGCTTTCAAGTAAGTGGGGGGATTTGCTTCTCTGCTTTAAATTATATGTCATTGCACCCTGAATCCCAAATGCAGGGGCCTGCTGTGGTATCTTCCCTGAGGCATGGCTTTTTGTTTCAAGGCCGTGGTCTCACAGTGACTGTTTTCTTAGGTTGGCTGGACAGGAGGTTTGTGTCTCTGGTGTTTATGTCCAAGTGAGAGACTCTATACATTGATAAAACTACCAGCAAAGCAAATGACATGGCTCCTCTTTTCCTCCAGGGTTGATGCTGGGAAGCTGCACTATCACAGAAAAATTTTGAACAAAAACGGGCTGATTACAATGCAGTCCCATGTGATCCGATTACCCACTGGAGCCCAGCAACACTCAATCCTCCTCCTACTGAACCGGTTTCATGTGGACAGGTATGGTTTGTAGTGACCAAAACATTAGGTTTTTTAGTTGCAGCCATGTGTAGTATGCTTTAAAAATTGTAGGGGCAGCTGGGTACAGTGGCTCATACCTGTAATCATAGCCCTTTGGGAGGCTGAGGTGGGAGAACTGCTTGAGGCCAAGAGTTCCAGACCAGCCTGGGCAATATACCAAGATGGCATCTTTATAAAAATAAAAAATTAGCTGGGCGTGGTGGTGCACACCTGTAGTCCCAACTACTCAGGAGGCTGAGGTAGGAGGATCGCTTGAGCCCAGGAATTTGAGGCTGCAGTGAGCCATGACTGCACTGCTATACTCCAGCCTGGGTGACAGAGTGAGACCCTGTCTCTTAAAAAAATAATAATAGAAGCCAAATTAGAATATGACTATAGCTTTTTTAAAAAATGGCATTTGTTATCTGTTTTTTTGTGAAAATAAGTCCTGCTTGTTTAGAAAACTAGGAAACTATACAGAAAAGAAGGAAAAATAAATCTGTAGCTTCACAGCTAACAATAGGAACCATTAACATTTTGGTGACATTTTGGGGAGATGTAAAAATACAAGTAAGTCAGATTTGATTTCTTGTGGTGGCAGAATTGTAGTTGAATTATGTCAGTTTCAAATTGGATGTTTTGCAGCACTCAACCATAATAACCTATATGGACAAGATGGCGAGGTTCTGCTAAGCGATAACAATGTGTGATATTGCTATTTTAGCAGGATATTGTTGTCCAGGTGATACAGCAAACTGGTAAAATGTGCACATTCTCTTCTGAGGACCAGGGAGACTGGGGGAGTGAGTAGGTTCTCTGACTTCTTCATCCTTGCCATTGGGGTGACCTAATTACCTGGCATCGGAATGAGGGACAGAAAAGTTTCACCACTCTGCAGAGGTCTCAGCCCTCACTGCACAACCTCATGCCCTTTTTTGTGGGAGGGGCAGAAGCCAGAATGGGAAAAGGTCAAGCTGGTGCAGGGCCTGGGAAGAGCAGCCCTTAGCTGAGGAAGCCCTGAGCCCTCAGTACCTGGCCAGCAGCTCTCTGGGGTGGAGGTAGGCAGCAATGAGGGATAATGGGGAGGGGAGGTGCATCCTCCAAAAGTGGGGGGAATGATTACATAGAAATGTTAAAGTTTACAGTGCACATGGGTTGGGCCAAAGAAAGTGCTTGACACATGTGCGTAGACTCTTTATTGACTGCGGATCTCCAGGGGTGAAAATCATCATTGCTGCACCTCTGTCAAATGTCCGCCTCCCAGATTTAAGCCATTCTTCTGCCTCAGCCTCCCGAGTAGCTGGGACTACAGGCACCTGCCACCATACCCGGCTAATTTTCGTATTTTTAGTAGAGTTTAGTAGGGTTTTGCCATGTTGGCCAGGCTGGTCTCGAACTCCTGACCTCAAGTGATCCACCCGCCTTGGCCTCCCAAAGTGCTGGGATTACAGGCGTCAGCCACCGTGCCCAGCTACACATAACTTTTGACTCCCCAAAAACTTAACTACTAATAGCCTACTGTTGATCAGAAGCCTTACCAATAATATAAAGTTAGTTAACACATATTTTGTTCCATGTGTTATAGCCTGTTCTTGTATTATTGCAATAAAGTAAACTAGAGAAAAGAAAATGTTATTAAGAAAATACGTTTACAACACTGTACTGTATTTATTGATACCATAAGTTTACATTGTCTGTTAACAAGATAAATTGAAATGGCGGGCAGTCGCAGCTGCAGACCTCACTCTACAGTACATGTCAAGCAATTTAACTTTTTCTTGAAATGTCATGACTTTTCTCTGCTTCTTGGGAGCGTTTCCAGCATCACTAGTGGCACTTTGTGTGGGTCCCATGGTGTTAGTCAAGGTTTATGGTATTGCACTAAACACGAGGAAAAATACGTGAGAACTGCAAGAGATCACCTTTTTTTTTTTTGAGACGGAGTTTCGCTCTTGTTGCCCAGGCTGGAGTGCGATGGCGCGATCTCCGCTCACCACAACCTCTGCCTCCAGGGCTCAAGCGATGCACCACCGCGCCCAGCTAATTTTGTGTTTTGAGGAGAGACAGGGTTTCTCCATGTTGGTCAAGCTGTTATTGAACTCCCGACCTCAGAAGAGATCACTTTTTACTGCAGCAAGTAATTTACTGGAGAGGAACTACTCACACAGAGATGAGATGAGCATCACATGGCTTTTTTTTTTTTTTTTTTATTTGACAGTCTCATTTGGTTGCCTAGGCTGGAGCGCAGTGGCACGATCTCGGCTCACTGCAACCTTTGCCTCCTAGGTTCAAGCAATTCTACTGCCTCAGCCTCCCAAGTAGCTGGTACTATAAGCATGTGCCACCACACCTGGCTAATTTTTTTGTATTTTTAGTAGAGATGGGGTTTCACCATGTTGGTCAGGCTGGTCTCGAACTCCTGACCTCAGGTGATACGCCCACCTCGGCCTCCCAAAGTGCTGGGATTACAAGCGTGAGCCATCACATCCGGCCCATCATATGGCATTTTTAAGCCAATGCTCACAACACTTAAGCTTGCCACAATAGCAACAGGAGGTGGCTACGAAGTTATTAACAGTAGTACACTGTGTATTACAGTTAATTTTATGCAGATTTGATTTCATCCTGCATCTTCATGTTTGTTTACATTTCCTCCACTGCAAATGGCACCGTGTATGGTCTGTAAGTGGTTGCATAAGTTTTGATTAACTTTTTATAATAGATTTGTGTATATTTTATGGTAATGAATGATAAAATAAAGTAGTATCCACCTATATTTTATGCATCAATGACATACCTTTTTCTTAATTTTTTTAATATTTCTAATGTTATACAGTTTGTCTATGAGTTTTCTCAAACTGTCACAAATCTCCAACAATTCTAATATATTTTTATATATTTTCTAATATATTTTTTCAATAAATATGAAAAAAAAAATCTGTGTATAAGTGGACCCGGCCAGTTCAAACCCATGTTGTCCAAGAGCCAACTGTACAGTATTAGAGAGAAGCATCTTTTATGAATTCACATTTTAATTGGGTCATACTATCCATTGGTTAAGTAACTGTCTCACCAAACTCTTCACTTGTGTATAGCTTGTGCTCAGCCCAAGAACACAGGGTGGCAGCTGTGGGGTAGGAGAGAGAACACTGCATTAAGTCAAGATCTGTATTTCCATCTTTGCCCCTCACTTGGGCAGTCACTTGACCTCTTTGAACCACCGTTGCCTCTTGTATTAAATGGCTGTGACACAGTGCCTTCTATGCAGAGTGGCTCATATGCATTAACTGTCTGTCCCTCCATTTATTCTTTCATTCATTGAGAAGCAGTACAGATGGGGAAGTGGGTGTAGTCTCTGGATCCCATACGTGTGCTCTCCCTTCTGCTAGGACTGTAAGTCAAGCCAAGCTGTGCTTGTCCAGCCGAACTGGCCACAAGATTTCTCCCTGCACCCCTCCCTGAGCTCCCACTAGACTTACACAGTCAAGGGCCCTCAATGTTTTTAAATAGCTTCCTTTGCTGGCCGTTAGCTTGGAAGCATTGATCATGACATCCGCTTCACGGTAGAAATGAGATGGAAGGTAGGCTCTGCCACGCCAGTGTAGTCAGGAGCAGGAACCGGAGCTTCAGAGTGGCGTCCCAGTGAGTGAGGAGAGGACTGGTTTTAGAGGAAGAAGACCTAGGTTTGTGTCTCCAGCCTGAACTTCGTAAAGTGTGTTAACTTTGTAGAATAACCCCCATCCTTCCTCACCAAGTGATCTGTTTTTTGTTTTTCTTTGAGATGGAGTCTCGCTCTGTCACCCAAGCTGGAATGCAGTGGTGCAATCTCGGCTCACTGCAACCTCCACCTCCCAGATTCAAGCAATTCTCCTGCCTCAGCCTCCCAAGTAGCTGGGATTACAGGCGCCCGCCACCACGTCTGGCTAATTTTTGTATTTGTAGTAGAGATAGGTTTTCACCATGTTGGCCAGGCTGGCCTCGAACTCCTGACCTCCAGTGATCTGCCTGCCTCGGCCTCCCAAAGTGCTGGGATTTTGCCCGGCCCCTCACCAAGTGATTTGTAAGAAGATATGTGTGATACTTCCTAAACTTAAAAGTATTGTAAAAATGAAAGGTGTTTTACAGAATCATGTCATGCAAGTTTTAGTGCTAGAGTCTAGTCTATACATTGCCTCTAGAAAGGTGGCCTTGGACGTGACAGAACCTCTCACAGCCACAGTCTCTCCACCTGTAGAAGGTAGGAGTTGGGCTGGATGATCTTTGAGACCTAAAAGATTCTGTTATTTATTGTAAAATGATTAAGTCAAGTCTTGCTTTGTCATCTTTAAGAAACAGGCAGTAAATATTGACTTCAGCAACAGGTTTGAAAAAACGAATTGCTCGGTGTTTCTTGCAGGAGGAGCAAATACGACATCCTCATGGAGAAGCTTTCGGTCATGCTGAGCACACGGACTAACCACATAGAGACGCTGGGAAAGCTGAGGGAAGAGCTGGTGAGCCTGGGGTTTCCCACGGGCGGGGCTGGGTGTGATCTGTACCATAGCCGGGAGGTCTTGTCAGGCATAGAGGAATGAATTGCAACCCAAAGCCCTATTCTGGATTTGATGCAAATGAGATTTTCCTTTGTTTGCTGTTTTTTTCTTTTCTTTTTTGAGACAGAGTCTTGCTCTGTTGCCCTGGCTGGGGTGCGGTGGTGCGACAGTGGCTCACTTCGGCCTTCGCCTCCCAGGTTCAAGCGATTCTCCTGCCTCAGCCTCCCGAGTAGCTGGGATTACAGGTGCCCGCCACCACGCCCTGCTAATTTTCATATCTTTGTTAGAGACAGATTTCACCATGTTGGCCAAGCTGGTCTTGAACCCCTGACCTCAAGTATCCTTCTGTCTCAGCTTCCCAAAGTGCTGGGATTACAGGGGTGAGCCACTGTGCCCAGCTGTTTTTTTAGAATAAGAGTGCTTTGTCCTTCATTTAAATTCTTGCCTTTGCCTGACTTCCATTTCTCCCCTGGAGTTCGTTCTAGGACCTATTATCAAAGTTCAGACGGAATAGGAAAATGCGGCATTTAGGTTTACTTCTGTAATCAAGCTTATGATCTTGTTCCCAGTGGTTTTGTACTGAAATAGCAGAGCGGCTGTCCTGAGGGGGAGGGGAGAGGACGCAGGGAGGAAGGCAGCTGTTGACCTGCTTCGTCTTTGGGCCCCAGAGCAGAGGCTGTGGCGAAGGGAGCGCGAGAGGGAGAAAGGCGGAGGGGAGCTGCTTCCAATCTGACTGGAAGGTTTCAGTGCAAGTCAGGAAAGAGCCAACGTTAGAGATGGGAGGAAAACAACATGGCCCTGTAGGTGAAACCAGAACTTAAAACTGAACATTTGAAGTCAAGCTCTTTGGTGACTAGTAGTTAGTCCCCTAATGAGTGGTCTTCTGTCTGACCGCAGGCACCAGGACAGTCCTTGTTCTTTCCCCACGTTGCATCGATGGAGTTCTCTGATTTCATTGTTCACAGGGGGAGGAGGTGTCTTCCACATTGCTAGATTCACTGCCTGCCTAAGCCTCTTTAAAGCAGTGGTTACAGTCTGGAGGCTTGTGGCCCAGACTTGGTCTGTTAAAAATAAATTTGACCTAGCATTTTTTAAGAAATTGAGACTTTCCATAAAAATCTAGGTTTCCAGTCTGTCTCCAGAAATGAGAAGCCTGGGCCTGCCGTCTCTCCTGACATCAGTTAGCTGGAACTAGTTGTGCACTAGCTGGGTCCCCCGCAGTCCACCTGCTTCCTGTCACCTCTCCGACATGAGGCAGGGAGGCAGGGCCATTTGTCACTCCATGAGCACTGCTGTTTGTAGTAGGGGAGAAGTGTTTTGCTTCTCTGTGTCTCAGTTTATCAGAGTAGAAAATCAAAGATAGATGGAGAAGGCCTCTCAGGAAACCCTGGCAGAAACGAAGGAATTTCCTACCGGCTTAATAAACAAATACCTGGCCACCGTGTGGATTAATGTTACTTGTCCAGCCCATGCAGACTCTGGAGATTGAAACCCTCTCTCCTACCAAGTCACTCGGGGGCAGGGAGACAGGGCTAGTCTGGTTTCAGGTCAGCCCTGTGGACTGTGTTAGCAGCAAGCCTTGACTGTTACTGGACAGCCTTTCACTTATTCATTGAACAGATACTTCAGGGAGTGTGTATGTTGAGTTAGAACTGTGTTCCACAATAAGATGGTGAAAGTTAGCCAGGATGACAGGTCTCACACTGTCGTGGAGCTGTCTAATCAGAAGGGCAGGCGTGTGAACACATACCTGGAAGGATGTAGCTGAGCCAGTAGAGGGAAAGGGGTGCTTTCTTTAGAGAACTGGGGAAAGCCTCAAAGAGCTGTGCCAAAAGCACAGTTGAGCTGGGCTTTTCCCCACATAGACAGAGGGGAAGTGGCATTTGAGGGAAAGGAGAAGAGCTGGTGCAAAGGCATGAGTTGTGGAAGGCCATGCAACATGCTTAGAAGTGGGCAGTAATCCAGAGGGCAGCTGGCACATTGTGTGGCTGGATAGGAAGGTAGGGGCCCAATCAGAAAGGACTGGAGTGCTGGCTGAGGAGTGGGGACTTTAGCCTTGAAACTTTAGCCTTATGCACTGCTGCTGGCCGTGTAGAAATGAAGAAGTTATTAGCCAGGGGTGGTGGTATGCACCAGTCCAGCTACTCGGGAGACTGAGACCAGAGAATCGCTTGAGCCTGGGAGGTGGAGGTTGCAGTCTAGGCATATGAGCTGGTGGAGGGAAGGGGATGGGAAGAAGGTGGCGAGGTTGTGGTCATGAGGGCTGGAATTGTTTGAGAAACATTTTGGAGGTGAAACTAACAGGACGTGGTGAGTGCCTGCACTGGGATGTAGAGGTGACTGAAGAAGGAGGATCTCGAGATGAAGCCAGTGAGTTTCGCTGGAGTGGCTGCTGCTCACTGAGGCAGCGCAAAGGCAGGCTTCTGACGCAGGGATCATGTCTGCTTGCTCACTGCGGGCCCCCACGATGAAGACAGTGCCTGGCCCCCTGTAGAGGCTCAGTAAATATTTGCTGAATGGGAGTTGAATAAATAGGTCAGAAAGAGGAGCAGATTTGGGTGAGGAGGAGGCACAGGACAAATCTCAGTTTCAGACATATTGGGTATGAAGATCTTCCATGACTATCCCCTGGTGATGTCTAGTCAACAGCTGGAAATTGGGGTCACAGAGAGCTGAGCAGGATTCAGTGAATAAATTAGCCTATAGATGAAGCTGAGGCCATGAATATGGATGCTGCCTTTTGGGGGGATTTGGTACGAAGACTCACTGCCTCTTTCTCTTTCTGCTGGCCAGATTGTGCACGTCGTTGATGGCAGCCCCTCAGAAGGCAAGACTACATCATCCTTCCCCTCTTAGGATGGTCCAGGGCTTAGTGCCATATGTCAAGGGCTGGGATCTGATGGATGAGTTTCCATGGGGTCTTTTTATGATGCTGGGGGCACGGCTAGATTAACGATAAATGCCATGTACAAGCCAGTGGCTTTGAATGAGCCATATGTGAGTCATCTGTATTGTTTTGATAGCCATATGTTCTGCCACCCAAGGGCTGGAGTGCTGGTTAGCCTGGGAGGTAACCACACATATGTGGCGGCGGCAGCCCACAGACATTTGCTCCCTGTCTCTCCCCCCAGAATGTAAGAGGAAAGCTGTAAGATTCAGTGAACAGCTCTCAGTCACGAGTGCCTCCTGCCATTCGCTCCCTTGCTGGGAGCCATGGTAACCTGCCAGGGGCTGCAAAATCACATGGCAGCAGTGCCCAGGAGGGTGATACCCACAAGCAAAATGGGCCATGTATAAAATAAATTTTTGATACAGGATAGGTTTAAGAAATTAACTTTCCTCTTAACTACCATTAGAGAAAACCAGCACAAAAATGGTGATAAATGGCAACTGACGTTCAGTTTCATTGTTGGAGGGTCTGATTGGGGAGCGCAAAGGCTGTGGCCCCCTGGAACCGGGTGGGCCCTGCTGAAGAGCAGCTGATCAAGGCTTCTGTTCACTGTTGCTGTGAGGAGCTGCAGTCCTAGCCTTTGAAGAGAAGCCAGAATCTAGGTCTTTTTTAATGTGAAATCACTCACTTTTCAATTTTGGCAAGTAAATTACTTTCTTGAAGAAAAACATTGTATCAATTTTAAAAGCACCGCCTGCACTGGAGGCTGCTGTTGGTCACCCCTGCAGGGGAGATGTTCCTAGGATCATTTTGGTTTTCAGCCTTGCAAAAATAGGAGTGATGAGATGGAAATACCCATTATCATTCTGTTGTAACTTCAGAGACCACATTTAAATTTTCACAATTTTTTTTTTTTTTTTTGAAACAGAGTCTCACTCTGTCACCCAGGCTGGAGTGCAGTGGTGCAATCTCGGCCCATTACAACCTCTGCCTCCCAGTTCAAGCAGTTCTCACCCTCAACCTCCTGAGTAGCTAGGATTACAGGCATATGCCACCGCACCCAGCTAATGTTTGTATTTTTAGTAGTGACGGGGTTTCGCCATGTTGGCCAGGCTGGTCCAAACTCCTGGCCTTAAGTGACCTGCCCGCCTCGGCCTCCCAAAGTGCTGGGATTACAGGTGTCAGCCACTGCACCCAGCCTGTAAAATTTTTTAACCTATTTTTTCCCCTTTTTTTTCTCTCCTGCCCATGGGGGACAGGGGTGTGTATCTGTGTGTGTGTGTTTGTATTAGTAATACACTTACATGGTTAAAAAATCAAAACAACATGAAAAGGTATCAGATGAAGTCTTCAGTCTCCACTCCTCCACTCCTGCCTGCCTCATTCTCACCCCTGCACACCCTTCCAGGATCTGGCGAAGCGAATCTCTTTCCCCCTCTAATCAAAAGGTAGAATCGTTTATATCCTGCTCTGGACCTTGTTTTGGTCCCTTGACAAGGTAGCTTGGCAGGCTTTCCTCATTAGTACCTCAAGATAATCAATTAATTCAGGTCCTGAACTTGTGTTCATTTATATGACTTTCTAGTCATTTCAGACATCTTGCTGTGTCTAATAGTAGCCTTTAAATTGTGTTTTGGCAGGGGCTGTGCGAAAGGACGTTTAAGCGTCTGTACCAGTATATGCTGAACGCCGGGCTAGCCAAGGTGGTGTCTCTTCGCTTGCAAGAGATCCACCCTGAATGTGGACCTTGTAAGACAAAGAAAGGTAATGCAGAGTCTCAGCTTCTGTTCCCTTGGCTGGCTGGCTCTCACTTCTGTCTTCTAAGCTTCAGCCTCTCTCTCTCTGATCACATTCTGCCTTGTGGCATAATGATTTCACATATTTATTTAACTCTGCGCCTCAGTGCCTGGCTCAGGACTGTCCATATAAAAAGTGCCTAGAAAATGTTTGCTGAACAAACTTCCAGCAAACATCTCTGTGGTGTCCTCCAAAATCATAGTTTTATCAGGTGCCCAAATAAACAAGTTCATCTTTTCCTCCTTATATTAAGCCACTCTAGTCTCCTTCTTTTTCTTTTTTTTCTTTGCTTTTTTGAGGCAGTCTCGCTTTTGTCGCCCATAGTGCAGTGGTGCGATCTCTGCTCACTACAACCTCTGCCTTTCGGGTTCAAGCAATTCTCCTGCCTCAACCTCCTGAGTAGCTGAAACTGCAGGTGCCCGCCACCATGCCTGGCTAATTTTTTGTATTTTTAGTAGAGACAGCGTTTCGCCATGCTGGCCAGGCTGGTCTTGAACTCCTGACCTCAGGTGATCCACTCACCTTGGCCTCCCAAAGTCCTGGGATTATAAGCGTGAGCCACCACACTCAGCCTCTTTTTTTTTTTTTTTTGAGACAGGGTCTTTCTCTGTTGCCCAGGCTGGTGTGCAGTGGCATCATCTCAGCTCACTGAAATCTCCACTTCCTGGGCTCAAACGATCCTCCCGCCTCAGCCTCACCACACCCGACTAATTTTTGTATTTTTTTGTAGCGAGAAAGTCTCGCTATGTTGCCCAGTCTGGTCTCAAACTCCTGGACTCAAGTGATCCACCCGCCTCAGCCCTGCAAAGTGCTGGGATTACAGGCGTGGGCTACCACTGCCAGCCACTTATCATTCTTTAGCCTGCCTTTGTGAAGTGCCTACTCTGTATTGCATGATCTCGTTATCTAGCCCTGTAAGGTTGGTGGCATTGTCACCATTTTATATGTAAGAAAATTAAAGTGAAGAGATGCTGAGTAACTTACAGAAGGTTAAACAATCAGTACTCAGCAGAGGTAGGATCTGAGCCTTCTAAGAAAGTTAACTTAAGGAGCATACTATGAAACTTTAAAAACCTTCCTTAGTCTGGGCACGGTGGCTCACGCCTGTAATCCCTGCACTTTGGGAGGCTCAGGTGGGCAGATCACTTGAGGTCTGGAGTTGGAGACCAGCCTGGCTAACATGGTGAAACCCCATTTCTACTAAAAGTGCAAAAAATTAGCCAGGTGTGGTGGCACACGCCTGTAATCCCAGCTACTCAGGAGGCTGAGGCAGGAGAATCGCTTGAACCTGGGAGGCAGAGGTTGCAGTGAGCTGAGATCACGCCATTGCATTCCAGCCTCTGTTATATTTTTTTCCTAGACAGGGTCTCGCTCTATTTCCCAGGCTGGAGTGCAGTGGCACAACCATGGCTCACCACAGCCTTGATCTCCCAGGCTCAAGCTAATCCTCTTGCCTCAGCCTCATGAGTAGCTGAGGCTACAGGCAAACCCTACCATGCTGGGCTAATTTCTTTTTATTTTCAGTAGAGACGAAGTCTTGCTATCATGCCCAGGCTGGTCTTGAACTCCTGGGCTCAAGTGATCTCCTGCCTTGGCCTCCCAAAGTGCTGGGATTATAGGCGTGAGCCACCAAGTCCAGTTATTTTTATCTATTCTTGATTTTTGTCCCATCCTTTTTACTCCTCCTGATTAACCAGAATCATTTTAAAAGCTGCAGGTCAGAGTTCTCAGTAAAAGGTGATAGTTGGAATATATGCATTTATATGCACTCCACCCAAACTTCACCATAGTGATGAAAAGGGATATAAGAGGAGTAAACCCTCAACTACAAAGAATACAGGACAGGAAATGACAAAAGGGAGAGCTGGTGATGACATTTGGGTGCTCAAAGGTAGATGGGCAAATGGCGACTGACTGACCAGACTGGGAAAGCTAAGTGCCTGTGAAGGGCGATAGCCAAAAACTGACACCTCAGAACTTGAAATCAACTAAAACTTGGGGATACTGGGTGCCTTTGAAAGCGTAAGTATGGATAGGGCTAGAAACAAGAGAATTGGTTAATGGTCTGTGTGAGAAGTTGCAATCCTGTAAGAGGCCCTTCCCCGCAGAGACAGAAGTCTGGCATTGTCTCTACAGAGCATGCTGGAGGGTTTCTAGGCTCAGAGATAGGAGACCAAGCTGGAGACTGGGCACTGTGCCAAAAATGAGGGCTCTGTGACAGTCTTGCTAGGTGAGAGTTTCCCAGCTGCTGCTCCCAGCTTGGCCGTCTCTTGTTTTAGTCTGTCGTTTGATGTGCATCCTCCAGTAGCTTCCCAAAGGGGAACGTGGGCTCCTAGAACCATTTGGCTCTTCCAACACTGACAGCCAGACTTACGGTTTCCTAGGCCAGAGGCTGGAGACTTCTTTTTCTGAAGAAACTGACCAGTCCATGAGAAAAATCCTCCAGATACTGAAATTTGGGGGTTTTCCCAACAAAATAGCCCCTGCAAGCTCCCTGTTCATGGAAGCCCACCTGATGGTAACTTCTCCCTTCCTCCTCTCCACTTCCAAAACACAGGGCTTTGGGCAGCATTTTAATGCCTCCCTGAATATTTCAGGAAAACTCATAAGAAACAAACATAGGATACTGAAATAAAGTAGGGAGCAGAAGAAACTGAAAAATAAAGAATCCTTAGAGTTAGTGACATGCTCATAGAAAACCAAGCAAATGGCAAAAAGTGCAGTTATTAATTCCAAGGAAACCCAAAAGGTGTACAAGAAAAGATTGCTTATAGCCTGTGTGCTTGACTTTGTGGGCATAGCAAGTTGCCTGTGGAGACCGACTTCATTCACACTCCTCAGGAGAGTGTGTGCTGAATGAGGACAGACCCACAGCACCCCCAGGGCGGGGCTCAGTGCCCTGCAGAAGGTAGGCAGGCGTATTTGTCAAGAGACTGTGAACTGCCCATCTAGGGAAGCTTGTCTCTTCCTTTATTTCCTAGCTTAGTTAATGGAAGCACTGGCCACCTGTCTGGCTTCCCTGTGTCTGAGAAAAGTCTTGTGGAGGAGATGGTATCACACAGATAATTACAATACCACAGGTATATAAACAAAGAAGGAACAGCTGGGAGGTTAGGAAACCTTCCTAGAGCAAAACCTCATCTTTGAGTTCCTAGTGTTTAACACATTCTCAGTGCTGAGTAAATGTGTGATTGGTTGAATGACTGGAACTCCTTGAGGAAAAGTGTGGTAGCATCAGCCTTTAAGTAGAGAGGAAAATAGAAAAGATTGTTGGGTCCTGTGGCAAGGAAGAAAAAAGGCTCACGGAACTGAGAGGTGTCCTGGGGACTTAACTGTTAGGTGATTCCTCAGTATTTGATCTTTTCTTTTCTTTTCTTTTATTTCTTTCTTTTCTTTTCTTTCTTTTCTTTTTTTGACACAGAGTTTCTCTCTATTGCCCAGGCTGGAGTGCAGTTGCATGATCTTGGCTCACTGCAGCCTCTGCCTCCCGGGTTCAAGTGATTCTCCTGCCTCAGCCTCCCAAGTAGAGATTACAGGCGTGCGCCACCACACCCAGCTAATTTTTGTATTTTTAGTAGAGATGGGGTTTTACCATGTTGGCCAGGCTGGTCTTGAACCCCTGACCTCAGGTGATCTGCCCGCCTCAGCCTCCCAAAGTGCTGGGATTACAGGCGTGAGCCACTGCACTCAGCCCTCAGTATTTGATTTTGAAGTCTAATGGCCTGAATACCTAAATACTCATGGCCTGTGGAGCTGTTAATCATTTTTATTTTCTGTCCTGTTGGAAGAAAGGTGTTAAGGAAAAGACAGAAGTAATTTATATTTAAAGTAAAGAGAAACTAAGGAGGAACCTTAGTTCCTTAAAGAACCTTTTTTGCTAGACAGGCAACTGTAGAGAAAGGCTTCTCCCTAGCCTAAGGTCCCTGGAAATTTAAACTAACCAAACTAACTTGAAACTAACACCTCACACCTGAATGGACTTGGGAGTAAGACAGCCCTGGGTTAGAATTCTTGTTCCATCACTGTCTGGTAAGGTGACCTTCAGCAAGTGATTTGACCTCTGTATACCTCAGTTTCCTCATCTGAATTATCTAGGGGGTAATAGTACCCACTTTCCAGGGTATTGTGAGACTTACAGGTGACAGTAGACATAGAGCAGGGCCACAGGCTGATAACACACAGGCCCAATCTAGCCGTGTGTTTTATTTGGCTCACAGTGTTTGTTTGTATTGAATTTGTTGCCGGCATTTAAAAATCAGAAAGTTTCACCTAAAAAGTCTTGACTGTCACCTTCCCTATAAAAATACAATTAGGAAACATTGAACTTTATTCCTTTATTAGCAGTTGGCTAGGCAGAGGGAGCTGCCCCATTTCGGAGGGGCTCACCTTCCCCTTTCACCACAGACACCCGCTTCCCACTGTATAGCCTGCGGCCTGCTTCATGCTGGTATGTCATTTGCCTGACCCTTGAAAGTAAGTTCATGCGTAGGACCCATTGCCCAGTGAGTGGTTTCCATCATCTTGAGGCCTGGAGCTGGGACAAGAGGACTTTCCAGAAGAAAGATTAGCATGACTTACAGCACAGACAGTGGTGGTTTTGGCTCCTTGTGCTGGATTAAGGCAGCAGGCACCAAGATGATGACGGTCAGGATGTTTAGATTGTCACATGCATGCACAAGGAGCCATTCTGATTGCTGGAGGGATGATGTCTTTGCCCATACTGTTGCCCACCTCTCTGCTGCTGCGGCTGGAAACCTGGGCTCATGGTGAGTCCTTCCCTCACTTCCATGGCACGCCGTAGCCCAGTTACTCATCTGTGTAAGTTCTTTCTAGCTAGCTCATGACTTCCTTCAGGGTGGTGACCACACGCTTTACATGCTTTATGTCCTTTTTAAAGGCTGTACAGTGTCTGCTTGGAACAGAGTAGGTGCTAAGCAGATGCTGAGCAAATTTAATTTAATTTAATTAAGTGCCGCTTCAGTTACTTTCCGTGCGCAGGAGGCAAGGGATGAAGGCAGTTTTCAGGGTTTTTTTGCCTTGAGCTTTGTCTTTCCAGTTTGCAAAATTAACATAAAACCTTCCCTCTAAGGCATTATGGAGGAGACAAAGCTCAAATAATAAATAAAGATGATGTATTATTTCATTTAAATTTACAGATATACCTGGATCTAGTATATGAATTATTTTTAAAACTCCTTAACGAATTTGGATTTAGGCTTATTTCAAATGCATATTTCACTGCACAGAAGGCTTCAGTGATCTGTTTTGCAAAAAGCAAAAAAACTTTGGTAATGTAAACAGCCCCCCTGAACTGATCTGTTTTGCAAATTTGGATTATTTTCTTCAAGTGTTTACCAGTCATCCTGTGTTTATTAAATTGTGCTGAGAAGAGAAAGGGAGAGAAGTAGAAGTTAACTCAGCAGTCTGTCGGAAAATGATCACAGTTGGAAACAACTCACAGAAATTGTGCTCCCTGGGGCTAATGACTGAGGTGGTCAACTGGCTAGGTTTTTCAGGTTGTCACAAGTTCAGCATTGAAAGGGCTGTGGGGTGAAGTAGCTGTGAATGAGATCGACTCTCCTCAGAGCTGTTGCCCCTGTGACTCTAAAAAAAAAAGTTCAGTAAGATTTCAGGACAGAAGATCGGTATACAGAAGTCCATTGTGTTTCTGTAGACCCACCGTGCACAATCTGAAAATGAAATTAAGAAAACAATTTTGTTCACAATAACTTAGAAATATATTTAACAAAAGAAGTACAAAACATATACGCTGTGAAAACTACAAAATGTTGCTGAAAGTTAAGATTTATGTAAATGGAAAACATCCCAGGTTCCTGGATCCAAAGACTTCACAGTATTAAGAAGGTGATACTCCCCAGACGAATCTACTGATTCCACACAGTCCGTGTGAGAATCCTGACTGACTCCTCCACAGAAATTAACAGGCTGATGCTAAAATTCACAGGGAATGCAAAGGGACCCAGAGAGCTAAAACAATCCCGAAAAAGAAGAACAAAGTAGGAGAACTCACACTTCCTGCTTTTTAAACTTACTGCAAAGCAGTAGTAATGGAGACAGTGTGATACTGGCACAAGGGTAGACAGATAACCGAATAGAACTGAGAGTCCAGAAATAAATCACACATCTATGGTCAAATGATTCTCGGCAAAGGTGCCAAGACCATTTGATGGGGAAGGCGTGGTCAGTCATGAAAGGCCATGACTGTATGGTTCCATTTATAGGAAAGTCCATAATGGGGGAATCTGGAAGTAGATTAGTGAGTGCTTAGGGGAGGGGTGCAGGGAGACAGGAGTGAGAAAGGGTTTGAGGTGATGAGAATGTTCTAGAATTGATTGGTGATGGATGCAGAGGCCTGTGAATGTAGTAAGAAACCATTGACTTGTACAGATAAATTGATGAATCATGTGATATGCAAATTATATCTCAATAAAGCTATTAAAATTTTAAAAAGTAAATAATATCCAAGAAACCTAGCAAGGTATAGCAAATTAAATTATGATAGTTAAAATGGCCAACAGGAACAGTTGAAAAGTTAAAGTAGGATTGATGTATACAAGCTAAGAGAAAAGAAATGAACCATATGAAGAATGATTAAAATGCAACAAATAAATACAAAGGTTTAAAGGAGCTTTGAAACCAAAAAACTGGAATTAAAAAGAATCAAGATTAGAAAAACAAAAAGGATAAAAGGTGAACATGAACAGAAAAAAAGCAGAAAAAGATTTTCAGAAATTTTAAAAGCCTAGAAAATTGATTATGCTGGAGGGAAAATGGTTAAAATAGTTAAAAAGTGATTAAAGAATACTAGCTTAAAAAATGAATAAGAGAAATAAAAGAAAGACATGTTAATATGGCAGAAGCTCTGTTGAAAGCCAGAACTTAAAACAGGGGTAAGAGCCCCAAAGGTGTGAATTTGTGGGCTGAGTAACTTCTGCTGAGTCCTAGGCAGCTCTCTCGAGGGGACCCAGACACCTGGGGAGCGCCCTTTGCCAGGAACTGGCCTCTTCCCCGCTGATCTCCCCCAGGAAGGACCAGCCACTCAGTCCTGCAGACAGCAGGAGCCTTTGGCCTCCCTCAGCGGGGAAATGTGTTGTGTTTCTCAGAAGAGCACACTGGGGACAGGTAGGAGGAGCGTGAGGACTGGGGAAGAGAAGCAGGCTGGAACAGGGTGGGTGACTGGCCACACGCTGAGGGAGAGGCCCTAAGATTTTCTCGCAAGACCTCTCTAAGGTGTAGCTAGCTGATGCCTTTACAGGCTGAGAAGGGAATGCTCCCTGCGCTAGGAAGAGTCGAAGGCAAGTGCCAGAACTTGTGAGCACAGGAAATGACCGTACAGGGTGAGGGCCTGGCAGCGGAGGTATCCATGGGGCCAGTGCAGGGACTGGATGTTTCTCAGTGACGGATGTGGCCTCCTTAAATAGCTCCTGGCTCAGAGCCCTCAAGAGAGGTTCGCTGCTGCTGTTAGCACTGCACAGTTGACACCAGCCCTTCCCATCTATTGATCGCGCTTTAAGAGCATTGGGGAGGCTGGGCGCTGTGGCTTAGGCCTCTAATCCCAACACTTTGGCAGGCCCAGGTGGGTGGATCACTTGAGGTCAGGAGTTCAAGATCAGCCTGGCCAACATGGTGAAACCCCATCTCTGCTAAAAATACAAAAATTAGTTGGGCATGGTGGCAGGTGCCTGTAATCCCAGCTACTTGGGAGGCTGAGGCAGGAGAATCGCTTGAACTGGGAGGCGGAGGTTGCAGTGAGCTGAGATCACACCTCTGTTCTCCAGCCTGGGCGACAGAGCAAAACTCCATCTCAACAACAACAAAAAAAGCATTGGGGACCTCAAGTCAGCTACTAACTCAGCCCAAGGGTTTAAGGAGGTGATTGACTCTGAAGCTGTATACCAAGAGCGTTTATATAATTTTCTAAACCCTTGTAAACCCCCACATGTACTATTGTCAGTACCCTTGTTTCCTTGTACAATTAGTGAGAAAAACCTAAGACCCTGTGGGCTTGTCTAGAGGCACTAAAAAGAGGAAAGAACTGGGTGAGATGCCATATTGTTATCCCATTTTGTGGTCAGTCTTGGAGTGGGGGGAAGTAGAAAAAACATCAAGATGACATTCCAGGCAAGGCTGGCTGGGCATGGTGGCTCATGCCTGTAATCCCAGCACTTTGGGAGGTCGAGGCAGGTGGATCATTTGAGGTCAGGAGTTGGAGACCAGCTTGGCCAACATGGTGAAACCCCATCTCTACTAAAAATACAAAAATTAGCCGGGTGTGTTAGCGCACGCCTGTAATCCCAGCTACTCAGGAAGCTGAGGCAGAAGAATCGCTTGAACCCAGGAGGTGGAGGTTGCAGTGAGCCGATCACGCCACTGCACTCCAGTCTGGGTGACAGAGTGAGACTCCATGTCAACAAAACAAAACCAAACCAAACACAAGGTCTCACTCTGTCTCACCCAGGCCAGAGTGCAGTGCTGTGATCATGGCTCACTGCAGCCTTAGCCTCGCAGGCTGAGCAATCCTCCCACCTTACCCTCCCAAGTAGTGGGACTACAGGGGTGTGCCACCACACCAGCTAATTTTTTTAAAAAATTGTTTTTTTTGTAGAGACGGGATCTTGCTTGTTGTCCATGCCAGTCGCGAACTCTTGGGCTCAAGTGATCCTCCTGTCTTGTCCTCCCAAAGTGCTGGGATTATGGGCGTGAGCCTCTATGTCCAGCCTTGTTTCTTTCATTCTAGTCCTTCTAAGCATGCAATCCTGTCAGTAGTATTTTCTTTCTTTCTCTCTCTTTCCTTTCTTTCCTTCTGTCTCTCTCTCTTTTTTCTTTTGTTTGCTTTTCTCTTTTCTCTTGCCCTCTTTCTTTTTCTTTATTTCACTGATGAGAAAACAGAGGCACAAGTCCCTTGCCCAAGGTCACAGAGCTGGGCAGTGCTGGTGCAGGGATTTGAATAGAGGATCGGTTACTTACTCTGCTGCCTCCCATGTGAGACTGGGCTGAACTCAGGAGGAAGTGGAAGTTGGGTAGGTGAGTGCTTGGGGCCTGAGCCTGGCTGGGACACTGGCTAAAGGTAAAACCAGCCTAGGACAGCTCCCTGGGGCCTGAGGGTCTGCAGATCTGGACTCCCTTCCAGGCCTCCCTCCCTCCAAGCCAGCTTCCATGTCCACTGCAGAAATAGCTTCCACTCAGTCCCAAACATCATGCCTACAAAATAAACAAGAAAATATGCTATGGTTGGCATAGAAACCTTCCACAGCTACCTTTCTCCGTATCCTCACCTTCATTCCTGCCCTCTCCCCTCCCCTTCCCCAGTAGGCCCCTTCTTTTCCACCTCAGTGCCTTTGCTCATACCCTTCCTTTTGCCTGGAACACCTGTCTTCTTCTGCCTTATCAGACAATTCTTAGTATCCTTTACTGTCCCACCCAAATGCCACCTCCTCTCTCTGCTGTCCCCTGCCTAGCCCCATCCTGTCTCTTTCTCATTTCCAAACTCTGTGCGTGCTTAAAGCGGGGTCCTGAGGGTGTTATAGCACATTTCCCAGCATGGCTGGCTGGCCCTGCTAGTCTGCTAGTAGTCAGCCAACCAGAGAGCATGCGTTGAGTGCCTAATTTGCCTCAAGTGTTACGCTAGGGCCCTTGAATGCATTCATTAATTTAGTCCTTACTACCAGCTTATTCTAGGCATGCTGTTAGAATTACCCTCATTTTACCCATGAAGAACTTGAGGCTCAGAGAGGTAAGGAGCTTCCCCATGGCTGAGCCAGAATTCAAACCCAGGCATGTGAAGCCTGAGCACATTGTCCTTCCTATGCTGCCCGACGGCCTCTCTCACACACACAACCTTTTGTAGGGGCAGGAAGCCTGTCTCTTTCATCTGTACATGTTCTGGGCCCAGCACAGAAGAAATGGTTGTGGAATCAAATCGAATTAAAGGCCCCAAGCACTCTCTGATATTTTCAGCCCAGGTGACTGGGTATGACACTTGATCCTCCAAAGCTGTGTGTTTCCAAGGTTGTAGTAACGATCAGAGTTGTAAAAGCAGTAGCAAACATCTACAGAGCACTACCTCCATGCCAGGCGCTGTCCTAAGGACTCTATGAGGAAGATACTATTATTGTCCCTATTTTATAGCTGAGGAAACAGGCCTAGAGGCCATATTACATAGCCAAGTTATACAACCAGCAAAGGCTGCTGGAGGCAAGCTAACACCAGACAGACTGACTCCAGAGCCCATAATATAACCTGTACCACCATTGCCCTGGGGTGTGTGCTGCAGCAACCCCACCTCCGTCATTCAGTGTTCCCTGAATTCTGTGCTTTCAGCCTCTGGCCAGGCATGTGTGTGTGTGTGTGTGTGTCTTGGGCGGGGGTGGTGGGGAGGTAACACTGAATTTACATGACGTCTGCCTGGCTTACCAGTAGGACTTTCCCATTGCTTGTGACCCTTAAAGAGGAAAGCTGCCGTGGGGTTCGTTTGTTCCCAACTTGCTTTTCTTTCCTGGGTTGATCACAGTTGAGAGCGCCATTTTGCCAGGAAGCCAGATGGATTTTTCACTGGGAATGGGAGAAACACAGACTCTTGGTTCCGCCTCACAGCTACTCTGGTTTTTCCTTTACTATGAATCGTGCTTCTGATGGAAATTTGAAATTCTAGCCTAGCCAGGTGGCCTAGTGTGGAAGGCATCGGTTAGATCACATGACCACTCTGAGTGTCAGTTTTCTTTTTCTTAAAATGGCAATAATAACTTGCAGAAGCCACGTGATGAGTAAGTAAAATCACTTCCGAAAACACCGAACACAATGGCTGGCTCATACTAGGTGCTCCTTAAGGAGTCACTCCTTCTCTTTTTCTCTTCTGGGTCTTCAGAATGTCTGAATGAAGTCCATCTTGGATCCTGGACACAAAAGATCTATGTGATTCCTTTGTGTTGGACTGCTAATATTAGCATGCCATGTCTTTAAAATGCCTGAAACTCCTCGTGCCTGTGAGCGGGTGCTGGTTGTATCTCACCTGCCTTTTGTTCCTGGGAAGAAAGCCCTGTGTCCAGGGACCAGGGGTTGCCATTAGCCAAGTCCCCAGTTCCTCCCAGGGGAATTGCTGGTCACTGAGGTGGCAGCTTAAATGGGGCAGTAGGCCTCGCTCACCCTGGATGACGTGCGCTTATTCGGGTCTTGCTCTGCCCCTGTGGCTTTTGGCTTTAGCTGACTTGTAGTCTGGAACAGGCACCTTCAAAAAGGCAAATAGGAGCCAGAGGGATTTTAATAATAAAAACTGAAATTCTGAGCCTGGTAAAACTCTAGAACTGTGGGAAAGGCACACAGGGCTGGTGGAACTCCTTCCAGATGGTCCCTTGGAATCACAAGGCACACACTACACTGTTCCGTCGTTTACCTGCCTAATCTCTTACCGTTCTCCCCACAAGGCTAAACACTGTCACCAGCCCTAGTTTTCAGGCAAGACACTTGAGGCTGAGGGAGGTCAGCCACCTTGTCCAGGCCCACCCGACACAGCAGCAGGGCTCACAGCCAGCTCTGTGGCAGAGAGTCTGGCTTCCCTACCACAGTGCTGGGCTGCCTCTCCAGCACAAGGTTTTCCAAAGGAAAGATGTGCACCAGGCTTAGCTCGGTGACCCATGACTATAACCCTCTACTTTGGGAGGCCAGGGTAAGAATGTCACTTGAGGCCAGAAGTTCTAGACCAGCCTAGGTGACATAGCAAGATCCCGTCTCTACAACAAATAAAAAAAAGATCCGAGCATGGTGGTGTATGTCTGTAGTCCCAGCTACTCGGAGGTGAGGTGGGAGGACCGTGTGAGCCCTGGAGTTCGAGGCTGCAGTGATTGTGCTGCTACACTCCAGGCTGGACGACAAAGCGAGACTTTGTCTCAAAAGAAAAATATATATGTATATATGTGATGGCATGGGGAAAGGAAAATGTGTCTGTGATTGGCATGTTGTGAAAGAGCAGAGCCAGACACAGCTTGGGTAAATAAAACAGGGCTTATTTGCCGGGCGGATACAGAAGAGAGTCAGAGCAGTTGGGATTCACAGCAGATAAATCAGCTATGCCCTGTGGGGCAGGCAGAGCCGCAGATCCCATGGCCAAAATATCCGGAGAGTCACTCCAGGCCTGGAAGCACAGCCGCCTCACGCTGGGCCCAGTTTCAGCTGTGGCCCACCCACAGCACCCACTCTGGGTCATGGGTGCCTTGTGGGTCCTGGGGCTGATGATGCCTATTGTTCTGTTGCACAGAACAGCTCATAGTCCTCTGGCATCGCCCTCAGCCTCCATGGCCAACAACTGAGCCTCATGCTGAGAACCAGAGCAGGGGGGCGCCTTCGCACGAGTCTCTAGGAGTCAAGCCATCGTGACCAGAGGGCAGCTTTGGGGCTTATCTCACAATAAGGGGGGGCCCGCCACCTTGAATGCCACTGATGTTTGTAATGCCTCTCCCCTGTGCTAGGTGCTGGTGGTACTGTTCAGAATAACTCCCCTACTGGCCAAGTGCATCCACTGCAGGCTGGCAGCCTGGGCTCACTGACATCCTAGCTCTGCCACTACATAGCGCCATCACTTTGAGCAAGTGCCTTAGCTTCCGCATCTGTGAAATGGAGCTTACAGGGGCCTGCCTGCCTTGGGGTTGTGGGATTTTATGGGTTAATTCATGTACCGCCCTTGGCATGGTGCCTGGCTCCCAGCAAGTGCTGGGTGGTCATGTTGAGGGATTGCTCCATGCCAGCCTCTGTACAGATGCTGTCTCAGCCATGCTAACATTAACCCCGTGAGACAGAGAACACTGTCATCCCATTTTGCAGATCGGAAAACAAAGAGTCATACTTGGTAATTTCCCCAAAGTCACAGACATGGGGAGCTATGGAACTTGAGATGGAAACACTTCTCTGCCTGGCTCTGGAGCCCAAGTTCATCCCTACCTTCCCTCCAAACGTTTATTCAGGAGGTAGTTGTGCCATTTGTTGGAGGCTGTGATGGAATGGATGTCAGTTGCTCCACTAGTAGAGAGGTGAGGACGGTGAACCAACTTGGTGGGGAGAAGAAGGGTTTTTTTTGTTTTTTTTTTTTGTTGTGTTTTGTTTTGTTTGAAACAGAGTCTCACTCTTGCCCAGGCTGGAGTGCAGTGGTGTGATCATAGCTCACTGCAACCTCAAACTCCTGGGCTCAAGCAATCCTCCTGCTTCAGCCTTCCGAGTAGCTGGGACTACAGATGCACACCTCCAACGCCTATAGCTAATTTTTTGTATTTGTTATGGAAATGAAGTCTTGCTCTGTTGCCCAGGCTGGTCTCAAACTCCTGACCTCAAATGATCTGCCCACCTCGGCCTCCCAAAGTGCTGGGATTACAGGCATGAGCCACTGCTCCCAGCCAAGATCAGAAGCTTTGAAGACTATGAGGCTTTTTCTCTTTTTTGCCCACTGAGTCATGAGTTTACTAGTACCGTTTCTTGCCTTCCACCCGTGTTTATTTTGAGAGCTGTCCTGTGTATCTTTTCCTAGCCAATTAGCCTCTTAAGGAAGCTTAAAAGGAGAAGAAATAGCGCTGGGCCACTGGCTGAGGGCGCCTCAGGTCTGACTCCCCCAAGTGCTGTGTCGTGCTGCTGCTCAGGCAGAAGCCAGCGTCCCTGGCGCCGCGCCGCTCTTCTATTCTCAGTCACAGGGACGTTTTGAATCAGGGGCGTCTAAACCAAAGGTTTAGAGCCTGGGCTCCAGAGCCAGACTGCCTGGTAAATGCCACCTTCTCACTAGCAAAGGGGCATTTGTTTGTGTGAATTCCTTGGCTCCTTAGTGTTCTCATGTGGGACTGGAATGATCACCCTTACCTCCTCAGGCCATGGTGAGGGTCAGTTCATAGGGTACACGGGGAGCCTAGGACAGCATCCAGGATATAGTAATGGATAAATGGTCGTAGTGTTATTAGGAGCCATAGGTTGCTCATGTGAGCAGCATGGTAGGATGGGGGTTGGGAGGGGCTTGTCTAGAGGACAGTCTAGGGGGGAATGGCATGGTGGTCTGGTCTTCCTGTGTGCTGGGTGTGTTGACCACCAGCTGCTAGAGGTGCTGCTTGTAGAAAGGGAGCCTGGCACTGTGACCCTGTCCCAGTGCCCGAGCCTTCAGATAGTTCTTGCTCATGTCCACAGTCCCGAAAGTCTCCTTGTCCCCATACTTCCCCTCCTGATTGCTTAAGCCTCCCATTCTGAAAGAGAGGGATTGCAGGAGAGGGCAGGGCAGGGGCCTGGAGCACAGGGCAGAGCCAAGAGGGACGGCAGGAGCCCCGGCGGGGAGCCAGCAGAAGCAGAGTCTTCAGGCTTGCGCCGGGGCCTTAGATTGCCTCTAATGAAAAGCCATGCCCTGGGGGACTTTCTGATGCTGTGAGGAGTGGAGGGGTCAACACAAGGTTGGTGCCTGGGGACCACTTCTGCTGGCCTCTTGCCCTAGGCTGGCCCCCGTTAGAGTGTCTCCAGAGGTCTGTTGAGTTCCAGGCATCTCCTGAGTTCCAGGCCCTGAGATGCTTATTTGTGAACTTCAACTGCAAGCCACATGCTCTGCCCCCAAAAGAACCTCCTGCTTGAGTGGAGGTGGTTGGGCCTGACTTTCCTCGGACCTCAGTCTTCTGTGCTGTTGGGGATGGCATTTCACACTTCACGGGCAGGGTTCTGTACTAGAGGGCTGGGCTCCAGGGCCAGCGTCAGTGCCCACTCCTTGCCGTAGCACCCAGGATTCTGTGCATCGATGTGCTGATGAAAGCTGGTGGAGAAGCTGTCCCTGTTATTCTTATGACTACTGTAACAAATTACCACCAACCTAGTGACTTCAAACCACACAGATTTATTGCTATCTGAAATGGCTTTCGCTGGGGTAAAATCAAGATGTTTGCGGGGCAGTGTTCCTTCCGGAGGCTTTAGAAGAGAATTCATTCCCTGGCCTTTTTTGGTTTCTAGGAGGCACCTGCATTCCCTGGGTTGTGGTCCCTTCCTCTGTCTTCAGATCTAACAGTGTAGCATCTTCCAGTCTCTCACGCTGATCCTACTGCCTCTCTTTTAACGACTTTTTGTTGTTGTTGTTCAGTGTTTTATTTTGAGACAGGGTCTCACTCTGTCACCTAGGCTGGAGTGCAGTGGTGCGAGCTTGGCTCACTGCAACCTCGACCTCCCAGGCTCAAGCAATCCTCTCACTTCAGCCTCCTGAGTAGCTGGGACTACAGGCACATGTTACCACACCTGGCCGATTTTAAACATTTTTTGTAGAGTTGGGTCTTGCTGTGCTGCCAAGGCTGGTGTCAAACTCCTGGGCTCAAGTGATCCTCCCCGCTTTGGCCTCCCAAAGTGCTGAGATTACAGATGTGAGCCACCATGCCCAGCCTAAGGACTCTGTGATACTACATTGAGCCCACCCAGATAATCGAGGATAATCTTACCTCAAAATTCTTAACTTCACCCTGGCAACAGTGACCCTCAAAAATCCACAATGCCTTAATTTAATCACTTCTGCCAAGTCCCTTTGGCCATGGAAGGCAACATGTTCACATGTTTTGGGGATGAAGACGTGAACATCTTTACAGGGTGGTTGTCCCGCTCCAGGTTGTCGCGTATCACAGGATATCTTGGTGTTCATGTTGGAGACCTATGACCGTGACTGAGTCATTTTTCCCGTCACTTACAAGCTGTCAGGAGCTTGGACAAGTTATTCAACCCCTCTGGTTCCCTAGCATCTTCATCCGAGGGTTGTTGGAACCAAATGAGTAGCTCATGTCAAGTATCAAGAAGTCCCCATTTTTCCTTGTACCTTTTCTAGTTCTTACCTACATATACGTATATCTTTCTCTCGTTATAGCCGTAGGCACAAGTTTGTTATTTTTTTCGCATGTTTTACTTTTGTAGGTTGCAATATAGATGCATCACACAGTGTGATGATTTGAATGCACACACTAGTCCACAGAAAGTGAGATGGCTGGTAGGTATGCCACCCCTCCACCCCCATTGCTGGTTTTTTTGTAGTATGCATAAGATCGCTCTGATGCTATAAAGAGTGCTGTAGTAGATCTATTAGTACTGATAGGCTTTGCCTCTTTTTGAGTTGTTTTCTTGGAATAAATATTTACACTTGGAATCATTATAAAATCCCCTTGAAATGCTCTAGAAGGGTTATACAGCTCGTTTACACTGCTGCCACACCTTATTGGCAGTGAGTATTAGCTTAAAAGGAAAAAGATGCTTTTCATCCTTTTGGCAAATACTGCTCGCGTGCCTCCTGAGTGTGGGCCGTGTCCTGGGTGCTGGGAAGGGAACAGGAAGAGACAGGCGCGTCTCCTGTTGTCATGGAGCTGGTCTCCAGCAGGAGAAGGTGACTGACTATTGATTTAACAGGACTAATAGCACCTCGTTATTCCTTCCATTTGCATTGCTTTCTTCACTCATTCTTCTAAAAACAAAAAGCAGCTTTATGGAATACATTTTCAGGTCTTGTGGCCCAAGATGAGCCATTTTTAAAAGTCCAGACACGGTGATATGTGTGACCTTTGTGGGGATCTCTGTCTCTGCTGACATGTGCTGTGATATTTCAGAACCCCTCACCTCCCCCACGCAGCACTGCTTTCACTCATTGCTGGCAAACCCGTGCTTGTGTTGCCAGGGACCGACGTCATGGTTCGGTGCCTCAAGCTGCTGAAGGAATTTAAACGGAATGACCATGATGATGACGAGGACGAGGAGGTCATCTCCAAGACAGTGCCTCCAGTGGACATTGTGTTCGAGCGGGATATGCTCACACAGACCTACGACCTCAGTAAGTCTTGTTCCCATGCCAGCTTGGATATGGATCCCGAGAATTTGAGTCAAGAAGCGCTTTGCCCACATGTCGAGAGAGAGCTCTGCTATAGAGAATGTAATACAATGGGAAGTGCCTTGGTTCCCCAGAAGGGTTTAGGCTTCAAGGTCAGATTGGAGTTTGAATCCTTGCTCTGCCACTTAGCCATATGATTTTAATGAGGTCTCTGAGTCCCATTTCCTCATCTGTAAAGCAGGCATCTTAGAGTTCTCCAGAGACACAGAATCAGTAGGAAAAATAAACATAGATATATAAGAGGGAGCTTATTAAGGTAATTGGCTCATGCAATTATGAATGCTGAGAAGTCGCACTAGCTCGTCTGCGAGCTGGAGGCCCAGGGAAGCGTCAGAACTAGGGAAGCCGTGGGGGCAGGTCCCAGTTACCTAAGGCTGGAGAGCCTGGAGTTCTGATGGCCAAGAGCAGCAGAAGAGGGGGCTGCAGCTCCAGAAGAGAGAGAGGGCAAGTTCGCCTTCCTCTGGCTTCTTGTTCTGTCTGGGCCCCTGGCTGATTGGATGGTGCCTGCCTGCATGGAGGGCAGATCTGTCCCACTTAGTCCACTGAGCTACACACCAATCTCCTTCAGAAACACCATCACAGACACACCCAGAGATAAAACCTGACCAGTGATCTGGGTATCCCTTAATCCAGTCCCATTGACACCTAAGGTTAACCATCACGTGGTGAAAGTATCCACACTAGCACATTATGAGGATAAATGACATCAAATTAAAAGAGCTGCTATAGGGCCTGGTGCATAGAAAGCACTGAGAAGAAGAAAGCTATTACTATTATTATTCAAAGGTTCAAGAGCTACCTGTTGTTTTCTAAGATTGGTCTGGAGTTACCACAGGCCCGGAATTTATGATGAATGGGCAAAGAAAACATTCTCTCCCATTCCTAACCCTTCCCCCAGGTCCCCTAACTTCTGTGTGGGACATCAGTGGCCTAGTGTCACAGGCGGTGTGGCCTCAGGTTCCTGCAGGGAGGAGGACAGAGCAGAAGGTGAAGTGGCTGCAAGGGATCTGATTGAGCTGTTGGGTCGGCCCAACCTTTCTGGAGGGCTGTTTGGTAGCTCCCTTGACGTCCCTCAGAATGGGTTCCACACAACACAGCTGGGGAAATGCTGCCCTTAACCCTTTCTTTTTTCTTTTTTGAGACGGAGTTTGACTGTGTCGCCCAGGCTGGAGTGCAGTGGTATCTCAGTTCACTGCAGCCTCCGCCTCCCAAGTTCAAGTGATTCTCCTGCCTCAGCCTCCCAAGTAGCTGGGATCACAGGCATGTACCACTGTGCCCGGCTAATTTTGTATTTCTTTTTTTTTTTGAGATGGAGTCTCGCTGTGTCGCCCATGCTCGAGTGCAGTGGTGCGATCTTGGCTCACTGCAAGCTCCGCCTCCTGGGTTCACGCCATTCTCCTGCCTCAGCCTCCCGAGTACTTGGGACTACAGGCGCCCATCACCATGCCCCACTAATTTTTTTGTATTTTTAGTAGAGACGGGGTTTCACCGTGTTAGCCAGGATGGTCTCGATCTCTTGACCTCGTGATCCACCTGCCTCGGCCTCCTAAAGTGCTGGGATTACAGGCGTGAGCCACAGCGTCCGGACTAATTTTCTATTTCTTTAGTAGAGACAAGGTTTCATCATGCTGGTCAGGTGGGTCTCGAACTCCTAACCTCAGGTGATCCACCCACCTCGGCCTCCCAAAGTGCTGGGATTACAGGTGTGAGCCACCACACCTGGTTAGCCCTTTCATCCCTACTTTTTAGCGTGTTGCTAGATCAGTATAGGAACACATCCTAGTCATCTTTCTTCATTCTGCTGCTTATTTTTATGCGTGTACAACATAGCAAAACCTCCTTTATTCAGACTGATTTTACTAGGCAGCCTCAAGCCTTTGGATGCATCAGGAAATAAAGAGGAAGATACTTCTTTTTTTTTTTTTTTTTTTTTTGAGACGGAGTCTCACTCTGTCGCCCAGGCTGGAGTGCAGTGGCGTGATCTCGGCTCACTGCAAGCTCCGCCTCCCAAGTTCACGCCATTCTCCTGCCTCAGCCTCCTGAGTAGCTGGGACTACAGGCGCCCGCCACCACACCCGGCTAATTTTTTTGTATTTTTAGTAGAGATGGGGTTTCACTGTGTTAGCCAGGATGGTCTCGATCTCCTGACCTCGTGATCCGCCCGCCTCAGCCTCCCAAAGTGCTGGGATTACAGGAGTGAGGCACTGCACCCGGCCAAGAGGAAGATACTTCTGAAAAGTCAAAGAGCTTTGCAACCAAGTCTGCCTTGCGGCTCATGTGCTTTACTGCTGGGACTCCCTGCCCACCTCCCAGTTCCTAAGCCGACTCCTTCCTGGAGTTCTTAGTTCCAGCTTAGTAGGATGCATTTAAAGGGCCTCTGAGCGGCAGATATACTCACAATCCTGACATACACCAGCTTGTGACAGCCCAGGAGTAGACAAGCTACACACAGCAACAGCGGGGGCCAGTGGTCTGCGAGTCATTTACTCCAGGGCTGAGGAATACCATTTCCTTTCAAAGTCCTCGCTTGCACGACTCTTATGGGACAGTGCAGTAGTCAGTGTCCACAATGCCTCTGTGTCTATCAAGAAATACTGGGAAATGAAGAATACACATTAAGAAAAGTTCTGAATTAAAAATTATTTTGATGCTTCTTAAAGAGGTCAATTTCATTGATCTGAAACAGTTCATTCATGCGAAAGGGCTAATTTCCTGCCGTTGGGTAAAACCTATTGGGTTCTTGCATTTTAGTATTTCAGCTGTTGATCACCTGACATTTAGTGTTTTAACGTGGGGCCATGAGATAGTAAGCATTCAAACATTAGCTGTTAGTATTACTAGCCTAGTATAGTATATTACTCAGAGGCTTGGGAGGGAAGCACGCTTGGGAGGATAAGGGAGAGAAATGGCGTATGTTTTGTTCTGTCTGTTAATTTCACAGCATCAAAATGTCTGCTGAAAAAGTGGGCTGGAAACTGACTTGTGCAGAACAGCTCCTTTGCAGCGGTTTGGGTTCACGTGTATTGTTTCTCACAGTTGAGCGCAGAGGCACGAAAGGAATTTCCCAAGCTGAAATCCGAGTGGCTATGAATGTGGGAAAACTAGAAGCAAGAATGCTGTGCCGACTTCTTCAAAGATTCAAAGTTGTCAAGGTAACATCATGAGCCTTCCCCCAACACTCGTTGTCTTTGGAGGTGCTTGCAGTGTATTTGAGAACGAGCATCTCAGTCAGAAGACTCGATGGCCTGACATCTGTGTCAAGGAGGCAAATGGCCTCCCCAGGGCTGAGTGCAGTCCATAGCCATGTTATGTCTCGCCTTCACTGTAGTTTCTGTTTGTCTTCACTTTTTAAGAATTGAATGACTTGTCAGCTTTGAAAAGTGCCAGGCATGGTGGCCCACACCTGTAATCCCAACACTTTGGGAGGCTGAGGTAGGGGGATCACCTGACATCAGAAGTTCAAGACCAGCCTGGCCAACATGGTGAAACCCTATCTCTACTAAAAGTACAAAAAATTAGCCAGGCGTGGTGTTGCATGCCTGTAATCCTAGCTACTCAGGAGGCTGAGGCAGGAGAATTGCTTGAACCCAGGAGGCAGAGGTTGCAGTGAGCCGAGATGGCGCCACTGCGCTCCAACCTGGGCAACAAGAGTGAAACTCCATCTCAAAAAGAAAAAGTAGTCAGAAGGTGATGTGGCCACCCCGGGAGCCTACTCCCACATGGGGACAGTCAGCTGGGGCTGGCCACTCTCTGTCCACGTGCTTCAGACAAAGCAGTGCTCTCCAGGGTTCCACCATCCCCACTTGGCCCTCCTTCTTATGCATGTTACTTGCCTGGCACCTGGGGACATCGAGTTGGCCAGCTATGCCTGTCTGGCACTCTTTTGTAATTCAGACCTGTGGTCTCAGCCCCTGACATGCCACTCTCATCTTGCTCACGATCTGGTCATCTGGCTGGAAGGCAGTATTATAGTTGGGTGAGTGACTGCAGCACACTTAGCCCCATCCCTGGCATGTGATAGTACCTAGATGTTACTCTTTTCCTATCAAAGGCCCTGGGAAGAGCCCCTTGCCCTGTTCTAGACGTTAAAATGGGTGTGGATCACTGATGCCCAGTCGACAAATCCTCATGGCAGTGGCTAAGTGGAGCTTGCGTTCCACAGTCTAACTTTTCAGTCTGCATCACAAATGCTTGCTGCGTACTGTCCATTTTGTGTGGGCCACGTCCTGTCCCAGCCACTGGGGCTATATGGAAGGTTAAGTCAGAGCCCTGTCCCTGAGAAGCTCATAGCCTCATAGAGCAGACACACATTCAGGGTTGTACTTCAGAGAAGGATCTCTGTGGAAGGAAGACCTGGGGGATTACAGAGAGGAAGAGCCTGGAGGGAGCATCAGTGGTGCCCAACCCAGGGCCCAGGCAGTAAGACAGGAGAAACAGAAGAAAGCCAATAAGGAAATAGATGCCACAGACCACCTGAACCCCTGTGGGTATGACGCCCTCTTTGCAGTGGGATAAACACATCTTATTCCCTCTAGGGATTCATGGAAGACGAAGGTCGGCAGCGAACCACCAAGTACATTTCCTGCGTGTTTGCAGAGGAGAGCGACCTAAGCCGGCAGTACCAAAGAGAGAAGGCCCGCAGCGAGCTCTTGACCACCGTGAGCCTGGCGTCTATGCAGGAGGAGTCGCTTCTGCCTGAAGGCGAGGACACCTTCCTCTCTGAGTCGGACAGTGAGGAGGAGAGGAGCAGCAGCAAGCGGAGAGGCAGAGGGTCCCAGAAAGACACAAGAGCCTCTGCAAACCTCCGGCCCAAGACCCAGCCTCATCACTCCACCCCAACCAAGGGTAGGGAGCACGTGGGGTGGGCAGGGGCTGCGTGCACTGCACTGCTGGGCACCTGCAAGAAACACCCCTTCAGTTCAGCAAACACCTGCGGTTGCCCTTGGTGCCATCCTAATGAGAGGCCTGACACTGTCACTTGTACCACATCATCATGGGTTTGGAGGAGAGGGTCCTGTGGTATCTCCTGGCTGCTTGCAAATCATTTCTTCGTGGCACGTGTTTTGTTTGCTTGTTTTTACTATTAAAGGATGGAATTTCATAAGCTTCCTCTGCCCCTTCCCTTCCAACAGTCTAAGACTCCTCCAAGTTTTTAGTTTAGTTATAGAAAACTTTTTTTAAATGCATAGAGAGTGGTGCTGATGACACATTTGCAAATCTGGTACCCAGCTCTGAGCCCCCTGGGGACATCGTTAAATGTCCAGCTTAGGGAGGGACTCTTACTGGCATTTTGTAGGTAGAGGCCAGGATGCTGTTTAACATCCTGCAATACACAGGACAGCCCCTGACAGCAGAGAATTACCCAGCCCAGACATCAGCACTGGCCAAGTGGAGAAACCCTGCTGCCGATGAGAGGCCAGAAGGAGGGGCCCAAGCTGCTGCTGGTCCACTTCCCTCACCTTTCAACTGACTCTCAGCAGAATCCTTTGGCCTGTGTGGGTCTGGTCTGATTGCCAAACATGAATGCCCTCCTGGCCTCCCCCTTGATTTGTTCTATCTCTTCCCTCCACCACAGGTGGGTGGAAAGTTGTAAACCTACACCCATTGAAAAAGCAGCCGCCCTCCTTCCCAGGAGCTGCTGAAGAGAGAGCCTGCCAGAGCCTTGCCAGCAGGGACAGCCTCTTAGATACCAGCAGCGTCTCAGAACCCAACGTGTCCTTTGTCTCCCACTGTGCGGACAGCAACAGTGGTGACATAGCTGTGATCGAGGAGGTCCGGATGGAAAACCCAAAGGTCAGTGCATGCAGAGGGAGGGAGCTGTCTCCAAGAAGGAGTCTGTGGCCTCATCGTTTCTGTGTTTAGGAATCACATGATCACAGTGGAATCATCCACAGCGAGAGTGCTGCGTGCCGAGGCCTGCCTGTGCTTCCCAGGCAGTAGCTCTGTGCTTATCTACACACCACTTTCACGCAGCCTGGGCCCTACGCAGAGATTGTCTGCATGGTTATCCACCCAGTGGCTTATTCATTTCCAACAGCTTATTCTTTTCAGTTAGATTTATTTTAGAGGGAAACCTGTATGCCTAATTTAGATCAATGGTTCTTACCCAGTTTTACCCCTTTTCTGTTCATTGGATGCCACAACTCTCTATGGAGTCAGGATTGGCATTTACCCATAGGAGACATTTCGCAATATCTGGAGACAGTTCTCAGTGCCACACTTAGGGAGGGGCTGCTACTGGCATCCAATAGGGAGAGGTTAGAATGCTGTTAAACATCCTACAATACACAGGACAGTGCTTCACAGCAGAGAATTTCCTGGCCCAAATGTCAGCACTGGCAAGGTGGAGAAACTCTGCTTTAGATAAATGGCCAATATCATTTGTCATAAAAAAGAAAGTAATCATAGAATAGATACAATAAAGTCAAAACTGTATTAGTACATTCCAGCCAGTTACTGTTATATATCAAGGAGTTAAAGACACAGTGAAGTCAAACCAGTACTTTCGTCAATATAATTGGAAGGATTAAAAGACAGTTGATAAGGAATGTCTTTCCCATTATGTGATTCGGTTCACCTAATACCATGTCAACACTTGTGACATAACAGTACCCCAGACACTGCCAGTGCCACCCCCTGTATTTTGGAAACACTGAGTAGAGAACGAGGCACCTAGCACGGAGTAGATGCATGGTCTCGGGTGGCTTTTGATGGTGTTGCTGCTGTTTCTTTATGTATTTTTTTAATTAATTAATTTTTTTGAGAAAGAGTCTTGCTGTGGTGCCCAGGATGGAGTGCAGTGGTACGAGCTCGGCTCACTGCAGCCTCTGCCTCCTGAGCTCAAGTGATCCTCCTGCTTCAGCCTCCTGAGTAGCTGGGACTGCAGGTTTCCTCTTCTGCAAGCATATGCCACTGCGCCTGGCTAATTTTTGTATTTTTTTGTAGAGATGGTTTCATCATGTTGCCCAGGCTGGTCTCAAACTCCTGGGCTCAAGTGATCCTCCCGCCTTAGCCTCCCAAAGTGCTGGGATTCCAGGCGTGAGCCACTGCGCCTGGCCACTGCTGTTTCATTCAGCCCTGTAAGGTCAATGTGAGCTTTGGTCTGTGAGAAGAAAGCGAGGCCCCTAGGATGGAGTAACTTGCCTGTGCAGTCCCTACCCTACGCCGCTTCTCCCTTTTTGTGCTTTGGAAGTGTTCCTATGGCAGAGGTGATGGGGCGTGGCGTTGATTTTTTTCTAGACTCTTTCAGGCCTTTTCTATTTATTGGATGCCACAACTCTCTATGGAGTCAGGATTGGCATTGTTTCTAACCAGAGAGGCCGGGCCTTCCAGCAGTGGAGCCCAGCAGCTCCCCTGGAGTCCCGCCTGCCTTCCTCCCTCTGCCATCCCCTTTGCACCTCTGTGCATTCCCACCAGGTCTTAAAGTCCCTGACTTGTTTCCAGTTCAGCTCTTCCTCTCTCTGATGGAAGTCCATTCCCAGAGTAATGGCAGCACCATGGTCCTCCCCGCATCCTTGCTGAGAAGAATGGCACCAACTGTTTGCAGGGAGGCTCTTGGCAGAGCATGTTGCCTTTGCTGTCCAGCAGCCCCATGGAAACTGGCTAGATTCACTCACGTGGTTTTCCCCCAAACTTTTCACCCTGAAGCACGAAGGTGAACGAAAGACTTTCTGCCCCTCTTGGGACTCTTCTTGAATCTTTGATTCTTTCCCCCTTCAGCAAAGAACTGTGTCTTGCCCGGAGCTCCCACAGTGGGCAGGGAAGTGGGCTGGGGCCTGGCCGTTCAGACACCATCACCGAGTGACCTCCTTGGGCACTTTCTCATTTCCTGAAAGTGCTACTCCCAGCTGGGAGGTGGCAAGCAGAACATGCCCTGGGGCTACCATAAGGCATTGACTTGGGTCCAGTGATTCACAAGATGTGTATTAGAGTTAGGATTTCTTTTCCATATAGGGTTCACATTTGGGCTTTCACATTTTGATCCAGTGTTGGGTGAAACAGGTTCATTTTAAGCTCATTAAGAGAGAAAGACATTACAAGAGAAGCAGACAATTTAGCGGGGATAGAAGAGGAAGCACAGATCCACTCATCCTAATTTTCCTCGAGGAAACCTGTTCTGAACTCAAGAGCCCCGCTCTACCTCATGTCACTTTTTGCCCAGAGACTTCCCTGGTTTCTTCCGTCTGGAGTCAGAGGCCCCATCCTGGCACGTTCACTCCCCATGAGACACTGGAGAGTTAGCCACACAGAGCCCTGGTTTCTTCTTCTGTAAAATGGGAACTATGATGATAAAAGTGTTAAGAGTTTTTGAAGAAAAAAGCCCAACAATACTTGGCATGTAATTGTCTGTACATCAGTTTCTTCCATTCCTGTATGGGAGAACCAAGGGGGAATTGAGGGAACGCCTTCCACCTTTTCAGGAGTTGCTGGAGTAGATGCCTCTGATTTCTGTCCTGAAACCAGCTGATCCTCATAAAGTGGTCCGGGGTCCTCTGCTGGCCAATGTCTTTGATTTTCAAAGCATTGAGATGGTAGAGTAGTGGGATTCTGTGTAGGAGAACAGGCTTCTTGGCTTCCCTTCTTGAAAGATGGGAGTAGAAGTTTCTTGAAGAGGGCCAGTGCACCCACAGGTGTGGTGCGTGGCCCCCAAGCCTTGCCGAGCCCATTGCATCTTGTGCTTTCGGTCTCTGTTCTAGGAGAGTAGCAGTTCCCTGAAGACTGGGAGGCACAGCTCAGGCCAAGACAAACCACACGAAACTTACCGACTGCTGAAACGCAGGAATCTGATCATAGAAGCTGTCACCAATCTTCGCTTAATCGAGAGTTTATTCACGTAAGGAGCTGTCTGTCTGTCTGTCTGTCTGCTGGCACTAACAGTAATCCTCCTACCAGTTGGTCATCACAAGCCATGGACACCACTGAGGGGCATTCAAATCTCTGTCCCACTGTGTAGATTCTCATCTCGTTCCTTTGCGGTAGGGAGGATTTAGATGGTCCTCCCTACCATCTAAAGGGATGGAGGAGTATCTCCTCCTCAAAAGGAGCAGATACTGAGGAACATCAGCATGCTAGACAGAGAGAAAATGACTGAGCAGGAAGCAGAAGTCACAGGGAAAGTGCGTTCAGCTTTTCCTTACCTGGAAGATGGTTGCTTCAGAAGGGCTATGGAGACACTTAAGCGAGTAGTAGCATTACTTCCAGACTTTTAGTTCTCCGTGGTGCATTTTGCGCAAATAGAGTCTTCTAGAGGAGAAAAAACAAGAGACACAAGTAGAGCTTCTCTGTTTGGGATGGAGTAGAGGCTCTGAACTCTGATGTGGTTCTTGTAAGCTCCCATCACCACCACCTCCTGGGTGGCATCTTCAACGCTTCTGAGGCACCCAATGTGAGAGCCACTCGGTGAGGAGGAGCCTTACCCTCCATCAGGGACATGGCTTCTTCCTCATACTCCGTGTCTAACGAGGACTGAATGGGAGGGGGTAGGGACCATCTGCACACACTGTCACCTTGTTCGCCTCTGAGCCATGAGAGGTTGAGCTAGGTGCTCCTAATGTCCCTTTTGGCCCTGTATTCTATTTTCTTTTCTTTTTTTTTTTTTGAGATGGAGTCTCACTCTGACACCCAGGCTAGAGTGCATGATGCAATCTCGGCTCACTGCAACGTCTGCCTCCTGGGTTCAAACAATTCTTCTGCCTCAGCCTCCTGAGTAGCTGGGATTACAGGCACCCACCTGGCTAATTTTTGTATTTTTAGTAGAGACGGGGTTTCACCATGTTGGCCAGGCTGGTCTCGAACTCCTGACCTCAAGTGATCTGCCTGTCTCGGCTTCCCAAAGTGCTGGTATTATAGGCATGAGCCACCACGCCCACTGGCCCTGCATTCTATGATCAGTGATCTGGAAAGATCACCATAGTGACTCAGTAAGACCTAGAGGAAGATGTATCCAGAGAGAAGACAAAATGCACTTCAGATCTTAGGGGCTAGTGATAAACCAGAGCAGCCCTTATCTGGGTGTTAGATTAGCATTCGACTTGGTGAAGACAGGTTTCTATCATGGTGCCCAGTTTCCCTGCCATCATGATCTCAAATCGTAGTCTCTTGAGTTGCCGGTGAAAGGCTCAGCTGTGGAGCTGCTGTCTTTGGTGGCTTGTCCTTACCTGATACATTTGCCACAGAGGGAAACAATCATTAACGTCTCAAGAAATCAGTCTTTCCAGGGTGGGGAAACCCCGTTTGATCCTTCCTTGTTTCTATTGGGTACCGTGAGGCATGTCTGTGTTGCCTGGGTTGAGGAAGGCCTTCCATGTTGAGATTGGGAGTGTTATCTGCTTATTTTGTGATGCCCAGGATTCAGAAGATGATCATGGATCAGGAGAAGCAGGAAGGCGTGTCCACCAAGTGCTGCAAGAAGTCCATTGTCCGCTTGGTGCGGAACCTGTCTGAGGAAGGTCTCTTGCGATTGTATCGGACCACTGTCATTCAAGATGGCATCAAGAAGAAGGTAACCAGGGCCTCCCCCGATGCCCAGAGCCAGCCTCGTGCTGTTGGAAGTTTTTGTCTAGCTTCTCTTGTCATTGCTGTATCCTGGTAGTTGCTTTATTACCAGTGACTTGGAATTTCCCATTATGCCTCCTGATTTGGGGAATATGGGTTAGCTGGAAACAGAAAAGAGCAAAAACTTGCTAGGATTGTAAAGCATGTCAACTCCAAGCAGCAGCTGTGCAGGCATCCAGCCCTGTGGTCAGCCTTGAAGAAGCAGAAGGCAGGCAGAGACATATTGAAGTTCAGTCATTGAGGGACAAATGAAATAACATTTAGGTGGGAAATTTAGACTAAGCAGCAAGAATGCTTTCCTCGGAGAGCTGAGGCAACATCCCAGAGGAAGCAATGGCATTGAGTCAGTGAGGATGCGCTGCCGGGTTATCCGATGGGAGCAGTACATCTCTTCTGCCTCGACATATCTATTTCTGTAAAATTTAAAGTTTGCGGGGGGATGCATTCCCATAGCAGCTGCAGCTCAGCAGCTTCACGGACATTCTAAGGCACACGTTTTTCACGGTCAGGGTAATTTGTGATGGTACAGCCAGGCACCAGGGCCAAAGGGAATGGTTGTGTGGGGACAGTCACTCGTAATTTCCTGACCTTTTCTTCTGACTGCATTTTAAATCTCTGCCTTAAGAAAGCTCTGCATTGATATTTTGTTTTCTTAATAAGCTAGCAAGGTCATTTTTGCTCTTCTGCTTTTATTTTTTGAGAAATTTGAAAACTGCAGAGCAGTACAAAAAACTTAAGAAACAACAGTGTCTATCCTTTCCACATTGACAGCTCTCATCAGTTTTTATGTCTGCTATAAGTATTTTTAAAATAAAACAATAATGTCCCCTGGCCCCCTGCTCCCCACTCCCCCACCAGCCTGCCACTTGTTCCCTGAGCAGTGGCAGTGTGTTCCTGTGCTGACCTCCCTCAGAGAAGGCCAAGAAAAACTGCAGCCCAGTAGTAGCAGTGCCTTCTATTTCTGTTGATCTTCAAAGAGTGCAGTCACTGAAGACAGGAACCCCCCACCCTCCAGTCTAGGGTTAGGGAGAGACAGGAAGGTATAGGCATCTGCTGTGTCTCCAGGCATTGCTGGAGGGAGTGGGCGAGGGATGGGGGCAGCGGGTAAGCATGGGGGGCCACATAACCTCAAAAATGAAAGTGCCCAGGCCTCTTGCCACAAGGTCCCACTACAGTAGCTGGTTTTTCCGGCTGGAAGGGGCTTCCGTCGTGTGCATGTGACTCTAGTACCAGCGTAGGTTTCCAGGCAGGACTTTCTCTGGCACCCAGAGCATGTGCTGCTGGCAGCCTTTGATCTGCTGGGGCCATGTGAGCTGGAGCTGGTGCGTCTGTGTCAGTCTTTTGCCTTTGCTCCTGTGTCTTGCCCGGAAAGTGGGGCAATGTGAATGCTGTATATTTCTCCCTTGCCTTTGAATTCTCTGAAATGTTGCCTTACTGCGTCTCATTTGAGCTTCACAAAACCACAAAGCTGGTGGTTGGGGGTGGGGGCAGGGTGGTCCTTATTTCACAAATGAGGATTCGGAGAAAATGAGCCAAGTGTGGCATTCGGGAGCCCTTGTCTAGGCGTTGCTTCCTGCCCCCTGTTTCCAGATCTTTCTGAGCCCATGTTCAGCATGAAGCTGCTGGCCAGAGTGGATGCTCAGACAGCCTGACCTTGCTGTCCCCGGCCTCAGCAGAGACAGGCAAGAAGCCTGGCTCCCTGGGGGCCTGGCCGTCCTCACCTGCCACAACATGGCTGGTGTGCTCACACACACCCTGCCCCACTCCACCTCTCCCTGCTGGGCATTCAAGTTACTTCCCTTCCACACAGTCTGTTTTTCATCCTGTGTATCTCTCATGAAATGATAACCACCTTAACTGTTGAGCTTCAGTAGCTCGGAAAAGGTAAAACAACAAAAGCAGCTCTAAATCCTCTGCCGGTTTGTTTGGACGTGTGCCTGGCAGGAGTCCCATGACGCCACTCTCAGCAAGGGTAGATTAATGAAAGCTGCTTACCTTTTCCAGATGGAAGCCCTCAGGACTCACAAGCAACTGGGAAATTCTCAGATAGTGGGAAGGGGGCACGGAGCAGCCCTCCAGGTAGCAACAGAGACCAGTGGGCTGTGACGGCCCAGTAAGGGACTTGCAGGGAGACAGCTCTGTGTCCAGGCCAGATTTCTCAGTGGGACCGAGCAGCCCCGGCACCCATGGCAGAGCCTGATCGCTTGGTCACTTGAGGAATTTTGCCGCCAGTAGCTGTACCAGCAAACTGTTGAGCAACAAATTTTGTTTCGATCTCCTAATCGTGTTTTGGAAATGTTAATGAAAACAGGTATGACTGAGGTTCCACTAGGAATCGACTGTGGAGCCAAGTCTTCCTCAGCTCTTCCCTCACCCTGTGGGATGCTCCAACCTCTCTCTCCAGGTGGATCTGGTGGTGCACCCGTCCATGGACCAGAACGACCCTCTAGTGAGAAGTGCCATCGAGCAGGTCCGCTTCCGGATCTCCAATTCAAGCACAGCCAACAGGCAAGTGGAGGTGCCCGGGAAGAACCCATAGCAAGGCTGCCAGGTCTGTGTGTCAGCCTACAGCAATCCAGAAGAGCCCTTTCTTTATACCTGCATGGATCAGTGAATTTGTTGGTTTGGAGTTCATGGTTCATGATCTCCTAGTCTCAATAAGGACCAATTTCAGGATTCTTTAGGGGGAAAAAAAAAGTCCTAATGGTCTTTATTCTGTCTGATAGAGTGTGGACAGAGCACTCCCCATCATAGGCCTCTGATGTCTGACACTCACTCAGTCTCATAATGGCTCACAGTGATTCTGGTTGCCTTTCTCAGATCTTTTCTAATTTTGTTCATAAACCATGTAATGAGCTGAGAGAAAACTCAGGGGAGGGAGAAAGTTCTCAGCTGTGTCTCAACTAGAAACTCTCACAGGCAGGCAGAGGGCTGATCTGGCTTGCACATGATAGTTTGTGGGATCTGCCAAGTATTGGCCACACATACTTTGAATCAGTTGCTGGTTAATTTCTCATATAATTACTGACTTCTAGCGTTGATGCACATGTCTGAAGATCTAGCACGTTGGGTTCCCTTTCTCACAAGGCAGCACCCATAAGTGGGGGTGCCCTCTTCAGGGCCCCACAATCCCCACCACCCCCAAAAGTTTCAGTGACCTGACATTTTGTTTGCATCATCTCCCTGGCCCCTACAAGGAGCAGAATTTGAAACCCCCAGGCCAAGAGGCTGTATCTGATTCATGCAGACAGACTCTGTCCTTTCTCTTAGCCCTTGATTTTCTCAGTACATTATTGCATGTTTATTTGAACTGCAGGGTTAAAACTTCCCAGCCTCCAGTGCCCCAAGGGGAGGCAGAAGAAGACAGTCAAGGAAAAGAGGGCCCAAGTGGATCAGGGGACTCTCAGCTGAGTGCTTCCTCTAGATCAGAAAGTGGACGGATGAAAAAAAGTGATAATAAAATGGGCATAACCCCGCTTAGAAATTATCACCCCATTGTAGGTAAGCTGCAGCTTCTTGTCTGTGTTTAGTTACATTTGATTTGTTGTTTGTATGACAATGTTTGAGGCACTTGGTCCTCTCCATTTGAGCTCCGAGCCGCAGTCAGAAGAATCGCGTCTGAGCTGTGGGCTGGATCCTGTTACTCTGGCCGCATAACTTCTTCCAGCATCTGTTTGTCTATCTGCAAAAATGGGAACAATTCTGCCTGCCATACCCTACAAGGCTTTGGAGAGACTCAGATGAAATCCTGCTAGATCCCAATATGAGGAAAGATTAATTTCTTCTGCTGAATGTCCTTGAGCTGGAACATTCTACAAACTACAGAAAATTTCTTCCTGTCCCAACTCGACAAATCCCCTGGCAGCACAGTCATTGATGAGTCTGAGTGCTCCTATAATTTCCTCAGAGTTGGAGCACTGATGGGTTCCCTCATCCCTCATTTCTAAACTTGTGCTGAACAAGGCAGGTGGCCATGGCATTATAATCAGGATGCTCAGCTCCTCTCCGGGCCATAGCACATGTGCTGGTTCAGGAAGGAGGGCAAACTTGACTCACCGGGGCCCGGCTGTCTGTCAGGCAGCGTCAGGTCCAGGACACACTAGACCCAGGGATTCCAAGTGGAAGAGGTTGTGTGTGTGACTTCCCTTTCCTAGGGCTGCAGCCCCACGGTGTGGCCTTTACTCTCAAGGTTTCCCTGTTAGAAGGCACAGGTGAAAGAGGAACAGCAGCATGAGTGCATGCAACTAGACAGCATTTGCACTCGAATGGACCAGGGGCAGCGCGGGTGTTCCTCGGGTGGGCCTTCTGACTGCCTGTCCTGCACCCTCTTGCTGTGCCTACCTCCTCTCACAGCCATCATCTCTCACTGGGGAAAATCAAGCAACAGCGCATTTGTATCAACAAAGAAATAAGCCCCTTTAAAAGAACTGAGATGGCTGGGTATGGTGGCTAACGCCTGTAATCCCAACACTTTGGGAGGCCAAGTGGAGCATATCATGAGGTCAGGAGATCGAGACCATTCTGGCCAGTGTGGTGAAACCCTGCCTCTACTAAAAATACAAAAATTAGCTGGGTGTGGTGCCTACAGTCCCAGCCACTTGGGAGGCTGAGGCAGGAGAATTGCTTGAACCAGGGAGGTGGAGGTTGCAGTGAGCTGAGATCATGCCACTGTACTCCAGCCTGGGCAACAGAGCGAGACTCTGTTTCAAAACAACAACAACAATAAACAACAAAAACTGAGATTATGGAATATTTGGCACAGTTCTCATCAAGCCAGAAATCCTTATCCAGTAGCTTCTTAGGCCCTCTGTTAGGTCGTTCTTATTATAAAGGCATACCTGAGGCTGGGTCATTTGTAAAGAAAAGAGGCTTAATTGGCTGACAGTTCTACAGGCTGTATAGGAAGCATGGTGCCAGCATTTGCTTGGGTTCTACTGAGGCCTCAGGAAGCTTCCAGCCATGACAGAAGGTGAAGGGGGGCAGGCACATCACCTGGCAAAAGCAGGAGCAAGAGAGAGAGTTGGGGGAGGTGCCACACACTTTTAAACAACCAGATCTCATGAGGATGGCACCAAGTCATGAGGGATCACCCATACCCAGACGCCTCCCACCTGGCCCCACCACCAGCACCGAGGATCACATGCCAACATGAGATGTGGAGGGGCATCCAAGCCTTCCCACCCTCCTTGTTGGTTCCCTGCTCGATTGCCCTCCTGCCGCAGGTGCTGCACTCTGCTTCCTTGCTCCACTTCCCCTTCCAGGAATGTGCGGGGCACACCCCCACCTCAGGCCCCTTGCATTTGCCCTGTAGGCAAGCCCCAAGGGTTCTGCACTGCCAGCAGCTCCTTCACCGACTGGAGTTCACTCTAAGGCTCCCCAGTGAGGCCTCTCCTTTTGTAGAATTGCAGCCCTCCTCCCATCTGTGCTTTATTTTCTGCACCAGCTGTTTTCGTCTGATGGGCTATTTTAGATATTATATTTTATTATCCGTTCTTGCCCATTAGAAAGTAAGCTCTAAGACAGTAAGAATATTTGCCATCTTTCTGGCCCCTGGCACATAGTGGCACTCAATCATTTTTTAATGAATTAAAACTGAATTCAGTATGGGATTTTTCAAGCACCGCCCTCTCCCTCTCTTGCTTTAGTTCCCGGACTGGGGCGTTCTCTAGGATTTCTGCCCAAAATGCCTCGCCTGCGGGTGGTCCACATGTTTCTGTGGTACCTCATCTACGGGCACCCTGCCAGCAACACCGTGGAGAAGCCAAGCTTCATCAGTGAACGGAGAACGATAAAGCAGGAGTCAGGCAGGGCAGGCGTCCGGCCGTCCTCCTCTGGAAGTGCCTGGGAGGCCTGCTCTGAAGCCCCATCTAAAGGCAGCCAAGATGGTGTCACCTGGGAGGCTGAAGTGGAGCTTGCCACGGAGACAGGTGAGAGGCCCCTGCCACTCCTGCACCTGGGGCGGGCAGGCCCAGTAGTAGGATCCAGGGAGAAACATGATAGTTCCTTTTCCTTATATAAACTGGCTGCAGCCTCTGATCCAAATGGAAACATAATCCACACTTCCTGAACCTGCAGGCTTTCTTCCTCATCTTCCTTCCTGCCTGACAAGTAGAGTTTTCCTCAAATTAGGGGTAAAGACACCAAGACCTCCTGGGAGATGACGTTACCATGTGTCACCATGGTGACTGGTATCCTGGCTGCCGGGGGTAACCGTGCGTTTTTTTCCTAGTGTATGTCGACGATGCCTCGTGGATGCGCTACATCCCCCCAATCCCAGTCCACAGGGACTTCGGCTTTGGCTGGGCTCTCGTCAGCGACATCCTCCTCTGCCTTCCCCTCTCCATCTTCATCCAGATTGTGCAAGTCAGCTACAAGGTATTGGTGACAGGAGCCATTATCACAGGAATTGCCCCTCAGCTCTGGGCTGGAGGGCCTACACTCACCTGGGCAAGGGAGGATACTTGAAGACCCGGTGTTGCCCAGATGAATGGATTGGTGGATAGATGGATAGGCAGATGCTCATTCAAGGGAAAATATTTTAAGGATTTGTTCGAGATAGATTAGACTAGATTAGATTAGAAAGATGATTGGGTGGATGGGTGGGTGGTTGGCGGGTAAATACTTTAAAGACTCGCTCTTCTAAATGGATCTATTGGTAGGTAGGTAGACAGAAAGACAATTATATTACAACAATAAAACGTGGTTTTTTTTGTTTTTTTTTTTTGTTTTTTTTTTATGAGACAGAGTCTTGCTCTGTCGTCTAGGCTGGAGTGCAGTGGCGCGATCTCTGCTCACTGCAACCTCTGCCTCCCAGTTTCACGCCATTCTCCTTCCTCAGCCTCCCAAGTAGCTGGGACTACAGGCACCCACCACCACGCCAGGCTAATTTTTTATATTTTTAATAGAGACGGGGTTTTGCCATGTTAGCCAGGATGGTCTCAATCTTCTGACCTTGTGATCCGCCCGTCTTGGCCTCCCAAAGTGCTGGGATTACAGGCGTGAGCCATTGCACCCGACCAAAACATGTTGTTTTTAGAAATTTGGTAAATAGAGAAAGATAAAATAGAAATTACCCATAACTGTATCACTCATAGAGATAATTACTACTAAGTAATTATCTTCTTGGTAAGGTTTTTGTAGTCTTTTATTGCTATGCCATACTTGTATGTACACGGGTATGTGTGTGATCTCCCTTTAAAAAAAAAAGCTGAATTGAAACTATATTCACTCTTTTATTGTCTGTGCTTTTGACTAAAGAATGTTTTGTATTTTTTGCATCATTAACTTTTTAGACTTGATATTAAGTAGAGTCATAGTATTCTTATGTGTCTAATTTATTTAACCATAATATTTTCTATTTTTGGACATTTAAATTCCACTTTCTTACTACTGTTGAGTAGGTATTTATTATGACATGTTGATGAATACCTTTTGGGTAGACATAGATTGGCGGCTCCAGCATTTTTTCCTTTGGGTAAGGATAGGAGCAGAATCACTGGCTTCAAAAGGAACGCGTGTTCTCTATCTCATCTTTTCTTGTTTAAAATATAAATGTATATATTCTTATGTTGCCCCCGGGAAAGGTTTAGCAATTTCTATGCCTACCAGCAGGGTATGAGGGCACCTGTTTATTGCCCTCTGCAGTGTGGTAGATGGGCTGGAGGGGAGGGGCAGCGAGGCCAAAGGCAGAGATGCAGGGGCACTTGGTGGGGCAGGAAGGAGAGCCCAGTGGGCAGGTTCAGGGAGACTATGGTCAGAAAATAGTGGCGAGCACTTTTTCAAGATTCTTGCAGGTCGCCCTGGCCCTCAGGGCGAGCTGAACCTGCACATCACCTCTTCAGGTGGACAACCTGGAGGAATTTCTGAACGACCCGCTGAAGAAGCACACGCTGATCCGCTTTCTCCCCAGGCCCATTCGGCAGCAGCTTCTGTACAAGAGGTGAGGCCATTGAACCTGACCCAGAGTAGTCGCAGGTCCAAACAAACCCTTAAGTCAGGGCTCTAAGCCATCATTCACCAGGAAGAGGAAAAGGTTTCTAACTTCCAGCTTGCAAAAACTCAAGATTTTTATTAAGTTATTAATATTAATGAAGTATGGGCTGGTATATTTTATTACTTGATTTGAAGGTTCTTTTAAAGTAAAATCTGCTGCTAGTGTCTGCAAGTATCGGAATTTTTTTTCCCTTTCATTACTTTTACTTTCCAAATCAAATCCCTAGTGTCGGGTTGATCTCTGTGGCCCTGGTTGGGTGTTAGGTTGGGTAGTTCTGGGCCTTAGTGCAGTGTGGGCTTGAGGCTGGTCCTCCAGTGACCACCAGGTGGAAAAGAGAAGAAGGAAGTCGCACCCCTCACCCCACATGCAGACCCCTGCGGCCGGCTGCGAGTGTGGTGTGATGAGAACCTCCCGCCCCCTCTGTTTTCTAGGCGTTACATTTTTTCGGTGGTGGAGAACCTTCAGAGGCTGTGCTACATGGGGCTGCTACAGTTTGGTCCCACGGAAAAGTTTCAGGATAAAGATCAGGTAATGTCCCTCAAGCCCAAACGAAGGAAATTCTGATTGTTAAACGGTCTCCAAGCAGCCAGACCCAATGTGGGTTCTCCCTGTCTGGTGTCTCCCCTTAGGTCTTTATCTTCTTGAAGAAGAATGCAGTCATTGTTGACACTACCATCTGCGACCCACATTACAACCTGGCCCGCAGCAGCCGGCCCTTCGAGAGGCGCCTCTATGTCCTGAACTCAATGCAGGATGTGGAAAACTACTGGTTTGACCTGCAGTGCGTCTGCCTCAACACCCCACTAGGTGGGTGTCGGCTGTCTCGGCTGAACCTGGCTGCTTTTGCTCCTTTCTGTGTGCTAACTGGGATTTAGGGCTAGAAAAGCCTAGGAGTTGCCTCAACCAGTGGTATGTTCCGAGTGCTCCCCAGAGGCCCAGAGCACCCCTGGGGCTCCCTTGGAAAGGAAAGTGGCGGGCCTTGAATGGGTGGGGTGCTTCCGGTTCCCCCACTCAGTTGAGCCCAAGTAGCTGCACTTTGTCTTCATTTGTTCATTGAGTAGGTATTTATTAAACACACCGGCTGTGTGTCACTTCCTGTGCCTGACAGTGCCACAATGAGAACACAGCCCGCCCTGCCTTCGTGAGACTCAAAATCTAGTGTGAAGAGGAGACACAGCTCACAGGAGTGCAGTGAGGGCCTAGGTGTTGGTTGGGGTGGTGTTTATTCCAGGGCTCGGGAACAGCCTTGCTGAGGAGGAGACATTGGAGCTGAATTCTATAGGATGAGGCAGAGCCAGCCAGGGCCAGAGCTGGGGAGGGCATCCCAGGCAGGGGCAGTGACACAGGCTGAAGCCTTGAGTGGTATGTTGGAGAAAGAGAGGAGGCCATGTGGGTAGGAGGAGAGTGGCCGTCCACTGGTGACAGTGAGGAGGACAGGACAGGCCTAGAGGTGTTTTGGAGGGAACTGATCAGATGTGCTGGTGACTTGGCTGAGTTGGGCTTTGTGGGGAGCCTCTGCCCACACCCCTCTCTCTCCCTAGAAGGACCCTCCCTCCCACACTGGCTTCTCAGATGCCCACTCCTACTTCAGGTGTCACCTCTCAGAGAAAGCGTGTCCACACCTTTATTAGCATCATTCCATTTCATCTTGGGAGTTCCTTGTGCCTAGAATAGTTGGCTTCCATCCCCATGATGTGTCGCAAAGTGTCGGGTGCACAGTCGGCATCCTGTAAATGTGGATCAAATGCATGGAGGGTCTACGGAAGGCAAGAGAGCCTCCCCTGCAGTGCTTTTCCTCCAGGCCTTTCTCCACCTGGCCTTTTCCTGCCACCTCTACCAGGAGAGAAAGGAAGCCACGTTCAGCTTGCACCTCCAAGAGGAGTTCCATTCCGCTCCTCCCTTCTTGAAGCTGAAAGATCCAGTATCACACTTTGATTTTTGCAAAGTGGGAGTCACACATTTTGCTTGGCAGAATTATTTAATGCCAAGAGTAATAGCACTTGTATTTAGAAACTTTCATGGGTCCAGACGTATTTTAGAACAGTGTGTTTCATAGAATCCTCTGGCATTCAGCAGTGAGCTAGGCTTTTGCCAATTTAGATTTTAATAATGCCCTAATTCCCCTGCATTTTATATCTAGATAAAAATTTGTGAACCAGCATGAATTTGCACCAGAGTTTTTCAGGCCTGACAATTGGTGAATTTCCATCCCTTTAGGTGTTCATGAGCAGAAATGGCAAAGGCTTATTGAGCCCCAGTAATCAGGCATTGATTGTCCCTTCATTCAATAAACATTTGAAGAGGTTCTACCCCCAGGATGAGGGGAAAAGCGTCATATAATGAGATGCAATCATCTTTTAGAGCAGGTGCTGCATGAACATTAGCCTGCGTAAGAATCACCTGAGCAGCATATTAAATGCTGATTACTGGGCCCTACCTGGAGAGTCTGCATTTTTCACAAGCAGACTTGTGGTGCTGCTGTTATTTATATGAGAGAAGCTTTGCCTTAAATATTGTTAGTTTCAAGGGTCCATTCAAACGGGTGACCTTGGGCAAGCTACTTGTAACCTCCCTGAATCTCAGTTTATTTCTAAGCTGAGAACTCCACTGCCACCACCATATGGGCCAAGGTGAAGTTGGGCAAGGCGTCTCAAGTAAAGTTCCAGCTGCTGTGGGTGAGGCCCTGAGCTCCCACTGCCCCGGGCCCCACCGGCCATGCCATCAAGCCGAGGTCTCCAAGCATGCTAGGAGAGAGTCTTTGAGAGTCTGCAAACCTTCCCTCACCTATCAAGCAGTGCTTTTAGTGGTATTTTATATTTCTTTGCAAGAAATGCAATTTTCTGTATTACAGAATAACTGGATATCATTTCTCAACTCCATTAGCAAACCTCTTGAGCACTTAGGAGACATCTGGCTGCTCCTGGAGCCAGGTGGGGCCCAGGCCTGCTGCGTGCAGTGCATCTCAGCAATCTGTCTGTACAGGCCCCTCCGTATCCCTGCCACCACCAGCAAGGGCAGTCGTTTCTGCCACCTTGGCCCCAGCATCTCCCGGGGCTTTCCAGGAGGCAGGAAGGCCTGGGTTTCCCCTGCGCTGGACTCCCTGAGCCTGCCGGGCTCTCTCGACTGCCTTGCCTGCCTTCTGTCTTCAGTGAATTCAGCCTGGCATAGACCCTTTCCTTAGGTCACCCACCAGCACTCCAACTCTCTTCCTCTGTTCCCTCTGACTTTCTTGTATGGATATTTTGTACGAAGAGGTCTTACCAATCTCAGACCCCCGCAGTGGCCGGGGAGCCTTTTCACAGGCAGGGAATCCACTCTTCTTCCCCACCCAGCCAGAGGTAGTAGCCACCAGAGCTGCAGCAGGAAGGCGTGATTGGTCACCCTGATGTTTGGTTTTCCAGGCGTGGTGCGCTGCCCGCGCGTCAGGAAGAACAGCAGCACAGACCAGGGCAGCGACGAGGAGGGCAGCCTGCAGAAGGAGCAGGAGAGCGCCATGGACAAGCACAACCTGGAGCGCAAGTGCGCCATGCTGGAGTACACCACGTGCGTGTCCGTCCCAAGCGCGGCCGGCCAGGACTGGGCTGCGGTGGTGCTCATTTCAGATGCCTGCCCGCCCTTGTCTGGCTTAGGATGTCAGGCCAGACGGCCTGTGTCTCCGGTGCAGAGGCTGCAGATGGCTGGCTCCAGACATACTTTATTTAGCCCACATCTTGTTTTTAAAAATGTAATCGGTTGTCAAAATTTATTTTGGGAATTTTATATAAAAATCTGGATTTTTGACTTATCTTGCAAAAGTGAAAACCAGTCAACACTTAGGGCCCCCAAGTTCTTCATTGCTACCTGTGGGGTGTTTTTCTGGAAAGGTGAAAGTTGGTTATAAATAAATGTCCCTCAACCCATGCCATGGGCTCTCTTTTTCGGTGATGACCAAGAAGGGCTCTTTTCTGTTGATTTCCTGTCTTTTAGTGGAAGCCGTGAGGTGGTGGATGAAGGCTTGATCCCTGGAGATGGGCTGGGTGCCGCAGGGCTCGATTCCAGCTTCTACGGACACCTCAAGCGCAACTGGATCTGGACCAGCTACATCATCAACCAGGCCAAAAAGGTGGGTGTGCGTCACACCGGACTACAATCTCAGGGGTCCTCGCTACTCACCCTCCTGTCCCTCCCTGCCTGACCAGAGACACAAATACTGGCTTCCGTTTGTATTGAAGGTGCGTCAGGCCCCTTAAATGTGTGCCTGGCCTGTTTTATTCCCAGTGGATGCTAACTTACGCTGTGACGTGGACAGGTATTCCTTTTTAAAGAAGGATCAGAAGGTCTGGGTGACACAGGTCCTCCAGGAGGGAGTGCATGAGCAATGGTAAAGCGGGTGGCAGGAGACTCCAGCCCCTGGCTGTCAGTGCACAGCGGCCCTTACCTTCCTAAGAGACCTCGGTGCATTTGTTACTCTGGGCGGCTGGGGATTTGTGGAAGCTCATGCTTCATCCCAGTGCTGTGCTTGTCTCACAGGAGAACACTGCCGCAGAGAATGGACTCACAGTGAGGCTCCAGACATTTCTGTCCAAGCGCCCAATGCCCCTCAGTGCCAGAGGTACGTGTGCTGGGAGTTCACCCCAGAAGTTAATATGGTACCAGTTCAGGGCCTAAACGACTACCCTATGTTCGGTTTGGTCTTCCTGGCCTTTGCAGCACTCGTCCTGAAACTGTTGTCTCCTGTGATTATGTCTAGGCAACAGCAGGTTGAATATTTGGGGGGAAGCAAGAGTAGGCTCCGAGCTCTGTGCTGGCTGGGAAGAGCAGTTTGAGGTGGACCGAGAGCCCTCGCTGGACCGAAACCGGAGAGTGAGGGGTGGGAAAAGCCAGAAGCGGAAGCGGCTGAAGAAGGACCCTGGGAAGAAGATCAAGAGAAAGAAGAAAGGTTATGTGGTGATCATTTTCATTTACTGGGCCTTGTCTTTGTTTTGGCTTGGAGATGTGCGACAGCCTCACTCCAGCCAGGCCTGAGCTCTGCCCTTCAGCACGGGTTTCCGCCTTCCCTCGATGTGTGGCGCTGACTCTCTATGATGGTTGCTTTATTTCCACATCCATTTGGCAGATGAGAGAGACTCGAATATCCCGTATGCTTCCCCTGCTTTCTCCGCCTTTGTATCTTTTAGAGCTTCTGACTTTAGGAACTCATTCAGTTCAAATGCCTAGTTTCATCTCAGCTGAAAAAAATGTCAGCAACAGCCTCATCACAACTAGCCAAGATCCTAATTTTGGGGGAGTTTACCTTTTAATATCTGTGTTTATGCTAATCAGGCCAAAGTTCAAAGGCATGTTGCATTTTAATTTTTTAATTTTTATTTTTTTGCGTCAGAGTCTCACTCTGTTGCCCAGGCTGGAGTGCAGTGGTGTGATCTTGGCTGACTGCAACCTCCGCCTCCTGGGCTCAAGCAATTCTCCTGCCTCAGCCTCTCAAGTAGCTGGGATTACAGGCGTGCGCCACCACACCCGGTTAATTTTATATTTTTAGTAGAGACGGGGTTTTGCCATATTGTCCAGGCTGGTCTGGAACTCCTGACCTCAAGTGAGCCGCCATGCTGGTCCCATGTTGCATTTTTAAATTAGAGGAAAGCTGGGAGTCGTGTAAGCCTGCAGCACCTTCTGATTTGATGCACCCCTTGTGCGGTGCCTTTTAGACTGCCATTTTGAGTTCTTCATCCGGCCAGTATTTATAGCAGAGGGAGTGGAAAGGAGACCAGTGTCTAGTTTTTAGACCACTTTCATATTGCCTAAGTGGTCCACAAGTTTTAACAGCAGCCACTGACGGCTGGTAGCTATTTCAGTTAAAGACAGAATGTTTAAACAGGAACCTGTTTTTAGTGGTTTATTTGGCTGGCGTTCATAACAAATAGCATTCCATCAGTTGAAATGGCCCCCTCAGTTTCGCCTGTCGTAGATATGTGTAAGACCAATTTGGCTTAAAAACCTGAATTCATCACAATGCAAAATGTGGTGGTGTCACTTCGAGTCCAAATTTCCTTTCCCCACTTTTCTTCTGCCTTAATTTGGAAGACACTCGCTAAACAGTCTTTTGAGATTGGCAGTGGCATATGGTGTCTGTCCTGTGAAGGTGCTATCAGTACCTCCCCTGGGCAGGAGACCTTGGCAGCCCTGTGGCTACGCTCTCAAGGTTCAGATCCTCCCTCTGTTGCTGACTCAGCTGTGTGACTTCAGCAAGTCACTGTATGTCTCTGTGTTCCTCAACAAAAAACAGTGATAACAATTGTATCCATTTCATAAGGTTGCTATAAAGTAGTATTCTAATTATAAGATAATATGTTGAAAAAGCATAAACCAGTGCTAGGCACACAATGAATATTCCCTGATGCTAGACTGCTGTTTTGGTGGTGGTGGTGCTGTTTAGTTATTAACTACACCGATCTCACTGCTGATGTTAGTTATTTAGTAGCCACCACTGTGTGCTGGATGTTTTATATGCAGTCTCCTTCCACCCTCTCCATGGCCCTGGAGCAGAGGCCTTATTGTCCCCAGATGCACTCAAGTCTACACAACGCCCGTGTGGTCACAGAGCAAGGGAGCGTGGGGGCCTGGTGACTGCACAGTCCCTGGTCCTGCTCACTCGGTGGGTACGCCCCGAGCACGCACTGTAGGCTTCTGTACAAGATGCCTTCAAAGGACTCTGTCACAGTGGGGGAGATTGGAGATTGGCAGATAACCAACTAGAGGCTGCATTGAGCCTTCCAACCTGTTGCTGTGAAATTTGATCAAGATAAATGATGAAAGGGATTTAAAAAAAAATAAAATCTATCAGAAGGGGCTGGGTCTTTTGCAGTTAGTTTATGTGACTTTAGATACAATGAGTATCTGCTAACCAATACCATTAGTCACATCTCACTGGCTGGGTAGGGAACCTGCCCCTCTGCAGAGTGACAGCTCCAAACCAGGTGTTAGAGGTCTCCTGCCTTCTCCCTCTGGTGTTTTTAGGAGAGTTCCCAGGAGAAAAAAGCAAAAGGCTGCGCTACCATGATGAAGCCGACCAGAGTGCCCTGCAGCGGATGACGCGGCTTCGTGTCACCTGGTCTATGCAGGAGGATGGGCTGCTTGTGCTGTGCCGCATTGCCAGCAATGTCCTCAACACCAAGGTACCAACCAGCCCAGCCCAGCGGTGGGCCTGCCCCTCACTCGGAGCTCCTTCCTGTCTGAGCCTTCCGGGGACTCCCAGCCAGAGACCACTCCTCTCAGCTGCTCTGCTTCGCCACTGGGAAAAGCATTGCCCAGAATCCTACACATTTTCTTTTTTAGAAAGATGGAGCCTTGCTCTTTCACCCAGTCTGGAGTGCAGTGGCACGATCACAGCTCACTGCATCCTCAACCTGGCCTCAAGTGATCCCACCTCAGCCTCTCATAGTCCTGGGACTACAGGCGCACCCTGCCATGACCAGCTAATCCTACAAATTAATACCATTCTGTTTTTCTACATTTCTTTTTAGCTTTCAGCTGCATACATATAAATGTTTGCCTAGCTGCAGGCAAACTAGTTCAGAGCTGTTCTTTCTCTCTCCTCACCAGTAGTCTAACCCTGGCCTGCTCCTTCCTCCCACCTTCATTGCCTGAAAAGCTCCAATTTACCTTCCTGTAACTGCCCATCATGTCCGGAATGATCTGCCAATTGGGCGTAATTACCCTGCTCATTCTCTGTTCTTGGCCGGATACTTCTCATGCTGTTTCTGTCACCTCTGGTACCTCTTGGCTCACCGGCGTGGCTGGTCCACAAGGCAGCGAGACCTCTTATTTGCCTTCCAGGAAAAAGCTCTGCCAGTCCAGTCCAGGGCCCCTTCCAGGCAGTAGTGCCACAAGGCAGCTTTGGAGGAGCCCGGGTGTGCCTCCGGGTCTCAGCCAGGCCAGGCAGGAGAAACCCAGCTGGGGCTTTGTGCCCAGATGCTCCTTGCCTGCCAACTATTAGATCCCTTGTCTTGACCGCTTGTCCCCTGTTCTCTCATCCCTCAGTCCTCTCCTGAATTCCATCCCAACCTCTTTTCCAAGGAAGAACCTGAAAGGTGACATGTTGCCATCCCTAATTTCTGTTCCCTGCATCTGCAATGGCTTCGTCATTGCAGAGCTGATGGGTAAGTGGGGCGTCCCTCCATCTGCTCCAGCTCTGGTGCAGCTGGAGGAGGCAGGAGGGTCCTGCATAGGTCAGTGTTGATGGACTCTCGCCGCTTACCAGAACTTACAGACTTTTTGGGTCACCTCATCCTTGGGGATGTAAGAAAATAACTCGTCAAGCGGCTTTCTCATGTCGGCCTTGCCTTCCTGTGTTATTGACCAAGATGTTCTCCTGGGTCTGCTAATTTTGTACATTCTGCTTCTACTAACATAACATACAAGCACAACATACAGAACGTTTCTGAGCACACATGATGCATAATTAGGACACTAAGACCTCTAACTAAACACACTTTGCATCCCCATGATTCCCTCTAATACAGCGCCCTTTCAGGCAGTTCCCCCCCGCCCCGTTGGGCACCTTTGTCACACATGGCGCTTGCTAAAATACACTCTTTCCCGCTGGTCACTGAGGCCTCGTCCTATACTTGTCTGCCCAGAATCTCCCTCAGTGTCTGGCACATGGTGGGCCCAGTAAATATTGTGAGGTGACAGTTGTGGGGATTCTCTGAGGAAGGAGGCTGCACAAAACACATTTTGTCCACTTTTTTATGGTAATTCCCCATGATGTCGTCTCTGAGGATACTGACTTTTTGTCTTGGCTCTGTGTTTGATCCAGGTGAAGGGCCCATTTGTCACCTGGCAGGTGGTACGGGACATTTTGCATGCCACGTTTGAAGAGTCTTTGGATAAAACATCTCATTCCGTTGGACGAAGAGCTCGCTACATAGTCAAAAACCCACAGGCCTATCTCAACTATAAGTAAGCCTCATTGAAGCCCCGTCACTCCGGGACACGGTTACGTTATCCCGTTTGCTTAAGAGTCTGGTGGGAAGTGTGGCTGGAGCACACTGAGGTGTCTGATGGGCTGGCCAAGTGTTGGAGTCTGCTGGGGAGATGGACCTTGGTTTTTTGAGGGTGAGGGCCAAGCATGATTCTGGGTGCTTTCCCATGCAAGGTATTGCTTAGACCTTATAGCGGCCATGAGAAGTAGGTGGTGGTATCCTTTTTTTGGATGAAGAAGCGGAGACTAGATAGGCTGACTCGCTAAGTACCACGTGCCTAGCTGGTGGTGGAGGCAGAGGCAGAGGCTGGCTTTTCCTGCTGTTTTTGGCCCTCAGAGCAGTTCCTGAGAGCTCTGATTGGTGGCTCCCTCCAGCAGCAAGCTAGGCAGGACCTGGGATCATTGGACAGGATGCCCTCTGCCATGTTCTTAGCAGAGCTGAGAACTGTCTTCCTGCCCTGCCCTTGTGTGTGTGACCTCAGGGAGTCCCCTTGCCTTACCAGGCTGTAAAGCGGAATGAGTCTGTACCTGGCAAGCTCTTTATGAAGGCAGCAGTGCCTGGTGGACGGGAGCCCAGCAAATGCTGGTCGCCTTCCCCTTCATTTTCTTTTGGGCAAGTCAGGCTCTCCTTATATCATGGAGATGTGAAGGTTAGTGGAGTGGACACACCTGCTTTGCAGTAGATTAGAGAGCTTAAGAATAATAAACCCCAAAGCCTGTTTGATGTTTTTAAATGTGTGATGCACTTTCACATAGGTCAGCCCATATGGTCCTGGACAAACCCCTGTGAGAGACAGTTTGGGACTCAGTGTTCTCGGTTACCTATGAAGGACGGAAGTTCAGAGAAGCCAAGGTGTAAAGTGTGAACAGACCTGACTGAGGTCAGGCTTGGCTGACCCCAAATCCTTCATTCGTAAAAGCTGCAGTTGTGCAACAGGCATATAAGTAACTCATGCTTCAAGGTCGGCCAAGGCCAGAAACATGAGAATGGAGCTCTCTGAAGGTTCTGAACATGGGCATCATTGCAATTCCCAGACTTCAGCTTTGTCTCCTCTTCCTGCAGAGTGTGCCTGGCCGAGGTGTACCAGGATAAAGCACTTGTTGGAGATTTCATGAATCGAAGAGGTGACTATGATGACCCAAAGGTAGGTCCTGTGTGAGTGTAGGGCTTGGTATGCTTGGGAGATTGGGGCAGCTAGACTTCAGTCAGCTCCTCTCATCCCACAGTGCCCCTGCCAGCCTTAGGAACGTGGACTTTGTTTCCTGCTCACTTGAGAAATCACCGAGTCAGCTCTCTGGTGTTGGCCTTCACTTGATCTGGCTTCAAACACCTGTTTTTAAAGATGATTAGAATCTGACAGGCCACTTTGAAGGGCTGCTGTGCCTTGGGCCTGTTTTGTTAAGAAAATAGAACATTTCTTCAGAAATTACAGGCTTCCTAGAAAGCTCGCAGACTGGGTGTGGGTTTTCTTTCCGAGTTTTCTGTCCAGAGGGGCCAAGGCGGTGGCTGACAAGGAGGGAAGCTGTCTGCTGACCCAGACTCCTGCCCTTCGCCTCAGAGGCTGCTCATCTTTCATTTCTGTGCTAACCCTGGACACTACAGTGTGTGTGGCAGGACTTGTGCCAAGTGAGGCCAGTGGACAAGGAGAGGCTACCTTTTCCGCCAAGGAGGCCACAGGCGAGTGGGACAGACAGAGAAGTACATGGCCATTGCAGGACAGTGTAGTCAGCTCCCGGAAGAGGAAGGCACAGGCCCACAGAGGTCAGGGAGGAGGCTCAGCAATGCTTTTGGATGGAAGTGACAGAAAAACCTAACCTAATGAGAGTATACAGCTTCCTTTTTCCCAAATGCCAAGCAGTTGAGGGTAGGCAGTCCTGGTCTGGTGCAGGGGAGCAGAGATGTCATCAGGCTCCCAGGTTCCTGCCGCCACACTCCCCTCCAGGAGCAGTGGTCAGCTTTCCATCCTATGCCAGTCACCCCCTGGTTGCAAATGTTGACAATGAGAGCTCAAGTCCTCACAACAGAATTCCAGAGCAGGAAGCAGTGGGGAGAGGGGCTGCAATAGACCCACATGGCCCTTGTATCAGGGGACAGCCTTTCCCAGGAGCCCCTGGCAGACCTGGGCCACGTGGCTGGGAAACAGTGGGACATAGCACAGGGGACTCAGGCTGCCATGAGTGGCTTAAACTGTCCTGGTGTATCCTAGGAGACTGGGCATCCTCCCTCCCCACAGCAAATTGAGACTGGCTAATCAGAAAGTGTGGGGAAAAATGGAATAGGTGACCCACAGACACCCACAGTGTCTGCCAGTGGGCTTAGTAAAGGTGTCAGCACTGGGCGAGACTGGAAACCACGGCAGCTGGGGCAGCAACAGTGAGGGGAGAGGGAGCCGTGGGGCTGGCAGGCACAGCAGCCAGATGCAGCAGGGGCTGCGTCCTACATAGCCACCAGGCCAGGGAGGAGCGGGAGCATACCATGTCGCATTGCACACTGGGTGACGCAACCAGCTTGCTCCTCAGATCTGGGTCTGGACTGAGATGATGCAGTGCGCATATAGAGGAGGAAATTGATTTGGGGGCCACCCGTGGAGTGTGAGGCTGGGGCAGAGGAAGGAGGCTGACTACATGGGTGAACCAGGGAACACCAGGCCTGGGAGGAGGGAGGCTGTGAGGGAGCACTGTGTGGGGCACGTTTGAGTCATCTCACCTGGGGCTTGGGAGAGTGCCAGCGATGCAGGGTGAGGCTGTCGGTGGGTTAGTTGGCACCAGGTACCCCAGTTTCCTGAGCGTAGTGGTGAGGGTCTTTTGCCTCCTCTACAGACCGAGCTTCTCAGATGACAGGTGACAGATGACAGGTGACCAGGGGAGGCACCTGGTCAGTGGTTCTCGGACTTAGCTGGTGCAGGAGTTTGTTACAAGATATTCCTTGGTGCATCTTAGCAAAACCTCCCTTTAGGAAGAGTAAGGGCTTAACCTCTCATGCTCTCATGTTGAAAGGTTTGTGCCAACGAGTTTAAAGAATTTGTGGAGAAGCTTAAAGAAAAGTTCAGTTCAGCCCTAAGGAATTCTAACCTTGAAATCCCAGACACACTCCAGGAGCTGTTCGCCAGGTAAGCCGTTTCTGGGATGGTTCCATGTGGCCCTCGCAGGGCAAGAAGAAAAGGCCAGCCCTGTCTCCCTTATCAGCAGGTCCGGGAAGCGCACAGCACCTGCCTGGCTGCATTTGGCCTTGCAGTGGCCCTCCTGTCTCTCCTCTCATGGGTGACTTGAACACAGAATGGGACCTAGCACCCTGCCGGGCATTTATGTTCATTCTCCCATTGGTCCTTCAGGCTTCCTTGTTTGGTTGGTGTACTTTTTGCTAGGTTTGCTTACTTTACCTTTGAGGAAATTCCTATGTAAGTAACGTGCCCAAGGTCACAGTGCTTGTAAGTACCAGGGCCAGGATTTGAACATAGGAGGGTCTGTAACCACTCGGCATTTGGAAGAAGAATCTTGGGTATGAGCACAGAACCCTGTACAATTTTTAAATCTTAAGTTCTGTGAACTAGGCCTGTTACCTCAGCATCCTCCAAATGTAGATCCCTTTTCTCCACCATCCTCACCCAAAAAGTCCCTCGAGCCACTGTTTTTCTGAATTTCTCCCTGTAAAATGATGGCATCCATCAGTTCTGCCTGTGAACTGTACAGCACCCTTGCTCTCAACATTTCAGTTGAAGACCTCATTCCTTCATTCACTCAACAGATAATGTATGTCTCACCCACTGTATTGCCATGCCTAAAGAGCAGTTTGTACTCGTTTTCAGAGTTGATATCCTTTGCCCACATTCTGGGTTTTGTTTCTGGTTTGCAGTAGACTGTTCCCCAGAATTCCAAAATGGCATGGTTTCAAGTCAATCCAATGGCCTGTTTACTGATTTGTAATTTATATCTCCACATATTCTCAGTAAAGTTATGGGGCAACTTTTTTTTTTTTTTTTTTTTTTTGAGATGGAGTCTCACCCCGGCCCCCCGGGCTGGAGTGCAGTGGCACACTCTCGGCTCACTGCAAGCTCCGCTTCCCAGGTTCACGTCATTCTCCTGCCTCAGCCTGCCCAGTAGCTGGGACTACAGGCGCCCGCCACCAGGCCTGGCTAATTTTTTTGTATTTTTAGTAGAGACGGGGTTTCACCGTGTTAGCCAGGATGGTCTGGATCTCCTGACCTCGTGATCTGCCCGTCTCAGCCTCCCAAAGTGCTGGGATTACAGGCATGAGCCACCGCACCCGGCCACAATTTTTAATCATAAAAGAAGACAGAGATTTTTAAAGGAGAGCCCATGAACCATTTAGAGAGAAGAAAAAGTTGCAAGTGTAACAGTTTAATACTGATTGTGATCCTGAGCATTCTGGCAGGCAAGGCAGAATAGAAAATGGTTCCAAGCCAGGTGTGGGGGCTTAACACCCATCATCCCAGCAGTTTGGGAGGCCGAGGCGGGTGGATCACCTGAGGTCAGCAATTCGAGACCAGCCTGGCCAACATGGTGAAACCCTGTCTCTTCTAAAAATACAAAAATTAGCTGGGCGTGGTGGCACGTGCCTGTAATCCCAGCTACTTGGGAGGCTGAAGCAGGAGAATCACTTGAACCCAGGAAGCAGAGGTGGTTTTCACGTTTTCTGAAAAGTTTCTTTTTCTTGGCACTAAATTATAAGAGGAATTTACTATTGCAGTCAAGATTAATTTTTCTGTTAGTTTGTTAGAAACCGAAGAAATGTCCTACAAATGGCCAATTTGTCATATTTTATAAAAAGGCAGTTCTATGACTTATTCTTAAATTTACTTGCTTGGTATACATACAGTAAAATAATATTACATGAAACTCAAAAAAAAAATGGGGAAATGGTTTGTAATTCCAACACCTAATATGGCTACTCTTTGGGGATTTTCATATTTCTTTGTTTTAATTGATGAATAATAATTTTATATATTTATGGGGTACAGTGTGATGTTTTAATATATGTGTTCATTGAGGAAGGATGAAGTCAAGTTAACCAACATATCTGTCGCCTCACCAACTTCTTTTGTTGGCAATACAAACCTTAAAAATCTATTATTTTAGTAATTTCAAAATATGTAATGTGTTATTAACTGTGGTCACCATGCAGTTTTAAATCATGAAAACTTTTTCCTCTGGTCTAACTGTAACTTTATACCCTTTGCTCAACATCTTTCCTTTCTTCATTCCTTCCCTTCCACTTCCCAGCCTCTGGGAACCACCTTTTTCCTTCTTCTATGAGAATAATTTTTTTAGATTACTTCTGGGTGGGACATTTTCTTCTTGTGCTTTTTTTTTTTTTTTGGATTGTAACACACCCACAGTTTTAGGTGCTGTTCCTCTTACAATTAACAGTGGATCTTTGCCAGTTCACATTTTTCCGTGTTGCCACATAATTGTCGGTGAGTGAACATTGCACATTTTCTCAGCCCTCCTTTTTATAACAGGCAGGACAGGGTATATTCTCATTTTAATTTACATGCACAGCACTCGACATTTGGTGAGTTTAACATTTCTCCCACTCCCAACACTTTAGCCAATAAATGGCCATCTTGAGCCAGCATCCGCTTGCTTAGTGAGGAGCTGTTTTGTTTCACTGACATGCTGTTATGTTTCTTTTGCAGGTACCGAGTTTTGGCAATTGGGGATGAAAAAGATCAAACCAGGAAAGAGGATGAACTTAACAGGTAAGTACTGATATATAGAGTAGCTTTTCCTCAGCTGCTTAATAACTTGATGGCTGACAACCTATTGCACTGGGGTAATCTAGGGCCAAATCCAGCCCACTACCTGTTTGTGTGAACAAAATTTTACTGGCATACAGCCATGCCCATTCTGTATGTTGTCTATGCTGCTTTTGTGCAAGAACCTCAGAGGTAAGTACAGTTGACCTTTGAACAATTTGTGGGTAAGGGGACGCCGACCCCCTGCACAGTCAAAAATCCACATAGAACTTTTTTTTTTCTTTCCTTTTTTTTTTCTTTTGAGATGGAGTCTTGCTCTTTCGCCCAGGCTGAAGTGCAGTGGATTGATCTCAGCTCACTGCAGCCTCTGCCTCCTTGGTTCAGGTGATTCTCATTCTTCAGCCTCCCGAATAGCTGAGATTACAGGCACCTGCCACCACACCCAGCTAATTTTTGTATTTTTTAGTAGAGACGGGGTTTTGCCGTGTTGGCCAGGCTGGTCTGGAACTCCTGGCCTCAAGTGATCTGCCCACCTTGGTCTCTCAAAGTGCTGGGATTACAGGCGTAAGCCACCACTCCTGACCCAAGTATAACTTTTGACTCCCTAAACCTAACCACTGATAGCCTACTGTTGATCAGAAACCTTATCAATAACAGTTGATTAATATACAGGTGTAAGCCACTATGCCTGGCCCCACATGTAACTTTTGACTCCTCAAAACCTAACCACTGATAGCCTACTGTTGACCAGAAACCTTATCAATAACAAAGAGTTGATTAATTTATATTTTGTATCTTACATATGTTATATACTGTGCTCTTACAATAAAATAAGGTAGAGAAAAGAAACTGTTAACAAAAATAAGGGGCCAGGCACAGTGCCTCACGCCTGTAATCCCAGCACTTTGGGAGGGCGCTGCCGGCGGATCACCTGAGGTCAAGAGTTCAAGGCCAGCCTGGCCAACATGGTGAAACCCCGTCTCTACTTAAAAATACAAAAATTAGCTGGGCGTGGCAGGTGCCTGTAATCCCAGCTGCTGGGGAGGCTGAGGCAGGAGAATCGCTTGATCCTGGGAAACGGAGGTTGCAGTGAGCTGAGATCACACCATTGCACTCAAGCCTGGGCGACATGAGCAAAACTCTGTCTCAAAAAAAAAAAAGGAAGAGAAAATCTATTTACTATTCACTAAGTGGAAGTAGATCATCTTAAAGGTCTTCATCCTTGTTGTCTTCATTTTGAGTAGTCTGAAGGGACAGAGGAAGAGGAGGGGTTGGTCTTGCTGTTTCTAGGGTGGCAGAGGTGAAAGAAAATCTATGTATAAGTGGATCTGCACAGTTCAGACCGCATTGCAGAAGGGTCAGCTATAGTTGGAACAGATTCCATAGAGCCCACCAAGGCTAAAGCATGTATTAACTGGCCCTTTAGAGGAAAAGTTCCTGACCCCCTAGCCTTGAATATCACTGGCCAAGCCTTAAGGTAGGTTGAGGAAAGGATTTAAACTCTGAACCCATGAGCTTTCCAAGCAAAACTCAGTTCCAAAAGCCCAGGTTTTGTTTTTCCATCTTGGATAATCAATAGTCACTTTGATTTTAGCTCTGTATTTCAGTGAGAAACCTTTTTTCTTCGGAGAAAAACTCGTTTAGAATTAGAGGGAAAGAAACGAGAAGTACTAACTACATTTATTAGTGGTCATGTAAACCCGTTCCAGGTAGGTCACCCCCTATCTACTAAAAGAAACTTTTCTCCTGCAGAAATGGACCTGTTAGTAAAGCCTAGAAACCATCATATATTGTGTTTTCTTTTGTGAATAGTTTTGGCATTTGTGTCCCTTTTGTGAGATTCAAGTTTTTTTCCCTAAGAATTGCATCTGCCTGAGCTGAGCAGTGCCTGTGGTCTCATGGTGCCCTGCTGCCCCCTCTCTTTCAGCGTGGATGACATCCACTTTCTGGTGCTTCAGAACCTGATCCAGAGCACGCTGGCCCTCTCAGACAGTCAGATGAAGTCCTACCAGTCATTCCAGGTGGGTGTCGGCTGCCCGGCAGCACAGCGGGGATGTGGGCCCTTCCGAGGCCAGGCTCGTGAGGTGCTGGCCCCTGCCCTTCTCCGCTGTGGGCTCTTGGGCTGATTCCCCCAAAATGCCAGCCCACATGTCTTTCAACTTTATTTTTTTATCGTTGTTTTATTTTTATTTCTTTGTGTTTATTGTGTATGTTTATGTTATACAACTGGAGGATTTGATGTACGTATACATTGCAGAATAATCGTCACAGTCAAGCCAATTAGCACATCCATCACCCCACATAGTACCTTTTCTCATTATGGTGAGCACACTTGGCGATCTCTCCTCCTGGTGCATTTCAAGTGTACAGCACCAGATTGTCACCTGTCATTACCAAGCTGTGAGCCTCCAGGGCTTAGCATCTCATAGAACTGAAGCTTTGCACCCCTTGGCCAGCTTTCCTCATCTCTCTCTTTAGTCTTTAAAGCATGGGGATGGGATCTAGTGACCTCCACAATCCCTCCCAGAGCTGAGGTTTTTAAGTCTAATGTTTAAGACAGAAAATGAAGCAGGAGAGGAAATGAGGCATGGCAAAGGACCTGAGAAAGTAATTGAGCTATACGGCATAGCTTTTCAAATCATCACTTTGGAATGCCAAGATATTCTGGTTGTGGGAGGTCACTGGATGGGAAAGCTGCCTTTCCGTGGGCAGTGAGTCATCTGTCTCCCGAGGACACAGGTCCACGCGGCCGCTCTACTGCGGCTGAAAGAACATGAGAGTGAGGAAGGGAAATCACATCGAACCCCCGGTGGAGCCTGGGAAGTCAGTGGTCTTACTACTCTTATACAAATGTGGGCACTTGAGGTTCAGAGAAGTTAAATCACACACCCAAGACCACATATCTCAGTCATCACCCAAGACCCCAACAGAGAGGTGCTGAGGGTCCCCTGCCAGTGCTGCCCAGGGCCTCGTTCTCCCCCAAGTCATCAAAAGTGAATTCTAAGGAGGACCCGTTCATTTTGTATTTAATCACTAACCCTAAAAATCTGCTCCTGGCTTACATTAACAAGTCACCTGATTTGGAATACGAGGGGAAAAAAGAATAAGAAAACAAAGGGACTTTCCTAATCCCGCCGATGAATTCAGATGGGTGAGGACCCGATCATTAGGGCGCCTCACAGTCCACAGAGAGATCTTATAGCATGTTAAGCCCAAGCCCTATTCTCAGAGACTCCAGTCAAGAGCAGTGGAGTGGGGCCCTGATAAGAGTGTGCCACCCCTCCCCAATCCCGAAGGGGCCCATGGGCCACCCTTGCAGAAACAGCAGTGTTGACCCTGGCGGGGCGCTGCACGTGCTTGTTACTTTGGCCACAGCGGGGCAGGGAGGACTGGGGGAAATGGAACTGGTTCAGGAAAATGCCACGCTGGGCTTGAATGCCCTGCTTCAGAGCAGCACCCTGGCCCTAGTCTTTAACGGCCATGGCCAGACCTCAGCACACCCAAGACAGAGTGTGCATTTGATTTCTCCTGTTTTAATCACCACCTGGAGGTTCTCTGTGCCTCCTGCAGGGACACATGGGACCATCAATCAGGGAGGCCCGAGAAATGTCCTCATACACTTGCTGTGCATCCCTTGAACCCTGTGTTTTATTTCCTCCTGCCTGTTTTACACATACGGTCAAGTGTACACATTTGGAGTGGAAGGCTAGTATCTGTGCCGTGCGCCCTCTGCCACCCCAGCATTTTGTAGATGAAAGCAAAGCCCTGTCTGAGCCTGAACTTGCAGAGAAAAGAATAAATAGTATTGGGTGAAGTTCCAAATAAACAGTCCACAGACCGTATTTTATTGGTCTCACGCTTGTTTAAAAGGAAAAAACAAAATTTTTTTTTCAAAAAATGTTTTTTCCAACATTGCACACAGGAGTCCAAATTTCCGACTTCTGGCTGTGGGGTGGGCCTTCCAGCTATCCTGCTGATTAGTGGCTCAGAGCTGGAGGGGACTTTGGGGATCCTTCCCACTGTACCCCACCTCCAAACAAGAAAGCCCAGCCCCAACGGCAAAAGCTGGGCCCCCTGCCTTCTAGCCAGGCCCATCCCCAGTATTATTCCCACGGCTTTTTCCTCCTCCAGTTCCAGTTCCATCTCCAGGTGGCACCTGGGCTCTGATGTGTGGTACCGAAGGCCTAGTCACTCTGCCTTAACCCCCAGGGGCATGGAAAGTCACCTTAGAAAGACCACCGGCCTGCGTAGCCTCCCTCCCCGAGCAGGAAACAGGACACTTCTTTAGTGACTCTTGAGTGAGGACTGGAAGGCCAACAGCAATGTCAGAGCCCCATAGGGGACCCCGCGAGGCTCCCCTCAAGGTTCCGGGAAGCCAGTGGAAGGCTGCAGGTGGGCTCACTGTGCCTGTGACAGCCCAGCCTCTTGGAAATGTGAGTGGGTGGACGATACCCCCCAACTCACCACACATGGCCTGAGCGCTCCTATCCTGTTATGTGGGAATACACCCATTCGCTAGTTATATTCAAATGGAAGAGAAGAGCAAAGTCACAGAAGGCTTGTCACAAGGAGTGAGATGCAGCTTCCCTCCAGTGCTCTAGGGAAGGATGATGGTGTAATGGCCACTCCCAGCTTCTCCCGCCCACCACATGGAGAGTGTTCCCCCATAAGGTCTGATGGTCTGCATGCCCAGGACTGGCGCACAGGTGCTGTCTAGAGGAAGCAAGTTGCACAGGCTTCATTCAGATACGCTCCAGGGAACACCTGGGTGCTGCCCCAGAGCCCCAGCTGACCACCGCACCGGTCCCCGGTCCCCTTGTGTCCCTCCACTGGAAGGAAGGTGCAGTGGTGAGGTTGCTCTTCTCTCCTCTGACCCACCCCTGCCTGACAGTGTGACCTCAGAGGATCACTTAAAGTCCATGTGCCTCAGCCTCCTCTGTCACTGAAGGTCCTGGGGGCAGCACCTAAAATCCTTAGACCATGACAGGGATTTTTCTTGGCCAGTGCTTTTGAGGAGACAGTCCTATAGGAGCTCTCTCAGAGGATGGCAAATGCTAGATACTCAGGAACTGCTGGTTGCTTGCCCTTTGCAGAAGCTTGGAGTAACAGAGACTCTGCTGACTGCACAGTCCTTTGAGCTGCTTGTTCACTAGGCGGGGCCCAGGTCCATGAGACTTAGCAGGCTGAGCCATGAAGTCACCATGGCATGTCCAGCAGAGGTACTTCCTTCCGCCTAGGCACTGGGGTGGCAACAGCAAGAGTTGAATCTAGGCCAGGCATGGTGGCTTACGCCTGTAATCCCAGCACTTTGGGAGGCTGAGGCAGGATGAGGCCAGGAGTTTGAGACCAGCCTGGGCAACATGGTGAAAAACCCATCTCTACAAAAAATACAAAAATTAACCAGGCATAGTGCCTGTAGTCCCGGCTACCCAGGAGGCTGAAGCAGGAGGACCGCTTGAGCCAGGAGGTCGAGGCTGCAGTGAGCTATGTTGGTGTCACTGTACTCCAGCCTGGGCAACAGAGTGAGACCCTGGCTCAAAAAAAAAGGAGTTGAATCTGTGTTCTCCTGGGACTTCCAAACAATGAGTAAGCAAATGAGATTGTTTCAGGTGGCTGCTATGGAGAAAATAAAACAGGATAATATAAGGCAATTGACCTCAGAGGAGGAGAATGGAGAGGGATTTGTTATTTGAGGGGAAATATTTGGGCTGAGCCCTGAATGTTGAGGAATCAGCCAGGCAAAGATTTAGGGGAGCGGCAGGGCAAAGGCCCCAAGGCAGGATGCCTCAGCTTTTTCAAGAAATGTAAGAAGGTCCAGGAGGCTGGAGGGCAGTGAGCGAGGGGTGGTGTTGGGGGACGTGAGGCCAGAGTGGTGGCTGGGCGGGCAGGGTCCCACTTATCAGGCTCCTTGTCGTGAAGGACTGGTTGTGGTCACATCTGCAGAGGGAAGTCCTTGGGGGTTTTGAGGCAGGGCAGGAATGTGTGGTCTGATTTAGGCATGGAAGGATTACTCTGGCTGCTGTGGAGAATGGTCAGGGATTGGGGAAAGTGACATGGGGAAGGAGGGAGACCAGTCAGCTGGGGACCATGGTGAGAAAGAACAGTGGCATAGACTAGATGGGCCAGTGCAGGTGGCACGAACCCGATGCATTGGAAGGTAGAGCCCACCTGACGTGCTTTTGGCTGGGTGGGAGGCCAAGGGACAGAGTGGTAGACGAGATGATTCTGTGTTGATTCCCTCTGTCTGCATCCAAAAGAAATCGGCTTGGGAGTGAATAGCCCCCCTGTCTCGTCAGTTCCCTGTCCTTTGTGGTCTCTGGAAGTGTGACGTGGTGGTCCGAGAATTGGGATTGCTGACTTCCTCAGCACCCCTCCCCCTGATACACACACTCACACACACACTCACTGACACACACATACGCCAGCCTGGGCCTCCCACGATCGGTCACTTCCTCTATAAAGCATCAGCCGCAGCCTCTGCCTCCACATACCCCAGCCCTCTCCGTGGCCGGCTGGAGAACCCTACTCACCCTCGCCGCCCTGTGTTGCAGACTTTCCGCCTCTATCGGGAGTACAAGGACCACGTTCTTGTGAAGGCCTTCATGGAGTGCCAGAAGAGGAGCTTGGTCAACCGGCGCCGGGTCAACCACACGCTGGGCCCCAAGAAGAACCGGGCCCTCCCCTTCGTGCCAATGTCCTACCAGCTATCCCAGACCTACTACAGGTGAGTACCTGTCAGGAGCCTTGGGTACTCCGAGGTGGAGCCACGCCCTGTCTGTAAAGAGGAGCAAAGGAAGCACTGTGGCCATGAAAGCGTGTAGGAGCCAGGGACCTTCGCAGCCTCATGTGCAAGATGCCGGCTTGGGTTTCCTGCAGCCCCTTACCTCCTTCGTGGTATGGGGATCAGGTGAGCGCTGGCAGCTTCTTTGTGTTGGCGGCGTTACCATTTTGCAGGTGGTTTGTTTCCGTTTCTCTCGTCAGATGGAGTGAAATCAGTTTGCATTTAATAATTGGCCTGGCTGGAAGTCCACCCTCCTGTTCCAGCATAGCCTCAGTCCCTCTTCCGCGTAGCCCTGAGACCTGGGAAGCCTCCTGGGCCCATTCGCAGCACCAACAGCCAGTGCAGGATTGGGGTGCGGAGGTGCATTCAGACAGGCATCCTCCTGGGGCTCCCTCCTGAAGCGCTCTTGCAGTGTGGCTTCATGCCGCAGAGGGCGTTGCACCACCAGCCTCCTGACCACACGCAGAGAGTCCCTGAGAACATTCCTAAGCTGCCGTCTTGACGGCTTCCCCTTCACACCATTCTCCTTCCCCGCACTCAGGTCTGCACGGGGCTGCAGTCAGATGCTCAGAGACAGCACCATGAATCTTCTTTTGGTTCTTTGATCCCATCCCTTCCCCACGACGGCAGACACTTCCTCCTCCCCAGACCCTGACCCCGAATGACCCTCAGGCCTCTGGGAAGTAGGTGTGGCAGCAGAAGATACGTGCCCAAATCCAACAAGGCCATTTGTCACGGAGACACTGCTCTGACCGCATGTCCCCATCTGAACCGAGGGCAGTGGTCACAGACAAGGAAGGCCTTTTTGGTCCCTCCCTCTGACCCTGGTAGCAGGGTCATGGAATGTTGCTCTCTGGACAGAGCCGGGGAAGTGACTCACCAGGCACTGCGTGGAGACAGCTTGGGCACATGTGTAAGACCAGGGCTGGCTTTGTGCGGAGACTATTATTACAGAAAGCGTGTTCACCATCCCTAGTTCAGCAGCTGTGTACAGTGAGCCCCTGTAAGGTGAGCCTGCCAGCGCCCTCCTGGAGCGCCAGGTGAGGCCACATTGAATTAGATGAGGAGACAGGACTCTGCCCGGAAGGTACTCAGGCAAGCGGGGAAGAGAGACACAAACACCGCTAGGTGGGAATGCAGCACCTTCATCTGGGATGGGACAGAGAGCTTTAGGGAAGAAGTGGGGCGTTTTGCTTAGTTCTCACCATAATGGTTTGACGTGCTCATAGTCCATCCAAATGAAGGCTTCCCACAGCTGGCCCTCAGTCAGGCCCTTCCTTTCTTTTTGTCTGTAGGATTTTTACGTGGCGATTTCCAAGCACCATCTGCACGGAGTCATTCCAGTTTTTGGACAGAATGCGGGCTGCCGGCAAGTTGGACCAGCCTGATCGTTTCTCTTTCAAAGACCAGGATAATAACGAGCCCACAAACGACATGGTGGCCTTTTCACTGGACGGCCCTGGAGGAAATTGTGTGGCCGTCCTGACCCTCTTCTCTCTGGGCCTCATTTCTGTGGATGTCAGGATCCCGGAGCAGATCATCGTGGTAGACAGCTCAATGGTGGAGAATGAGGTCATCAAAAGGTAAGAGTCCGGCATCCGCAGCATCAGGTCTGGCCACGTGCTAGGCATTGGCCAGATACAGACGGGCAGGGGTCAGCAGTGCCTTCTGGGAGCTTGTGGGATGGGAGTTGCAGATGAGTGACTGGGGATTATAGGCCGGTGTCTAAGGTGTCCTCTGCTGGTGCCTCCCAGGTGTTATGGGAATCAGCCAAAGAGAAGGACGCAGCACAGCGGGGCAGGGGAGGGGCAGGGAAGAGAAGGGAGGACTGTTCCTGAGGGCCTCGCAACAGAACTGGGGCTTCCTGGGGAAATGGGTGTTTTCTGGGCTGAGAGACGGGCAAAAGGAACAGTCCCCACAGAGATACAGCTATGTGACAAGGGGTGAGCGCGGTGCACGGGAAGGTGGGAAAGGGGATGGATCTGGGGCAGCCATCCACACCAGCCTTGGTAATGAAGCATAGCCAGTTGCTGGGGCCACTGCTGAAGCCCAGCCACAGAGGCCTCTTGAGGGAGGGGAGAGGCTGCAGTAGCAACTGGCTGGCCTATGCTCAGGTATCCAGGTCACAATTCCCTTCTAGCTTGGGGAAGGACGGCAGCCTGGAGGATGACGAGGATGAAGAGGATGACTTGGACGAAGGTGTAGGGGGCAAGCGCCGGAGCATGGAGGTGAAACCTGCGCAAGCCTCCCACACCAACTACCTGCTGATGAGGGGCTACTACTCCCCCGGCATCGTCAGCACCCGCAACCTCAACCCCAACGACAGCATTGTGGTCAACTCCTGCCAGATGAAGTTCCAGCTCCGCTGCACCCCTGTGCCCGCCCGGCTCAGGCCCGCTGGTGAGTGCTCCTGCTGGTGCTGTGGGAGGGCCTGGCCTCGCCATCATCCAGGAAGACCCTGAGGCCTGGCCTGGGACCTAGACCTTCAGGCTCCCCAGGCCAGGCGTGCAGCCACAGAACACACAGAAAAACACACCCCATCCTTGCAGCCAACTCAAGGGATGCCTTCCCCAGGTGCCTGTGCTGTGCCCACACCTCTGTGGGAAAGCTCCCCGCACCGCCTCTTTTAGTCACAGCTGTGCTGCAGGCACCAGCAGTCACTCAGGTGGGCTCACAAGGAAGAGCAGAGCACTTCCGCTTCCCCACCCCGCCCACTCTCCACGGGCGGCCCTGTCACTGCCCGGGCTCTAGTCTCCTGGTGCTTAGCTCTGCAACTCTAAAGTGTGTGCTCTTAGGAAACTTTTAGGTATTATCTTTTGACCCCTTGCTAGGAAAGATAAGTATTCCGCTCACATTCATGATCTCCTGCCTCCTTTACTTCCAATTTTGACACTATTTTAGTTCTGTTGATGACCTTTGAAACTTTACTTTTTATTTTTATTTATTTATTTGAAATGATTGAGACGGGGACTCGCTATGTTGCCCAGGCTGGTTTCAAACTCCTGGCCTTAAGTGATTTTCCCACCTCCGCCTCCCAAAGTGATGGGATTACAGGCATGAACCACCACACCAAGCCTATTTTTTAGGGTCTTGCTCAGTTGCTCAGGCTGGAGTGCAGTGGCACGATGATAGCTCACTGTCATCTCTAGCTCTTGGGCTCAGGTCATCCTCCTGTCTCAGTCTCCTAAGTAGCTTGGACTATAGGCATGTGCCACCACAGCCAGCTAATTTTTTAATTTTTTGTAGAGACGGGGCCTTCCTCTGTTGCCCAGGCTGGTCTCAGGCCTCAAGGGATTCTCCCGCCATGGCCTCCCAAAGTGCTGGGACAACAGGCATGAGCTACCATGCCAGACCTAGTTTATGTAATATTCTAAATCCTTTGTTGCCATTTCAATGATGTTCTCAGCGTCTTTACCAGGAGTAGATTCTATGTCAAGAAACTCAAGAAACCACCTTCTTTGCTCATCTATAAGAAGCAAGTCCCCATCTGTTCAAGTTTGATCCTGAGATTGCAGCAGTTCCATCCCATCTTCAGACTCTACCTCTAGTTCTCTTGTTATTTCCAAGGCATCTGCAGTTACTTTCTCCGCTGAAGACTTGAACCCCTCAAAGTCATCCATGAGAGTGGGAATAAATTTCTTCCAAACTCCTGTTGATGCTGGTATTTTGACCACCTCCCATGAATCACAGATGTTCTTAATGGCATCTAGAATGGTGGCTCCTTTCCAGAAGGTTTTCAGTTTCCTTTGTCCAGATCCATCAGAGGAATCACTATAATAGCTATAGCTTTACGAAATGTATTTCTTTCTTTTTTTTCTTTGAGACAGAGTTTCACTCTTGTCGCCCGGACTGGAGTGCGGCGGCATGATCTCAGTTCACTGCAACCTCCACCTCCCAGGTTCAAGTGATTCTCCTAGCTCAGCCTCCCGAGTAGCTGGAATTACAGGTGCCCACCAACACACCCGGCTAATTTTTGTATTTTTAGTAGAGATGGTGTTTTACCATGTTGGGCAGGCTGGTCTTGAACTCCTGCCCTCAGGTGATCCACCCACCGTAGCCTCCCAAAGTGCTGGGATTACAGGCGTGAGCCACTGTGTCCGGCCATCAAATGTATTTCTTAAATAATAAGACTTGAAAGTGAAGTGACTCCTTGATCCATGGGGTACAGAATGGATGTTGTGTTAGCAGGCATGAAAACAACATTCATCTCCTTGAACATCTCCATCAGAGCTCATGGGTGACCAGGGGCATCATGAATCAGCATACCATTGAAAGGAATCTTTTTAGTCTGAGCAGTAGGTCTCTACAGTGGGCTTAAAATATTCAGTAAGCCACATTGTAAACAGATGTGCTGTCATCCAGCTTTGCTGTTCTGTTTATAGAGCACAGGCAGAATAGATTTAGCGTAATTCTTAAGGGCCCTAAGAATTTGGGGATGGGAAATGACCACTGGCTTCAACTTAAAGTCACCAGCTGCATTACTTCCTATCGAGAGTGGCCTGTCGTTTGAAGCCTTGAAACCAGGCCTTGCCTTTTCCTTTGTAGCCATGAAAGTCCTAGATGGCATCTTCCAACATAAAGCTGTTTTGTGCACATTGAAAATCTGTTTAGTGTATCCACCTTCATTACTGATCTCAGCTAGAGCTTCTAGAGAACTTGCTGCAGCTTCTCCATCAGCACTTGGTGCTTCACCTTTTACTTTTATGTTACGGAGACGGCTTCTTTCCTTAAACTTCATAAACCAACCTCTGCTAGCTTCCAAGTTTTCTTCTGCATCTTCCTCACCTTTCTCAGCCTTCATAGAATTGAAGAGAGTTAGGGCCTTTCTCTGGATTAGGCTTTGGCTTAAGGGAAGGTTGTGGCTGGTTTGATCTATCCAGACTGCTGAAACTTTCTCCATGTCAGCAACAAGGCTGTTTTTGCTTTATTATTGTTTGTGTGTTCCCTGGAGTAGCACTTTTAATTTCCTTCAAGAACTTTTCCTTTGCCTTCACAACTTTGACTAACTTTGGCACAAGAGGCCCAGTTTTCATCTATATTGGCTGTCACCATGCTTTCTTCACAGAGCCTGATATTTTCTAGCTTTTGATGTAAAGTGAGAGATGTCCAACTCTTCCTTTCACTTGAATGCAGAGGGGTCACTGTAAGGTTATTGACTGGCCTGACTTCAATATTGTTGTGTTTCAGGAATAGGGAGCCCCAGGAGAGGGAAGAAAATGGGGAATGGCTGGTCCCTGGAGTTGCCAGAACACACATGATACTTATTAATTAAGTTTGCTGTCTTATGTGGGCATGGTTTGTGGTGCCCCAAAACAATTACAATAGTAAGGGCAAAGATCACTGATCACAGGTCACCATCACAGATATGATAATCATGAAAAAGTTGAAATATTCTGAGAATTCCCAAGCGTGACAGACACAAATCGAGCACACGGTGTTGTGAAAGTGGTGCCCGTAGACTCTCTTGATGCAGACTTGCCGCAAGCCTTCAGTATGTAAAAAACCCAAGAACACAATATCCGTGAAGCACAGTGAAGTGAGGTGCGCTGTTGAAGTTGATGGTGTTCACTGTACATTTCATAACCACAGTTAGAATTCTATACTTTGGAGTTTGGACTGGGCAAAAATGTAGTGATAACCTATCAATTATGGCTTTAGCAGAGACATATTCTATAGGAAGCAACAGTAGCCAGCCCTGGCTAGTGTAGGCAAAAGTAGGGTGTGTAGAAGGGGCCTGGAGTATCTCACAGGGTCTAAGGAACAGTGGGTACATGAGCAGCAGGAAGGGATGGGACCAGGCCAGCCCTGGTCAGGGACTCCCCGTCAGAGCACTGGACTTTACAGTTCTCGAACCTCAGTCCTCGGCCTCTGTGCCCTTCACTTTACATCTTGAGCAGGAGAATCACAGTGGCCAAGAGAAATCCAGTCAGCTGTTGTGTCCCAGTCAGCTGTAGTCAGAGGCCTAGGGTCACGGATCAGGAGCCTGACTGCCAGGGGCCCAGTGTGTCCACCCAGCAGGTGACCCCTGTGGCTGTCGGGGAAGCAGTGAGTTGGTGCTGGAGCATGCCTTTCCTGGGTGTGGCCTGTGCATTGGTCAGGGGAGGGGGGCCTCTGTCGGGCTGCCTCTGATCTTCCTCTGTGTCCCCACAGCCGCTCCTCTGGAAGAGCTAACAATGGGAACCTCCTGCCTCCCTGATACGTTCACCAAGCTGATAAACCCCCAGGAAAACACCTGCAGCTTGGAGGAGTTTGTCCTCCAGCTGGAGCTGTCTGGGTATAGTCCCGAAGACCTGACTGCTGCCTTGGAGATCTTGGAAGCCATTATAGCCACGGGTTGTTTTGGGATTGACAAGGAGGAGCTGCGCAGACGGTTCTCGGCCTTGGAGAAGGCAGGTGGTGGGCGCACCAGGACATTCGCAGATTGCATCCAGGTGAGCTGTGCTTTAGGTTAGCCGGATATCACCGAAGCGGAAATTGCAGCTCCCAGGCCAGGTGCACACTGAGGATGGGCTTGATTTGGGGCATAGCATGCTGCGTTCTTTTTAAACGTTGAATTAGTCATTAACACTTGAAAACTGGGGCATTTCACATCCGCTTTGAGGGTACAGTTGTGGATCCCCAAAGGTCACACGGCTGACGTGGTTCACGAGCAGCCAGAGAGAAAGAGATGCTGCTCCAGGGCACAGGGCTAGCAAGGGGCAGCCCCGGGGCTAGGAGCCAGGCCTGCCTCGTGGGCCTGGGCTGCTCAGGGCACTCAACCCGCCAGTCAGGGGAGGCCACTCCACTCGTCCCCCGTCACCAGCGTGGAGGATCCCGAGCTCCCCACAGACCCCGCGTGTCTCCTGCCTCCCCAGGCCCTCCTGGAGCAGCATCAGGTGCTGGAGGTCGGTGGCAACACTGCGCGCCTGGTAGCCATGGGCTCTGCCTGGCCTTGGCTCCTGCACTCCGTGCGGCTGAAAGACAGAGAAGACGCCGACATCCAGAGAGAAGACCCCCAGGCCAGACCCCTGGAGGGGTCTTCCAGTGAGGACAGCCCCCCCGAGGGGCAGGCACCTCCTTCTCACAGCCCCCGGGGCACCAAGAGGCGCGCCAGCTGGGCCAGTGAGAATGGGGAGACCGACGCCGAGGGCACCCAGATGACCCCTGCCAAGAGGCCAGCGCTCCAGGACTCAAATTTGGCCCCCAGCCTTGGGCCCGGAGCTGAAGATGGGGCAGAAGCCCAGGCCCCATCTCCACCCCCAGCTCTTGAAGACACCGCTGCAGCGGGAGCAGCACAGGAAGACCAAGAGGGTGTCGGTGAGTTCAGTTCCCCAGGCCAAGAGCAGCTGAGCGGCCAGGCGCAGCCTCCAGAGGGCTCTGAAGACCCCAGAGGTACCGCGCGCCTTGTCCCCCACCCCACCTCACCCCACCCTGGCTTTCCCTCCCCTCCGCCCTGATGGGCCTCACACCTTCCTCCGAGGATGGGGGACCTGCCACTGGCACAAAAGGGGCTTGACTTCAGCTTCTCAGAGCCTGAGCCCTGAGGGGGAGGATACTGCCTGTAAATGCATTTCCAGGGGAGGGCAGGCCTCCCACATCCCCAGGCAGCACTGTGAGTTCCAGAGCAGGAGCTCAGGCGGTGGGGCCAGCGTGTGCACTGCAGCGGCTGCTGTGGGGCAGTGATGGCATGGGGGTCTCAACTTCCTCGGGTGGCAGCACGCCCTTTCCTTTCCTGCACGTCTGTCATCAGCAGCGGCCTTCTCATGTGGCTTCTCTGGGCGTTTTTGTTTTCTTTGGGGTGTTTTTGCCTCGGGTTTTATACCACCCTTGTGGTCGGGGCTTCTGGGTGGAAAATGAGGTGTTCGCTGGCTTCCTGCAATGTGGGGCTTGTCCGGGCCTGGGACGCTGCTTGCATGTGGCGCTGTGTGCGGCAGTCTGCCCGGCCCTGCCACCTCCAGGGTGGCCGCTCTGTGAGATGCTCATTGTCCTTTTTTTTTGACACTTCATCCCCTGAGCCTCGAGGTGCCCTGCTCATGCTAGGTACCATGCTGAAGGTTGGAGGGCAGAGATGGCTTCCCTGACTTTCCGAGTCTCTCACATTCTCTTCCTCTTCCCTCAGGGTTCACAGAGAGTTTCGGAGCTGCCAACATCTCCCAGGCAGCACGGGAAAGGTGGGTGTGGGGTTCTGGCTCCGGGGCCTGGGGCGGGGCTCTTGACAGGGACCGAGTGTAAGGATTTGTGTGAGGGTCTTTGAGGGTCTTTCCCCAGGTACCAGCTCTGACAGCCTGCCCGGCACCTTGGTTCTTGGCAGGGGTACTTGGAGGGGCGCAGTGGGCGAGCAGCAGGCGTGCTGAGCACTGGCAGTGCCCAGGTCGGCCTGGAATGAGGGCTGCGCTTCCAGAATGCCCAGGGCGCTGGTGGAGAACCATGCCTGGTGCTGTCAGCTGTGCTTCACTGGCTCCTCATGGCCCACAGGCACCTCACCCACTCCTGCAGATGAGCCAGGGGTCCACAGAGGGATAAGCCCTGAATGCCCAGCTGCCCCCGGGACAACCATGCCACAGAGTTACAGGAAGCAAGGGGGCCGCAGAAGCCCCTCTGGTGGGGGCGCCTCCCATGAGTGTGTGTGCTGACCCCAGATTGGCAGGGCCCAAGTGCCCTGTGTCCTGGCTTTCAAGAGCTCAGGTGTGCCCCCTCCAAGGCCCAGCCATAGCGATGAGAGCCTGGTGTCCAGCTCTTCTGGGTCCGCCCCACTCGTGGGCCCCGGGTGGCTGTTCAGTCTCTGGTTTAGTAACAGAAACGTCTGTTTCGAGGAAAGTGTGCCTGGAACTCTGCACATGGCGTGGAGCAGAGCTTCAGGGTCACGCTCCCGTGAGTTTTGCCACAGCCTGGAGGTGGTTTCTGCCTGGGCTGCCAGTAGAGCTGGCAAGTCCAGGAGTCACAACCCTTGTCCCTCTCCTGCCAATGTGGGTGGGCCCACTGAGGCCTCAGTTACAGCTACATCAGAGCGGACACCACGTCCTGGTTCCACCCAGCTGGCGGTCAAGGGCCCCTCTGTCCAGACAGGAGAGAAGCAGGGAGTTTGGAAAGCAGAGAGCAAGAGGTGGCTGGTCTCAGCCCTGTGACCTGGGCCAGGCCTAGGACGCCCCTGAGCCTCAGTGTTCTGTCTGGACGAGCTGCCCTCCTGCCCCCACCAAGCCCTGATGTCAAGCCCTCTCCCTGCAGGGACTGTGAGAGTGTCTGCTTCATCGGCCGGCCGTGGCGTGTCGTGGATGGCCACCTGAACCTTCCTGTATGCAAGGGTATGATGGAGGCCATGCTGTACCACATCATGACCAGGCCTGGCATCCCCGAGAGCTCCCTGCTGCGCCACTACCAGGGGGTCCTGCAGCCCGTCGCCGTGCTGGAGTTGCTCCAGGTGTGGGGCCTTCCTGGGTTCAGCAGGGTGTGGAGGCGGCTGGGTGCACTCAGTGGCCCGGCTGTGATGTTCAGGCCCCAGGCAACATGCAGTACCACCATACTGCTTGCCTGCACCTCCTCCCCCAGCTTGTCCTGGGCTCCTGCCTCTCAGGCTGTCCCTCAGTGTCCTTCACCAGCTCCATGCTGCTGACCAGGCTGGAAGATGGGGTGCCCGGGGTGCTTGTCTCTGATGCTTTCTCTGTGCCAGGGGTCACTAACTCATGAGTCCGCCGGGCCCCACGGGTCAAGCAGCTGCCCCCTGGTGCAGCTGCTTCCTGCTTGGCTGACTCCCATGTGTGCCTGGGGCCTCCAGCTCCTCTGGCAGCTAGGAGCTTGAAGTTGAGTGTCAAATTCCCCATGAGCCAAACAAAACCCCACCTGGAAGCCAGTCTTGGCTCACAGGAAGCTGGGATTTATCCCGCGCTGCAGGCCTCTCCTCCACAAATGAGATTCAGCGTGGTGGCTCCAGCCAGCGCTGTACACGTGCTGCTCAGGCAGCTGCCTCTCCCACCAGGGCCTTTGCCTGAACCCTCCTGGTACATCCCCATCTGCCTCATGCCCAGTTCAGGTGCCCCCTGCTCTGGGAAGTGGCTCCCTGGTACAGAGGGGGCATTCCATAAATGCTTGAAGAATAAATCAACAAGCAGGCGAGGGCAGTGCCGCTGTAACCTGTGTGTCTGGTGTCTCCAGGGCCTGGAGTCCCTCGGCTGCATCCGGAAGCGCTGGCTGAGAAAGCCAAGGCCTGTCTCGCTCTTCTCTACACCCGTGGTGGAAGAGGTGGAAGTGCCCTCCAGCCTGGACGAGAGCCCCATGGCTTTCTATGAGCCCACCTTGGACTGTACCCTCCGGCTGGGCCGTGTGTTCCCCCACGAGGTCAACTGGAACAAGTGGATCCACCTCTAGGACCCCTGTGGGCGTCCCCTCCCTCCCAGCCACCGCCTGCCACACCACTCCTGCCTGGTGCTCGGCAGACCCCACTGTGCCCTGGCCTTGGGTCTGCCGAGCCTCCTGCAGCAGGGGACGGGTGCTTTGGCCAGAGTCACAGACTGACACGTTTCCCACTGTACTGGAACTCTGGAAAGAGGGGCTCCCCGACCTGCCCATCCCCCAGGCTCTTCTGGGCCTTCCCCTTGGGAACTGGCCTCATCACACTGGGAGTTGGTGCTTCTTGTCTCTGGGTCTCCAGAGTTTGCCCCGCCTGTGCACACCTCACATTCCAGACTCTAGCCATCTCGGCAGGATCTCCTGGCTCCTTGAGTGCCCAGGTGCCACCAAGAGGAAGGGCCTTGTGGGATACACCTTGCAGAATAGGGATCGGTGTGCCCCGCTGCGAGGGGCCCCCCATGGGGGCTGTGGCCCCTCCGCAGGCAGGACATCCCAACCCCTGGCTGGGACTGAACCACCCAGAGCGGAGCGGCTCCCTTTTCAGCCTTGTGAGTCACCTGGCAGGCCCCAGCTGGGCTGGCTGTCCGTGTCCCTCAGCCTGGCTGGTGATTCCTTGCAGGCCAGAAATGAAGAGTCCCTGTAGGTTTTGGTTTTGTTTGTTTTATTTTGTTCTTTCACCTTTTTTCCTCATTAAAAAAAAAAAGTCCCTGTGGAGTGTACTTATTTATTTTTTGATTAAAGGGAAGTAAAATGCATTCTGTTTTGTGTGTTTCCTAAAGAATCAGTGATTCCCCTAGGGGACTCCCTGCTTTGGCTGCAGAACAACCTGGAATGGCTGTTCCCATTGAAACCAAAGGAAGAGGGAAGGCCCTGATCCTAAGCTCGGCAGCCCCGCCCAGCCTCAGCCAGCAGGTGAGAGATGGCCTCCAGGATGGAGAGGGGCACAGGCAGCTCCCTCACCACCTTCTCAGCTGGTCCCAGGCCTGTCCCCCACAGAGCAGCTCCCAGCCCAGTGCCAGGCCCACGATCAGCTCAGCTCAGCACAGCTGGTGTTGGCAGGGCCTGCGGGATGGGTCTGGCCCCTTGAAGTTCTCTTGAGCTCACATTGTTACATTTTTTTAAGTTAGTTGCCAACATTTTTAAAATGTAGAGTTCACATTTTTTTAAAAAAAATTCAGATTTCTGTCTTCTCTTAAAATGGAAAGTTCCAGTAACAATGGGCTTAGCTTCCTGCCTGTGGCAGTCAGAAGTGCTAAGCAGAGGCCACTCCCTCTAGGTGGGATGTGCCCCGACCTGGCCAGCTGTGTCTCACACCCACCTGCAGCTTCTCTCACCTAGAAAAGTGTCCCCTCTGGGGAACATGTACCCCTGACCTGACCCACCTTCCAACCTATGTCTCCATCCTCCCTCTACGAGGGACCAGGGCCCTGGTCACTCTGGGCCACACTTCTGGATGAGGAGGGACAAAGGCAGGGACTTGGGAGTCAGAGTCCTGAGAGTGAGTCCCCGCACTGCCTAGCCTGGTCAGGTCTTAGTGTCTATTTTTTTTCCCTTTAAAGTTTCATTCAAGTGTAGAAACAATAGTGTTCTATGGGATTTTTTGAGGCAATCAAGTAGAATAGTGGATGTGGTCTGCTTCATAAATAAAATACTGTACAAATACTAATTATTTGGGAAAGTGTGGCATGGTGGAAGAAAGGTTTGGGAATCCAGTAAGTGTTTCCTAAAAAACTGACCCTGCATTCACATTTCAGAGCCTTCGTTTTGTCGTCTGAAAACTGGGGGAAGAGTATCTCCCTCAAGGGAGGGCCAGATGAGCTGAAGAGCACCGGATGCAAGTGCATAGTCGGGTTCAGCAAGTTTCCTTCTTTGCCTGTGCCTCCCAGATGATGGAGAGTGTGGGCATGTGTTGGGAGATGGGACATAGGGATGGTGGGGACAGCTCTCAGATGGTGAAATGGGGCTTCTGTGAACACCAGTCCACATCCCCATTCTGCCCAAGGATAATCTGTTGCTTCTTCCCCTCCCTCCTACCCATCATGAAGCCCCTCATCTGCCCACCCATCTGTCCATCCATCCATCTGCACATCCATCCACCCAACTATCCACCTACCCATCCATCCATCCATCCATCCATCCATCCATTCGCCCATCCATCCACCCACCATCCATTCATCTGTGCATTCATCTACACATCCATCCACTCATCTGTCCATCCATCCATCCATCCACCCACCTACCCATCCACCCATTCATTTGTCCATCTGTCCATTCATCCACCTACCCATCCATTCATTCATCTGTCCATCCATCCATCTACCCATCCATCCATCCATCCTTCCAAGACAGCTCTCTGCCCCTCCAAGCTCTGCACAGAAATCTCCAGAAGCCACAGCATTGACCAGTAGTTGTGAGCTGAGATGCCTTCAGGGGCCAGGCAGGTAACAAATGAGAGGAAAGGGGCCTTGGGTTAAATACTAGGGAGTGATAGCAACTGTGGAAAACTAAAATGTGTATGCCCAGGCTGTGAAGGAATGCAAATTTGAAAGAAACATTAAGCACTAACTACCAAACAAAACCTACGAAGGGGCAAAAATGGGTCTCTGGCCCTTTTGCAGCTGCCAGAACAGTGCTAGGTGGTGGCTCCTGGTCTCCTGCAGAGAGGCCAGGGAATGCACAGCCCAGATGGGCACCTGCACGAGGCCCGGACACCTTGGCTTTGTGTCCCCAGCTTCCATATACCCCCCAGTCTTGCCCTCCTCACTCTTAATTCTTTTTTCTTTTTCTTAGATAAGCAAATACATGAATGCATTGTCTGTTAAATACAACATTTCAAATCTGGCTAAAGCCTGTGGGCCCCTCTCCTTCAGGGCCCCTCCCACTTTCCCTCTTCCCATTTCCATCCATATCTGTCTGTGCACGCCCTGGGAAGCCCGGGCCTGTAACATAAAACACGCCCTCAGCACGGCTCACTCACCGACCCCCTGGCACATCTGCATCAGCATGCCTATTATGGGAGTGTTTTGAGGAAGTAGCCAAAGCTTTAGTGGAAAACCACCCAGGAAAGCTTCACCAGAGAGTCCTTCTCCACTACAGCAATGCCCCTGCTCACTCCTCATCAAACAAGGGCAATTTTGCAAGCGTTTCCATGACAAATTATTAGGCACTCACCTTATAGTCCTGATATGGCTCCTTCTGACTTCTTTTTGTTTCCTAAAAAAGAAAAAAAAAACTTTAAAGGGCACTTTTCTTCAGTTAATAATGTAAAAAGATGGCATTGCCATGGTAAAATTCCCAGGACCCTCAGTTTTTCAGGGAGGGGCTGAATGGCTGGTCTCATCGCCCACCAAAGTGTCTTGACCTTGATGGAACTTATGTTGAGAAAGACAGTTTGTTTCTTATTTTTAATCTTTGAATTCATTTTCCATGAACTTTTTTTTTTTCTTTTTCTTTTTCTTTTCTTTTTTTTTTTTTTGAGACAGGGTTTCGCTCTTGTTGCCCAGGCTGGAGTGCAATTGCGTGATCTGGACTCACTGCAACCTCCGTCTCCCGAGTTCCAGCGATTCTCCTGCCTCAGATTCCGAGTAGCTGGGATTACAGGCATGCGCAACGACGCCCGGCTAATTTTGTATTTTTAGTAGAGACGGGGTTTCTCCATGTTGGTGGTGTGAGCCACCGCGCCCGGCCTCCACAAACGTTTTGAAGTCGCGAATGTGTGTATCTGTGCACATACATGCTGTGTATGTATGTATTTGTGTGTGGGCATGTGTGTGTGTGAGTGTGCATGTATGTGCCTGCGTGGAGTCTCCCTCCTTACCTCCAATGCCCAACGCAGGTCCATCCACCCAAAGGGTAGAAGTCAGCCTTTGTTGAATTAAGCAAACCCCTGCCAGTTCACCCTGTCCTCATCGCCCGTATTCTCTACCGCAGAGGGCTGCTGTGGTGATTGTCCAGGGTCCCCTTTATAAGCGCCAGGCAGATGCACTTCTGTGGCCCTTTCCCCCTGGACAGCAGAGCGAGCGGGCACTGCCTTCAGCCGACACCTGCATATTGCAGTGCTTACCAGCAGGTGGCAGCAGCCACCCAAGCGTCTCTGTTTCCCATTACTTCGCCTTGGTTTCCAAATGTCAGGTGCTCTTGGTCCATACAGGCTCCAGGGTGAGGCCAGTAAGAACTGACTGGGGCAGGGCATGACTTATCCATAAAATGGATGATATCCTAGCAACAAGATTTCCTGAGCATCTGCCAGATGCCAGACACTGTTCTGGGCACATTACACACATTAACTTCTGGCCCCACAATAGCCCTAAGACGTCTGCCTGATCAGTATACTCATTTCATAGATGAGGAAGCTGAGGTGCAGGAGGTAAAATCATGTCCACAGGGCTGGAGGCTGGAAAGCGGATCTGCTGGTATTCCCAGTCTGCCAGCCTCAGGGACCTCCCCATCACACCGCCTTCCAGGGATGGGATTTGTTTTGGGGTGGGGGGGGAGCCAGCATTGTGCTGGGAGACTCCCTAAAGAGTAGGATGAAAGGGTTTCTTATCTGGGGTCATCAATTTTTTTTTTTTCTTTGAGACAGAGTCTCACTCTGTCGCCCAGGCTGGAGTGTAGTGGTGCGATCTCGGCTCACTGCAACCTCCGGCTCCTGGATTCAAGTGATTCTCCTGCCTCAGCCTCCAGAGTAGCTGGGATTACAGGCGCCCACCACCACACCTAGCTAATTTTTGTATTTTTAGTAGAGACGGGGTTTTGCCACGTTGGCCAGGCAGGTCTCGAACTCCTGCCCTCAGGTGATCCACCCACCTCGGCCTCCCAAAGTGCTGGGATTACAGGCATGAGCCACCACGCCTGGCCTGGGGCCATCGATTTTTGAAAGAACCTTCACATTTGTCACCCTTAGACACAGGGGGAAGACCTATGATTGCCCCATGGTCTGAGCAATGAAGGAAGGGCTCTTGCTCTCATTACAGACTCCCCAGGAGGCGGCCTGTTTTCATCTCCACACCTCATTCTGTGCCCTTTCTAGGTCTGGGGCAGATGGTTGCCTCCTCTCTCCATACTGCTTTGCCAGTCACTGCTCTACCATTGATTGATTCATTCATTCATTCACTTATTCAATATTTTTTAGCACCTGCTCTATACCAGGCACTATTCTAGGCTCTGAGACCCAGCGGAGAATTAGATCCCTGCTGTAGTGGCGATAGACAGTAAATATGATGGATAAATAACACAAATGTATGAGAAGGTATAATAAGTGTGATGGAAAAAACAAAACCAGGCAGTGGGGTGTTGCACTTTGAATAAAGGACCCAACCCAGAGTGGAGAAGGTGACGTCCGAGCAGACTTGACTCCATCCTCTCATCTTACACGAATGCGTGGGTGTTTCCTGATGGCAGACAAGTCCTCTCCTTGTTCTTTCCTGTCGAGAGTTTAAAGGAAGCGCCTGCTTTCTTTCCTGTCGAGAGTTTAAAGGAAGCGCCTGCTTCCTTTACTGTCAGTGGAATGGGCTCCTGGGAGGGGCAGTGCACGTGCTCACTGCTCCATCTTCCACCGGAAGTCCCCTTCTTGGGTTCCACCGGTGCCCTGGGACTGGGTGGGCTGTGCAGGGTTGTGCCATACCATGGGGCCAGCAGCCGGGCTCAGGCAAACAACATCCCCAGATAGGAGGGAGGAAGGGGCTTTCACCTCCAGCGGGGGGACCAAAAGGAGCTCAGGAATGGGGCAGAGCATGATGGACTCCAGGCAAATCACTGCCTTTTTCTGGGCCTTCACTTCCCTCTGTCTCCTTCCCTTGTTAGAGCATCTGGGACCCCCAGACAGCATCCCAGGCTGAGATCTCGCAGGAACTGTTGATGGTTGGAGAGCTGGGGTTATGTGTTCGTTGAATCCCAGCAGAAAGCAGTGCAAGCTTCAAGGCATCTGGAGGGAAGCATTTATGAACTCTCTGGGAAGGAGATTGGGAAGGGCTGGGGCCACAGCCCTCTTCTCCTCTGACCTGGAGCCTAGCTCAAGGTGATGATAGAAAGACAACGCACCTCTGGCCGGGCGTGGTGGCTCACGCCTGCAATCCCAGCACTTTGGGAGGCTGAGGCGGGCAGATCACTTCAGGTCAGGAGTACGAGACCAGCCTTGCCAACATGGTGAAACCCCGTCTCTACTAAAAATACAAAAATTAGCCAAGTGTGGTGGCACGTGCCTATAATCCCAGCTACTCAGGAGGCTGAAGCAGGAGAATTGCTTGAACCTGGGAGGCGGAGGTTTCAATGAGCAGAGATCACGCTATTGTACTCCAGCCTGGGTGACAGTGTCAGACTCTGTCTAAAAACCAAACAACAAAAACAAAAAACAAACAAAAACACTAAGACAACTGACATCTAATAAGGGCTTGCTCCACCCTCTGTTTTCATTCCTGGAGCAAGCCAAGAGGCTGATTCCTAACCTCCACTTTATAAAAGAGAAAACTGAGGCGCAGCGACAGCAAATGACTTGCCCTTGGAGCCTGGTCTTCTGGGCCCTTTGAATGGGGTGATATGGTTTGGCTCTTTGTCCCCTCCAAATCCCATGTTGAACTGTGATTCTCAACGTTGGAGGTGAGACCTGCGGGGAGGTGATTCATGGGGGCAGACCCTCCTGAACAGCTTAGCACTATCCCCTTGGTGATGAGTGGGTTCTCGCTCAGTCACTTCATGGGAGATCTGGTGGGTTTGTTTGTTTGTTTTTGTTTTGTTTTGTTTTGTTTGAGACAGAGTATGGCTCTGTTGCCCAGGCTGGAGTACAGTGGTGTGATCTCGGCTCTCTGCAACCTCTGCCTCCTGGGTTCAAGCAGTTGTCCTGTCTCAGCCTCCCAAGCAGCTGGGACTACAGGCACAAGCCACCAAGCCCAGCTGATTTTTGTATTTTTTTTTTTTAGCAGAGATGGGGTTTCACCATATTGCTCAGGCTGGTCTCGATCTCCTGACCTCAGGTGATCCACCCACCTCGGCCTCCCAAAGTGCTGGGATTACAGGCGTCAGCCACCGTGCCCAGCCAATCTGGTTGTTTAAAAGAGTCTGGGACCTCCCACTTTGCTCTCTTCCTCCTACTCTTGCCAGGTGACACGCAGGCTCCCCCTTAGCCTTCTGCTGTGATTGGAAGCTTCCTGAGGCCTCACCCAGAATAAATGCTGGTGCCATGCTTCCTGCACAACCTGCAGAACTGAGAGCCAATTAAGCCTCTTTGTAAATTACCTAGACCCTGGTATTTCTCTTTTTTATTTTTTGAGACAGGATCTTTCTGTCGCTCAGCGTGGAGTGCAGTGGCGCCATCTCAGCTCACTGCAACCTCTGCCTCCCGGATTCAAGTGATCCTCGTGTCTCAGCCTCCTGAGTAGCTGGGATTACAGGCATGTGCCACCATGCCAGACTCATTTTTGTATTTATAGTAGAGACAGGGTTTTGCCATGTTGGCCAGGCTGGTCTTGAACTCCTAGCCTCAAGGGATCCGCCTGCCTCGGCCTCCCAAAGTGCTGGGATTATAGGCGTGATCCCAGCCTAGCCTGGTATTTCTTTATAGTGACACAAGGACTAATACAAGGTCCTTCCTTAGGATAGAAGGAGAGTCCTTACTGTGGGGATAATATCAGAATAATGCTAGAACACTTTCTGCTGCAAGGGACAGAAACCCACCTCAAACCAGCTTAAGCAAAAAAGGAAATTTATCAGCTCATTGATTCAGCTAGGGTAGGCAGGGTTATGCTGTGGTAACAAACAGCCCCATCTCAGCAGCTTAGAACAACAAAGGATTGATTCCTTGCTCACGATACACGTCTATCACAAGTGAACTGAAACTTCAGTCCGTATCTCCTTGCTCAAGGACCCAGGTGCCCAGGCAGATGGAGCAGTCACCATCATCATCTGTCTCTGTGACAGAGGAAAAACACCCCAGGGGGTGTGGTAGCCATCTGAAAAATGCTCTGCCCAGAAGTGAGACTTATCACTTCTGCTCACAACTGCCCAGTCCCAGCCAGTCACATGGCCCCATCTGGCTACAGAGGGTCAGGATGTACAATCCTGCCATGTGCCCAGCATATGGTGAACAGCATAATGACTTCCATACTCATGTATCTAAACGGTCCAGGAGAAACGTGGTTTCAGGCATGGCTGGATCCGGGATCTCAAGAGCTATTACCATCTCTCAGCTCTGCTTTCTTGTGTGTTTCTTGCTGCCCCTCCCAGTACCCTCCTTACAGCTTAGTAATCCCAGCAGAAAGAGAGCATGGACCAGCTAGGGTATGTCTGTCCCTAAACTGTACTGTTGCCAGGGGGAAGAAATGTCCTACTGGGCAGGCCTGGTTCACATAGCCACTCCCAGAGCTGGGGTCAGCCACGTCTCCAAACTGCTGCACAGGCAGATGCAGCAGGCACCCACGGCGTCTGCTAAACCTTCCTCACCTCTTGATCTAGGTACGTTCCAGCAGAGCAAGGTGAAAAAGAGCTGAAAGTGGCATCAGAAGCCCAGAGTTCTGGTTCCAGCTCCGACCACTCATTCAGTGTGTGACCTCAGGCAGGTCACCAGCCTGAGCTGTGCCTTCATTTCATCTGTCAGACGGATGACTCTGCCCCTCAGAGCTTGCAGACGGCAAGGTGAGGAATGCGGCAGCTGGGAAAGTGACGTTGCTATCGGTCCCCCTTCCTCTTCAGTGAGTCTTGTCAGCAATTCTGGCCTGGTCTTTGGAGGGCGAGGAGCGCCTGTCCCACTTGCTCCTGACCCTTGGTCGTACCTCCAGGCCTTTGTCCAAGCTCTTCCCTCTGCCCCAAATAGCTGGTACATGTAACAACGCCTATTCATTTTTCCTTTTTTTTTTTTTTTATGAGACGTAGTCTCGCTCTGTCACCCAGGCTGGAGTGCAGTGGTGTGATCTCTGCTCGCTGCAACCTCCATCTCTCAGATTCTCCTGCCTCAGCCTCCTGAGTAGCTGGGGTTACAGGCACCCGCCACCGCACCCAGCTAATTTTTGTATTTTTAGTAGAGACTGGGTTTCACCACGTTGCCCAGGCTGGTCTCAAACTCCTGACCTCTAATGATCTGCCCGCCTCGGCCTCCCAAAGTGCTAGGATTACAGTCATGAGCCACCACTCCCAGCCTCCTATTCATTTTTCGAAGTCCAACCAACACCACCTCCTCCCTGAAGCCCCCTACTCCTCTTGATGTTCTCTCTGGGCTACCATCGGTGAGCTGGGACTCACTCATACCAGCCAGGAGGGCAGATTGTGCATATCTCTTCCCAACTCTGTGTTTAGACTCAAATCAGGAGCATGAAATTACACCATGGAAATAAGCAAATGCTACAAATCAGGCTTTATTGAGTGCCTACTATGTGCCAGGCTGGGACTAAAGGCAGTGAACAAAATAGAGTTGCTGGCCTGGTATAACTTGTGTTTTATCTTTATCTTTGTTTCCAGTATGCATTTATCTCTGTCTATCCAACCAATCATTCTTCCTTCAAGCTTTTTATTAAAGCCATTAAGAGTAATATCAAAGACTTTTGCACCAACTTAATACCATCTTCCTATCCACCCACACATCCATCCATCCTCCATCCACCCTCCTACCTACTAATCCCTCCTTTCAGGTGAGCCAGCTCTTGTCTCCAACTTTTATTTTTAAGAGACAGGGTCTTGATCTGTGACCCAGGCTGGAGTGCAACGGTGTAATCACAGCTCACTGCAGCCTCAAATTCCTGGGCTCCAGCGATCCTCCCACCTTAGCCTCCCGAGTAGCTGGGACTATAGGCAAGCACCACCACACCTGGCTAATTTTTTTAAAAAATAATAATTTTTGTAGAGATGGGGCCTTGCTATGTTGCCCAGGCTGGTCTCGAACTCCTGGCCTCAAGTGATCCACCTTCCTTGGCCTCCCAAAGTGCTGAGATCACAGGTGTGAGCCACTACGCCCGGCCCTCCAACTTTGCTCCTCTGTGTTTATAAGCTGAGTTCCCTTCAAAGGTGGGATTCTGAGGAGCCTCATCTGCCCCAGTCCAGAGTCCCCCAATCTGGCCTCAGGCCTTCCCCAACCATCTGTGTTCCCCTCCGCCACCCAGCAAGCTCTGGGTGCAGGAGAGCTGTGCTGCTTTCCTGGGAGCCTGTGGCTCAGGTGGCACCCACAGGTGGCTCCTGGAACCTGTTGCCCCCAAGAAGGTGTGAAAACCACAGCACATCTGGACCCAAGAGTCCCTAGGGTGCAGGTGCACGGGGTGTTGAGGGCTGCGCCTGCTCCGTGCAGAAGCTGTGTTTCCACTCTTGTGCTCCCATCCAAGTCTCACACCCCCCGATCCCAGGCTCACAGTCCCACTCTTATAACCATCAGTGTTCTAGAACCTTCCAGCCTCCTGCCAGGCACCGAGGACTCTCATGCATTCTCTCAGCTACCTCTCCCAACCACCCCACTTCACAGATGAGTCACGAAGGAACCTTCCGCAGGACTGACCTGTGCTGACTTCCAACCCGACCCTGTTGCAAAAGCATGGGTGAGCTAGAGCTGGCTCCTCCAGCACAGCCCTGCAGCCTGCAGTCTGACCTTTGGGGAGGAAGACGGGGCCGGGCCAGGGTGGCCCCAGCTCTACTAAAAATACAAAAATTAGCCAGGCGTGGTGGTGTGTGCCTGTAATTCCAGCTACTCTGGGGCTGACGCAGGAAATCGCTTGAACCCGGGAGACAGAGGTTGCAGAGAGCCGAGATCGCACCACTGCATTCCAGCCTGGGCGACGAGAGTGAGACTCTGTCTCAAAAGAAAAAAAAAAAAAAGAAAAAGAAAATGTTGCTAAGAAATATTTTCTTAGCTTCTTAATTCACATTTCAACAGGTTCTCTGACAAATCATTGACAAACAACTTGACCTCCCTTCAATTCTCCAGGATGAACAAATAAGACAGGATTTATTGGCAGGATTGAATTGGGGCAGGGTAGGGGGCCCAGCAGGATGTGTGGCCGGAGCACACTGCATAGTTCCAACCTGCAGCCCCCTCCATGAGTGCCACGGGGGGTGGGTCCCATGAGCCATGGCCTGCTACGTAATTGGTGTTTAATAAATATCTCTTGGGTGCATAAAGGGAATTTTTAAAAACTTAGTAGCAGAAGTTAGAAAAAGAAATCTTGGTTGGTGGGGAGCTGTTTCCAAGAGACGAAACGGACTGATTTTAAGCCTGGAAACCCCCCCGAGTGGCCCTCTGCAGGCGGGACGGCCCCGCGGGTGCCCAGGCTGTCGCTGACGATTGATGTTCTCACCCCCGCCCGCCTCGGCTCTGGCCGCAGAAGGAAGGAAGCTGACGTTTATTGAGGGTCTGCTCTGGGCTGCGTACCGTACACGGGTGACATCGCCAATTTCCCCCAGGTGTGTCATGCCTTCCCCACTGTCTGGATAAGGAAACTCTAGCCCAGAGAGGGGAGGCGACTTGGCTCAGGTAGCACAGCCAGAAGGTATCAGAGTCGGGATTCAGACCTTCGTCCAGGGGCCGCCCAAAAAATTGCCATTCCCGAGGTCACCATGGGCTCACTCCATCCCCTTTCGCTTCCTGTTGGCAGGTGATAAGGAACAATATGGACTTCTTGCAGCTCCTGGAGGCAGACGCTGGAGGGCTGGGCTCCGCCTCAGTCACAGGCAATGCCCTGATCCCACAAAGCCCCGGAGATGCTGTGGACCAACTTGCAACACAAGACCCTAGGAGGGAGGACGGCTGTTGTCATCTGTTGACCACAAACACGTTTACTGTGCACACTTGTGCACATGGGTGAGCTCCGTGAGTCCAGACATGCACAGGGCAGGTGAATGCATGGAGTACCATGGGCATTATCCCAGGCCCACAGGCACGTGCAATCACACACACACGTGGACATGCCACTGCGCACCTAAGACACACACACACACACACATGCATATGCACACACACACATATGCACACACACACACAGACACTGTAAACATCAGGCTCAAAGGCCCATCCAGGAGACCAAAGGCTGCAGGTGTCTTCACATCACAGCCCAGGTGACCTTGTCTCTGGCTCAGGGCCCAGTGGCCTGGCCAGCTCTGGACATCCAGTCAGCCTCATTAGCTGGCCTGGGGTCCAGGGCTCGAAAGTGGCGGAGGAATGACCACCCACTGGCGGAGGTAGCTCCGGGGGGGTCCTTCGTCCCCGGGGCTGGTGAAGTCACACTCCACAGGGCTGCTGCAGTCAGAGCCCACAAAGCCACTGTCAAACGTGTCCATATCCAGGCCGGCCAGGGGTGAGCCCGCCTCACTCTCTGAGACCCCTCCAGGTGACCGGCCACCCCAGGGCAGTCCCCCAGCCCAGTCCTCCCCATCTGCAAGGGGTGGCTTTAGTCTGTCCAGGAGGCTTCCCAGGGGCCCTCCTAGCCCAGGGCTGCCAGCTGAGACACAGCCACAGGACAGGACTGTGGTCCCTGCATCCAAGAGTGGGTCCTCTAGGCCTGGGCTGGGCTCCAGGCCAGCATCCAGGTCCAGGGCTGGGTAGCCGTCATCCTCACAGCTGCAGGGCCAGGTGCATGGCCCCTCTGCATCTAGCACAGTCACTGTGTCAATGGACACCAGGCCGTATGGCCGATCCCTCTCCTCACTGTAAGCTGAGCCCCCCGAGTTCTGGGCTGTCGGCCAGAAGCTGGGCTTGGGCACACCGTCAGACTCCACCAGCTCTGCTGGTTCTTGTAGCTCCGTGAGCTGCAGCCTCTTGGCCGGGCTCCGTGGTGGGTGGCAGCTGTACACCTCCAGGGTGGAGGGCACCTCTGGGCTCCAGGGTCCCAGCTCCAGGCTGGAGCCAGTGAAGGGTGCACCCACCCATTTCTGTGAGAGAGAAAAAGAGAGAGTCATAGCACAGGATGAGGGTAAGGTGAGGGTTTATTTTTCTTTTACTTTTATTCTTTTGAGACAGTCTGGCTCTGCTGCCCAGGCTGGAATGCAGTGGTGCCATCTCGGTTCACTGCAACCTCTGCCTCCCAGGATCAAGTGATTCTCCTGCCTCAGCCTCCCAAGTAGCTGGGACTACAGGCGCCTGTCACCACACCCGGCTAATTTTTGTATTTTTAGTAGAGACGTGGTTTCACCATGTTGGCCAGACTGATCTTGAACTCCTGACGTCAGGTGATCCACCCGCCTCAGCCTCCCAAAGTGTTGGGATTACAGGCGTGAGTCACTGTGCCCAGCCAAGGTGAGGGTTTAAACAGACAGAAAGACAGACACAGACACAGAGACAAGACAAAGAGACATCAAGAGAGACAGACAGAGACATGAAGATAGACAAAGACACCGAGAGACAGAGAGAGAGAGAGGAATCAGGACCACAATGTGCTCCCACCCTAGTGGATCCCCCTCCTACTCTGGGCCTCAGTTTCCCTACTTGTAGAAGGGAGTTGCTACCCTTAGTAGTGTGACCAGTCAGACAACTGGTGGCCCCATAGTCCAGGCAGGGACCAAGATTCCTGAGTCAAGGAGACATGGGGGCAGGAGGGCCTGAGGTCTGAGGTACCCCTGAGCCATCTCCTGCTTTCCCGCCTCCTTGATGCTTCTTGAAACCTAGCACTCTCCTGGTTTATGTGTCCCCACCAGACAGACACTTGGCCCCCGGACATAAGTCTTGTCTCTTCTGTCCATGGCTGTAGCCCCAGTGCCTAGCACAAAGTAGGTGCTCAATAAATGTTTATTAACGAAATGAATGGGTGGAGTGGATCAATGAAAAGCCACTTGGAAAGGCCTTTGTACACTTTGAGGATAAAGGATGTGGGTGATGCTGGCTGAGGCGGTGGCCCTTAAACTTGAAGGACCCTCCCCTTCCCTCCCCTGCCAGGACTCCCACTCACGACACCAGAATCCTCATGCAATTGGCAAGGAAAATCCCCAGGAATGGGTATCTCCCTGTTTTGAGCTCATCTTCCTCAAAAACTCATCTCAGAACTGTGATGTGGCCACCACCACTGATTCAAAGTCGCTTCTCAGCTGTGTGCCCTTAAGCCAATTACTTACCCTCTCGGTGCCTCAGTTTCCTCATCTGTAAAATGGACCTAATAATAGCACCCACCCGTAGGGCCGTCGTGAGGATTAAATGAGTCACTGTTTGTGATGCTCCTAGGGGACTGCCTGGTATATAGCAAGTGCTATATGAGTATTGGTAAAAATCAACCCAAAATCAATGTGATATTTGAGCTTTAGGGAAGAGGAAAGGGTGGGTCTTATGTGGGTTGGGGTCCATGTTCCTCCCTGCCCACTCTTTGGCCTCCTCATGGGTGCCCTGGGGGCAGTGGAACATCCACTCTGCAGGGGCTGCTGTGAATATGAGAATGAGTGAGGCAGGAAGGGTGTCCAGCGCAGCACCAGGCAGACAGCAGGAGCTCAATCAATGGTCTAGGTCTACACTGTCTGACTTTCAGGCTGGGCTGCAGCAGGTGGGGCTGGCCCTCCCACCTCTGTCACCACATCCTCTCTGTGGCAGCCACTCCCACTGCTGCAGGGTGGGTGACACGGCTGTAAATGGGCACAGACAACCTGTGGGTGCTGGCGGGTGGTGGTGAGTTGGAGGCTTGGCAAATGTTAGTGTGTTTTGCCCCGTGGGCCAGGCTCTTTCCAGAACCTATTCCCTCTCCAACCCAGATTAAGGACACCTAAGAAAGGACCAGTGGGGCAATCTGTGACTCAGGAGACCACCAGCCTCACCCCCTATCCCAGTCTGGTTCCTTGGGCTGGGCCAATGCTGCATTATTTTGTTTACTTTTTCTTTTTGATTTTTTTTTTTTTAAGATATAGTCTCTGTCTGTTGGCCAGGCTGGAGGGCAGTGGTGTGATCATAGCTCACGGCAGCCTCTGAACGATCGTCCTGCCTCAGCCTCCCGAGTTGCTGGGACTACAGGCGTGCACCACCTCACTTGAATGATTTTTAAGTTTTTGGTAGAGATGGGGAGGCGGAGTGGTGGTGAGGGTCTCCCTATGTTGCCCAGGCTGTTTTTGAACTCCTGGCCTCAAGCAGTCCACTTGCTTTGGCCTCCCAAAGTGCTGGGATTGCAGATGTCAGCCACCACACCTGGTCAAATCTTGTTTAATTCTTCTGCCAATTCTGCACCACAAGAATGACTGTCTACACTTTGCACATGGGGAAACTGAGGCCTGGCTTGTGGCTTGGCTGAGACCTGGATGCTCTAGGCCTGTGGGGTGAGGCTGGGGAGCCTGGGGTGAGGGGAGGTGGGGCTCCTGAAGAGGAGGAGGGGCTCCGAGGAGCTCATCACAGGGTCGGGAGCTCACCTTGAAGTCTCCGCTGCAGCCCTTGTACAGGGGCATGAAGAACCGCTCAGGGCTGGGGACGGCCCATATCTTCTTCCATAGCCTGAGGGGGCAGAGAGGGGTGAGGACCCTGACATCACCAGAGGGCAGCCTGGCCTCCCATTCGGACGCTCCCCAGCTTCATCCTACAGGAGCTTCCGAGCATCCCAAGACTCAGCCCAGGCGCCTCCCTCCTTCCCTGGGGCTTGGTTTCCCCTTCTGTAAAATGGGAGAAGTAAGTCTCCCTCACAGGCTCCTGAAGGGATATCGTGGTTATGTTCTTGGCTGCCTGTTGCGTGCTGGGCAAATGTTGCCCCTTCTGAGCCTCAACTTCTTTATCTGCAACCAGGGGTGCGCAGAGAGGCCATTTCAGAGGTGTGGACTATTACAGCCACCTCTTCACCACCACCTAGTGGCCCCTTAAGCCCATTAAGCCTCAAAGCTTAAAATCCACTGGACAAGATCACAGCTGAGGTCCCTGTTTAAGGGCACAGATTTTCAATCCCAATTTCTCCACCTTGGAGCTGTGTGACTTTGTCCTTGACATCTCCTTGCCTCAGTTTCTCCATTTGTAAAATAAGGGCAACTGCAGTGTCTCAAGCTCATAGGGCAGCCATGGGGGTGAAGGGAGTGCCCTCCACAGTGTCCAGCACATGGTGGCTGTGAGTTGGTTATTATCCCATCATCATCATTGTTACCATGATGACAGTCATGTTTTCCAACCCTGCATGTATCATACAGGGGCAGTGGCCCAGGCTGACCACCTCCCTGCCTTCCTCATCCCCTGGCCTCACCTCCACAATGGATGGGTCTTCAGGCTCCAGAAGGCAGGAATGAAGACTATGACAAGCAGGAGGAGAAGCAGCAGGTGAGGGTTCCAGCCTTCCTTTAACTCTGGGAAGGAAGCAAAGAAAGGGTTAAATGGCACCAACTCTACCAGAGGCCATATGGGGTGGGCATGGTGGGAAATGGGTCTGGGGTAGAGTGGAAGAGGGTAGGAGAGGCTGTTACTGCTAGTGTCTTGAAGTGAGATGGATCTGGGTTCAAATCTTGTTCTCATTCCTCACCCCAGGCAAGTAACTTCATTTCTCTGAGCCTAAGTTATCTCGTCTGAAAAACAGGGCTGATTCCCACTTCAGAGTTAGGGGGATCAAATGCCTAACAGAAGAAGCAGCTGGCACCCAACAGGGCCTGGCCAGCAGGGGCTCTAGAAATGTAATTGAAGGGCTACATCTGAGGATGAACAACTGAATACCTCCCAGCTGTGCCAGAAAGCTCAGGGCTTAGGGTGGCTAGAACAGGACAAAATTTGATACCAGGAGTGGGGTGTCCATCCCAGCTTCACACCTACCCTCTGACTGGGTCTGAAAGATGACCGGGTCACTCCATTCACTCCAGGTCCCCTGGTAGGAGGAGCCAGGCATGGGCCCTGCCCGCACCTGCAGCTCATAGCTCGAGTCTTTGCGGAACTCCAGGGGGAGGAGGGAGACACTTCTTGAGTCCACTGAGATCAGCTTTCTCCTCGGACTCTGCCAGTACAAGGAAAGGATGCACCAGGTCAGGGTTAAACCAGGCCAGCCCCTGCCTCCAGCAGAGCCACCTCTTTTCCCAGCTTCCATCAAAGGGGCTGAGTGTCTCTTCTCTTCCCACAAGAATCAAGCCTATGCCTGAGTAGCTGGACTCAGGCATGGGGAGCACAGACTCACCAGCACTGCCTGGCCCGTGCATGTGATAGGATGCTCTGTTTGATTTCTCTTTGATCCAATTCAGCCACTCACAGTCCTGGCAGTGGACTCTCCCTGCAGGACTGGGCATATCTCAGGAGTGGTAATGGTCTGGCAGCATTCCAGGCAATGCATACTTTTGGAATTCTTCAACAGTTGAGGACATTCTCAACCGATGTACTACTGATATAAGTCTCAGTACATCAGTGGAGAATGTCTTCAACTGTTGAAGAATTCCAAGAGTTGACATACTGACATTCCCAACAGCAGGCATTTCTAGAACTCTAACTACAGACATCTTAGCAATGGATACCTCTGGAAGTCTTCCACTGGGGACTTTCTAAAGTATGGCACTCATGGACATCTTCAGCTGGGACTATCCTAAAGGATGGGCAATTCTAGAACTCTTCAGCTGTGACTGTTCTATCATTGTTACTATTTTTTATTTTTTAGAGACAGTACATCACTTGTGACTGTTCTAAATAGTGGGCTGGAAGGACATCACTCAACACCTTCATGTTTGAAACAATGGGCCCTCTAACACTGGACCTTTTTTTTTTTTTTGAGATCGAGTCTCACTCTGTTGCCCAGGCTAGAGTGCAGTAGCGCGATCCCAGCTCACTGCAACCTCCGCCTCCTGGATTCAAGTGATTCTCCTGCCTAAGCCTCCAGAATAGCTGGATTACAGGTGCATGTCACCACGCCTGGCTAATTTTTTGTATTTTTAGTAGAAACAGAGTTTCACCATGTTGCCCTGGCTGGTCTCAAACTCCTGACCTCAAGAGATCCACCTGCCTTGGCCTCCAAAGTGCTGGGATTACAGGCATGAGCCACCGCACCTGGCTGGACCTTCTTAATAATTGATATTTCTGGAACTCTCCAACTATGGCCATTCTAAGCAATTGGGAAGCTTCCAGGTTGCCCCATTTCTGAAACTTCTTCTATTGTGACTATGCTAGACCTGGGGTGGAGTCTGGGGAAGGGACAGTCTCTTTGGCATGCTGACCGCCGAGGAGACCAGTTTGGGGAGGACAGATTATTCAGGGGTCTCCTACCTTGGGGAGAAGTGAGGGGAGGAGGAGGGCCCGCTGTAAGGGAGTGCTCGTGCCCTTGGTCTCTGTTCTTGGCCATGAATGATGTTGTTCACCCGTCTCTCCCACCCAGATGCCTTTGCACTCCGTCATCTCCCCTCCCCTCCCACAAAGCTGCACTGATCCCCACATTCCTCACCACAGCCCAGGGGTCTCCCCGGTTCCTGTACTGCAGCTCATACTGAAGCTTGCCCTTCAGCATGTAGAAGGCAGGGTCTTCGTAATCTGAGCGCCAGGAGATATTATACTGTCCTGAGAAGGTCACAGTCACGTTGAAAGGGGGAGCCGGCTTGACTTGGTGGAAAAACCCAGGAAAAGAAAATGGGGTGAGAATTTGCTGCAGGTGAAAAGGATTTGGTGATGGGAGGAAGTCCTGCCTGCCCCCACCCCTGCCTCCATGCCTGACCCATCATGGATGAGATGAAGACCAACAACCCTGAGTGACTTTGGGCAAAGTACTCCCAACTCTGGGCTTCAGTTTATTCATCTGGGACCTGGGAGATTTAGACCTGATCAGGATTGCAAACTCAGGGGCGGGCAGGTCACAGAGAGGAGTGAAGCAGGTTTAGGGACTGTGACGAAATAAAACAGTCTGGCTGGGTGCAGTGGCTCATGCCTGTAATCCCAGCACTTTGGAAGGCCAAGGCAGGTGGGTCACGAGGTCAGGAGATCGAGACCATCCTGGCTAACACGGTGAAACCCCATCTTTACTAAAAATACAAAAATTAGCCGGGCGTGGTGGCGGGCGCCTGTAGTCCCATCTACTCGGGAGGCTGAGGCAGGAGAATGGCGTGAACCCGGGAGGCAGAGCTTGGAGTGAGCCAAGATTGCGCCACTGCACTCCAGCCCGGGCGACAGAGCGAGACTCCATCTCAAAAACGAACAAAAATAAATAAATAAAAGAGTTAAAAGTGAATGGCCCCAGCAGCACAGAGTGGTCAGCTTTTCTAAGTTTTCTAGGGAAACACACACGCACATGCCTACACACACGCATACACAAACACATGTGCACATGCACACCCACACACATGCATGCCCACACATGCACACCCAAACGCATGCCTACACATGCAACACACATGCACACGCACAGCATGCACACACACAAATGCACACGCACACACATGAAATCTGAAACCCTGCTTTCTATGCACTGAAGGGCAAGTTTCAATATGAGGTGCAGAATGGGAAACGGGAGACCCCTGGAATTATCATGTGAAATCTCCAAGGGTTTTTTCCCCCTAGAGACAGGATCTCACTGTGTTGCCCAGGCTGGAGTGCAGTGGTGCGATCATAGCTCACTAGCAGCCTCAACCTCCTGGGCTCAAGCCATCCTCCCACTTCAGCCTCCCAAGTAGCTGAGACTACAGGTGGATGCGACCACACTTGGCTAATTATTTGTCTGTTTTGTAGAAATGGGGTCTCACTATCTTTGCCCAGGCTGGTCTCAAACTCCTGGCCTCAAGTGATGCTCCCACCTCAGCCTCCCAAAATCCTGGGATTGCAAGAACAAGCCACTGCACCTGGCCTATATTAAGTTTTAAAGTTAGCAACCCATCCAAAAATGTTCTCAGCAACGTGCTGGCAAATCCATTCATTTTCCATTTCTGTTCTAAATGATGGTATCATTTTCTTTCAACCCCAGCTACTTCAAGCAGTTGATGACTCTTCTTAGCATGAATGCTAATGGTGAGGGCTGCCATTTACACAGAGCCTGCCTGGCTGCCCTGCTCTGGGCAGTTTGACACCCCACAGTGGCCCTGGGAGGCCAATCTGATGGTCCTCATCTTTCAGCGTCTCCTGGCAAGTGCAAGAGCCGAGCTCTGAGCCATAACAGCAAGCTTTCATGGGCGGCCTCCAGGTGAAGGTCAAAGCCGGCATTCTGTTTTTGCTCCATTCGAAGGACATTTCATGAACTTGAGCAGAACACAATATGTTAAGGGCCTTAAATTCCTCTCTTGTAAAATGGGCTCAGTTCCTATATCATGGGGCTTCAAGTTCAAAGGGATGAAGCTATTTAGCAGAAGGCAGTAACTTCAGAGGAACTGAGTGACAAGTGTCTATTAGTGTCAGAGAGGAGTTGCAGGCCTCTGCCCTCACCTTCTCCACTTTTTCTTTTTTTGTTCTCCTTCCTTCCTTCCTTTCTCCCTCCTTCCCTCCCTCCCTCCCTTTCTTTTTTCTCTTCTTTCTTTTTTTTTTTTTTTTTTTTGAGACAGAATCTCTGTCACCCAGGCTGGAGTGCAGTGGCGTGATCTCAGCTCACTGCAGTCTCCACCTCCCAAGCCCAAGCGATTACACGGCCTCAGCCTCCCAAGTAGCTGGGACCATAGGTGCGCACCACCATGACTGGCTAATTTTTGTATTTTTAGTAGAGAAGTAGTTTCCCCATGTTGGCCAGACTGGTCTTGATCTTCTGACCTCAAGTGATCCACCCACCTCAACCTCCCAAAGTGCTGGGACTACAGGTGTGAGCCACCACACCCAGCCACCTTCTTCACTTTCAATCTGCCACCATCTAACACTCTGCACCTCTCACCCTGTGATTTTGTTTACTATGTGCCTCCCTCACTGGGCTCTTAGCTCCTTGGGGCAGAGGTTTTGTCCTCCAGGTTCAGTCTGTGCCCACAGCTCCTAGAACACAGCCTGGGGCACAGTAGGCCCTCAATAAATATTTGGCAAATTAGGCTGGGCAAGGTGGCTCATGCCAAAAATCTCAGCACTTTGGGAGGCTGAGGTGGGAGGATTGCTTGAGGCCAGGTGTTCAAGACCAGCCTGGACAACACAGCAAGATCCCAGCTCTACAAAAAATTTAAAAATTAGCCAGGATGGTGATGTGCACCTGTAGTCCCAACCACTCAGGAGGCCGAAGTGGGAGGATCGCTTGAGCCCAGGAGTTCCAGGCTGCAATGAGCTATGGTTGTGCCACTGCACCCCAGGCTGGAGGACAAAGCTACACCCTGGCGCGCGCTTGCTCGCTCTCTCTCTCTCTCTCTCTCTCTCTCTCTCTATATATATATATATATATATATATATTTGTCAGATTAACTAATGAACCTTGCAAGGCCTCCAGAAAGGAGCTCTAAGGCTGCCTGTGATCCTGAAACCCGCACTGAGGGCTCCCACCACGCCCCGAGGTGACAGAGGTGCACATTTTACAGAATGCCATGGTGAACACTGGGTTGTTGCTGTTGCTGTTCCAGTAATGGGATGTTTTTGACTGAAATCGTTTCTAACCCCTCTTTTGTCTTCCCCGGGGCAGGTGGAGGCCGGCTCTCGGCTTCCCTGTGTGGCTGGGTGAGGATGAGTCCCAGAAGACACCAGGGTACTGAGAACTGCCCCGTGGGTACTCGGGAGATGTTTGCAGAGCCTGGGGGTCGTGAAGAGGGGCTGCTCAGCCCAGCGAGGCCCAGGGCCCAGGAGGAGGAAGGGACCCTCGGCGGGAGGTGGTTAGAAAATCACTTCCTGCCCCAGCTGGGACCAGGCTAGCTGCAGATCCTGGCAGGGAGGGAGGGAATGCCAGAGAGAAATGCTTGGATTCACGCTGCAAGACAAGTGGCAAGGAGGGTCCCCTTGTGAGTCTGTGCATGTGTGAGTGTGTGCATGTGTGCCCGTGAGTAATGTGTGTGTCTGTGCATGAGTGTACACGTGTGTGAGAATGCATGTGTGAGTGTGTGCATATGTGTGCCCGTGTGTGATGTGAGAGTGTATGAGTATGTGTATATGTGCGTGTGTGCACACGTGTGAGAAAGTGTATATGTGTGTGCATGTGTGAGTCTACACGTGTGTGAGAATGCATGTGTGAGTGTGTGCGTGTGTGTGCCCATGTATGAGTGATGTGAGAGTATATGTGTGAGTGTGTGTGTATTGTGTACGTGTGTGTGTGTGTGTGTGTGTATGTATGTGTGAGTGTGTATGAGAGTGAGAGAGAGCAAGAGAGAGAGGCAGTGTGGGCCTCTGTGTCCATGCCATGCAGGCTGGGGCTGGGGAGACATCTGTGAGTTTGAGGGCGCATCTATGAGTCTGTGTGTGCGTGAGTCTGTGACCCTGGGAATTTGCGTGAGTGTGCATGTGTCTGGGAGTGTGTGAAGCTTCACTCTCACGCTCTGTGGTGTGACATCCACTCAGCAAAGAGGTGCAAACCTGGACCCCCAGAGTGTGAATCACAGACACCTCTTATACCCCAGCCCCTCTGCTGGGAATCTAGCGGCAGAAACTCCCGAGCTCATGGGCGGGGCCTTCCTGAGGGCAGGCTCCCTTTGCAGCCTGTGTTTGCCTCTGGGGCCGCTTTGGGTACACACATACACACACACACACACACACACACACCATGCCAAAGCCACCTCCCAGGCCCTTCCATGCCCTGCCTAGTTCTGTTTTGTTTTGTTTGAGACGGAGTCTCACTCTGACGCCCAGGCTGGAGTGCGGTGGCATGATCTTGGCTCATTGCAACCTCTGTCTCCCAGGTTCAAACAATTCTCCTGCCTCAGCCTCCCGAGTAGCCGGGATTACGGGCGTGTGCCACCACGCCCGGCAAATTTTTTTGTATTTTTAGTAGAGATGGGGTTTCACCATGTTGCCCAGGCTGGTCTCGAACACCTGACCTCAAACGATCCACCTGCCTCAGCTTCCCAAAGTGCTGGGATTAGAGGCGTGAGCCACAGTGCCTGGCCCCTGCCCTGGTTCTTGTTTTGTGTTTTGAGATGAGGTCTCGCTATATTGCCCAGGTTGGTCTTAAAGCCCCAGGTTCAAGCAATCCTCCTGCCTCAGCCTTCCAAAGTGTTGGAATTACAGGCATGAGCCACCTCGCCCTGCCACCTGCCCTAATTCTGAACTCACAGATAAAACTGCTCCCACCAACCAGGCCCTCCTGCCCCTGGGACCCCCCTCTACCTCCAGCCTGGAGGGAAATTCCAGGCCTCCCTGGAGCTTATGAAGGGGAAAAAACCCAAGAGGGTTTTTTTTTTCTGTAACTCAGTGTCGTCCATTCGCCTCATTATGGGGTCAGGATCCCAGAAAGTCAGGGTTAAAAGGACATTTGCTCTACAAATAGGGAAGCTGTCCCAGAGGTAGGTATGCCTCATCCATGGTCACACAGATGGGCAGAGCTGAGCCGGAACACGAACCCAGAAGTCCCGGGTCCCAGCCTAGCTCCTTCAATACCTCTCAAACCTATTATCAACCTTTCACACTTTAGTAAAAAATAGCGCAACTCAAAACAGAACTCTAAGGTGTAGTGAGGACATAGGCCAGGTCAGATCTGATGGAAGGAGGAGAGCTGGCCCAGAGGGCAGGGAGTAGGGGACCCAGCCCCTACCTATAATCCTAGCACTTTGGGAGGCCAAGGCAAGTGGATCGCTGGAGCCCAGGAGTTCGAGACTGGCCTGGGCAACATGGCAAGATCCCCGTCTCTACTAAAAATACAAAAATTAGCTGGGTGTAGTGGTGTACACCTGTTGTCCCAGCTACACGGGAGGCTGAGGTGGGAGGATCACCTGAGCCCAGAGAGGTCAGGGCTGCGGTGAGCTAAGATTGAGTGCCACCCTAAGCCTGGGGTCCCAGGATACTCACTGCTCTCAGCCAGGAGAAAGCTGCCACACTCCTGGGAGTAGTTGCCAGACTGGTCTGTGATGTTGACACTGAAAATGTCGTCGGCCATGAAGTGGAATACATCCATGTGGCAGGTGTAGGTGGCATGCGTGGCATTGTGGGCCGACCTGTGGAGGCTGCAGGAGGTGGCCTCGTCCTTCAGCTCTTCATACTGGTCTTGCCTTCAAGGACAAAGCAGCCGGTCATGGCTGGAAGCCAGGGGCAGGGGGGATGGTGGTGGGCTCAGTGCTCAGGGCCAGGGCAGAAGCCCAGACTCTCAGGGCTGGGAGGGATTTGAGGCAGGGCTGGGGGGTGGTCACCTGGTCCAACCAACCTTTTCCCAGGGAAGGTATCACCTCCCCTACAGCATCCTCAATGAATTGTGTCCGGGCTCAGCTTGCACACCTCCCAGGGGCCAGGAACTCACTACCTCATTTAGGGCAGCAGCTCTCAATTTTGGAAATTTGGGCCATTCTTGCTTGGACTAAGCCTAAATCTGTCCCTGTTGGTCCCAACAACCAGATGGCTGTCCTGCAGGAAGGGCGCTAGGCATTTTGGGTTTCCTTCTCTCCTTTCTGTCCAACATCCATTTTTTTGAGACAGGGTCTCACTCTGGCCCCAGGCTGGAGTATAGTAGTGTGATCATGGCTTACTGCAGCCTCGACCTTCCCAGGCTCAGCTGATCCTCCCACCTCAGCCTCCTCAGTACCTGGGACTACATGCATGCACCACCATGCCCAGCTAACTTTTTGTATTTTTTGTAGAGATGGGGTCCCACCATGTTGCTTAGGCTGGTCTCAAACTCCTGGGCTCAAGTGATCTGCCAGCCTTGGCCTCCCAAAGTGCTGGGATTACAGGACTGAGCCACCTCGCCCAGTCCCCAAATCCACTGAATATCTAATAATAGCCTGTGCTGAGGGCCAGGAAAAGAGCTAAATGAACCTCATCTCCTCCTCTGGGTGGACTTCTGGGAAAGTTGGTGGGATGGGATTAGGGAAAATGCTGTGGCTTTTTAACTCCCACTGGACAAAAATGATGGGTTTTGAAGTATGTATAGTAGTTTACCGGATATTAATTTCCCTACCTAGATGTTCAGGATCTGAACATGACCACTCTCTAGGCCCAGTAGGGATGTGTGGACTGAGTTCTCTGCCAAATTTGCTGGAATACAAGTTCCTGCTGAATAAATGCTCTCCAAGCCTCCCAGCCTGAACTTGCTCCTTATTCCCCCTCACCCTGCCTCACTCCACTCCAGCCACACTGACCTCCTCCCTATTCCTCAAACGCACCAGCTCTTCTCCCACAGGGCCTTTGCACTGGCAGTGCCCTCTGCCCAGCTCCCTGGCTTCCTCCTTCTCACTAGCAGTTGTGGTCCCTTTACCTGAGGTCCAGTGTTCTGTCCTTGATATAGCACCCAGTATTATTAGAAAGTATCCTGTTTGGGGCAGAACACGGTGGCTTATGCCTGTAATCCCAACACTTTGGGAGGCTGGCCATGCGGCAGACCGGCCATCCCGGGGTCTCAAAACCATGGGCGACCTGTGTGGGCGAGAGAGTGGTCTTTGAAGCTGGTGGATAGACCAACCCTGCGGGCTCCTGACTTTTCAAGTCCTGTGAGCCCTGAGTGGTTGTCTGAAAGGCGGGTACAGTGGGCGGATCACTTGAGGCCAGGAGTTCGAGACCAGGTGGGCTAACATGACAAAACCCTGTCTCTACTTAAAATACAAAAATTAGCCAGGCATGGTGGTGCACACCTGGATGCAATCCCAGATACTTGGGAGGTTGAGGCAGGAGAATTGCTTGAACCCAGGAGGTGGAGGTTGCAGTGAGCCGAGATCATGCCACCGCACTCCAGCCTGGGCAACAGAGTGAGACTCCGTCTCCAAAAAAAAGAAAGAAAGAAAGTGTCCTGTTTGGGCCTGGCATGGTGGCTCACACCTGTAATCCCAGCACTTTGGGAGGCTGAGGTGGGCAGATTGCTTGAGCCCAGGAGTTTGAATCCAGCCTGGGTAACATGGCAAAACCCTGTCTTTACAAAAACTACAAAAATTATCCAGGTATGGTGATGCATGCCTGTAGTCCCAGCTACTCAGGAGGCTTAGGTGGAGGGATTGCTTGAGCCCAGGAGGTCAAGGCTACAGTGAGTTCTGATCCCACCACTGCACTCCAGCCTGGGCAACAGAGCAAGACCCTGTCTCAAAAAAATAAAATAAAATAAAATAAAATAAAATAAAAAAGAGAAAGCACCTTGTTGGTTGTTTTGTGTGTCTGTCTCCCCCAGCCTCCGCCCCACCGTGGTACGTCAGTTCCAAGGCATCTGGGGCCTGGTCAGTCTTGCTCTGCTGAATCCCCAGTGCCTGCAACAGTGTCTGGCAGGAACTTAATACATGTTTTGTTTTGTTTTGTTTTGTTTTTGAGTTGGGATCTTGCTTTTTTGCCCAGGCTGGAGTGCAGTGGCGTGATCATAGCTCACTGCAGCCTCGACCTCCTGAGCTTGGTCCCCCTGCCTTAGACTCTCAAGTAGCTGGGATTACAGGATTGTGCCACCACGCCCGACTGATTTATTTTTTGTAGAGACAGGGTTTTGTGATGTTGCCCAGGCTGGTCTCAAACTCCTGGGCTCAAGTGATCCTCCTTCCTTGGCCTCCCAAAGTGCTGGGGTTAGAAACATGAGCCACTGCACCTGGCCTATAAATGGTTTTGAATGAATGAATGAGCTGATGGATAACAGAAGCTCTTCTTTATCCTGAGCTGCATAGGGTCTAAAAGGGACCCATGGACTTTGGAGTTGGGCGGTCTGAATTTGAATCCCAGCTCCAGCATTCACTGGCTGTGTGACCTTAGGCAAGTTGCTTAACCTCTCTGAACCTCAATGTCCTCATCTGTAAAATGGGAGTAATCATTGTGAGGGTTGGGGGTGACCATTCATGGGAAGCGTGTAGTTGGGGGCCTGGTACCTAAGTGCTTGAAAAATCATGCGGGAAACCAGCCATCCCGGGGTCTCAAAACCATGGCCGACCTGTGTGGGTGAGAGAGTGGCCTTTGAAGCTGGTGGATAGACCAACCCTGCGGGCTCCTGACTTTTCAAGTCCTGTGAGCCCTGAGTGGTTGTCTGAAAGGCGGACACAGTGGTCCTCAGTGCACAGTGTCCTCCTGGGGGAATCACTGAGCAGGCACCCTGAATTGCATCCCCGGGGACTGGTGAGGCCCGGCTACTTACCAGGTAAGGGTGAGCGTGCTGGGGTGGAGGTTCCACATTTCCAGGATGCAGATGACCGTCTGGAGGTAATCGGTGTAGCAGACGAGGTCGGGGCAGCCCCAGCCTGGAGGGTCAGTGGGGAGAGAGGCCTTGGTGGGGGGTGGCTTGGGACTGCAGAGCTTCCTCTCCATCCCCTCGAGGGCTGGAGGAAGAATGGGTGCAGGGGTCCCCAGGCCGGGACAAATATGAGGACTCAGGAGCTGCTTAGATGTAGGCCTGGCACCCAGGGGGCCTCACCACCTGGAAATTCCTTGTTTGAGCACCAATGTTTCAAGGCTGGCTATGAAGACAGGATGCATGTGATGGCAAATAATATAAAACTAGCTGGTCCCCAGCTCAGCACCCTCCTCCAGAGCCCTGCGCCCGGCCACCAGGTCTGTGTCCCTCCTGGCCAAGCTCCCACTCAGAATGGCAATATCCTAAATGCCCCAGATGTGGTAGGAACCCAGCCAGAGCACACGCACACACCCCAAGAGGGTCAGGACCTCATAGAGTCAAGGACAGCTATGCTGAAAATGTCCCAAAACCCTGACAAGGAAGAGGACTCGGCTCTACAGAAGTTGGATCCACAGGACACCCACTCTCGGAGATTCAGGAAGTGCTTCAAGGAGTAGGAAACCGTGAGAGAATTAAAAAGCCCTCGGACACTTTTGCATAAAGGTCTGCGTGATCCTGCGGCCAAAAATGCCACCGCCACCAAGAAGTCTTCTAGGTATTGCCCTATGAGGCAATTTTGTTGGAAGATTTAACACCTTTCCATCCTGCTCCCCAAACATTAATTGTTTCGCTGTGTTCTAAAACAGGGGTGCAATCATCATCTACATTTTGTTAAATGTGGACAAAATCAATGGAATAATTTGTAGCTTTGTTTTGTATATTCGAGTGCCAATTCCACTATTTTTTGCTGCTATTTACTAGAAACTTGTACCGCTCACCTCTTTTTGAGATAGGATCTCTTGCTCTGTTGCCCAGGCTGGAATGCAGTGGTGCGATCTCAGCTCACTGCAGCCTCCACCTCCTGGGCTCAAGCAGTCCTCCCACTTCAACTTCCTGAGTAGCTGAGACTACAGTTGTGCACCACCATGCCTGGATAATTTTTGTGTTTTTGTAGAGACAGGGTTTCACCATGTTGCCCAGGCTGGTCTCAATCTCCTGAGCTCAAGCGATCCACCTGCCTCAGCCTCCCAAAGTGCTGGGATTGTAAGAATGAGCCATCGTGCCTGACCTTGTTCCCCTTTTTAAGTAGGTTCATTTTTGGTGGCTTTTTCCTATTTTCCCTGGACTAATGAAGACCCCTGAGGTGGTGGTGGTAGATTCCCTTCCTGGGTCTCACTCTAGGACAGAACCTATATGCGGAGCCAAGAATACTGTGTCTGGAAATATCCTTTAGTTCATTGTAGAGATGAGAACACTGAGGCTCCAAGACTAGACCATGCCTCTTGTCTCTCTTGGTCTGGGCTGCTGAGACACTCACCCAGGGAAGGAAATACCTAGTCTGTGCTAGTTTTTCATAGCCGCACACATGACAGATATTGCTAATGGATCACAGCACTCCCTCCCCTAGGTGTGACCTCGGAATGCTTCTCAACTTCTCTCGAGGCAGTGGCTACCAAGGGATCTGAGTCATGGAAGTAAATCTTGCTCTAGGAGGGGGCTTTCCTCAGGGAGACACACAGAACTTGTCGGTGGAGTGAAAAGGAGCTAGTTCCAGCACTTGGTGGAGAAAACAGGACTGATTTTGGCAAAACCTCAACACAGAGCCTCTAAGTAGCTGTGTCATCTCTGAGTTCGTATCCTCGTGGTTCTTTCTCAGAGCTCTGGGAATTTGGAGAGGAGCTACCATTCCTAGCCAGGCTCAAAGCTACCAAGGGACAGGGTTTGTCTCCAAACTTGGGGAGGCAACGGCAGCCCCTGAGTGGCAGGGAGGTGGCACCAGGGATGAGAGGGTGGGAAAATGCCCTGTCAGTACCCCAGCCACAGGGCAGAGAGCCCCAGGGCCATCCCATGTCTGGGGTTATGAAAGCGTGCAGGAGGCAGTGAGAGGTGCACAAAGTAGCTCTGTGACTGCAAACATGTGACTCAAAACTGCTTCTCCTCCCCATGTGTAAGCCGGAGACACTGCTTGCCCTAGAGGCTGTTGAGGTGTTGAGATGAGATCATGCCTGTGCCTGCATGCTGCCCGCACATGGCTATCACTCCACAGATAGCAGCACAGCATGGTGAAGGCCGTGCTACGGTTTGACGTCTGTGTCTCCCCAGAAACTCAGTTGCCAATGTGATCATATTAAAAGGTGGGGACTCTAGGAGATGATTAAGTCATGGGGGCAGAGCCCCCCTGAATGAATTATTGATGCTATAAGAGGGCTGGACGAACCCAACATTCAGACCCTTTTTGCCCTTCTGCCATGTGAGGATGCAGCGTGTGTCCCCTCTGGGGGTGGTGCAGCGTTCAATGTGGCATCTTAAAGGCAAAGATGGGGGCTGGGTGCGGTAATCCCAGCACTTTTGGGAGGCCGAGGCGGGTGGATCATTTGAGGTCAGGAGTTCAAGACCATCCTGGCCAACATGGTGAAACCCCAACTCTACTAAAAATACGAAAATTAGCCATGGCATGTGCCTGTTATCCCAGCTGCTCGGGAGGCTGAGGCATGAGAATTGCTTGAACCTGGGAGGCAGAGGTTGCAGTGAGCCAAGATTGCACCATTGCACTCCAGCCTGTGTGAGAAAGCAAGGCTCAGTCTCAAAAAAAAAAAGCAAAGATGGGCCCCTCACCGGAATCAAAGCTACTGCTGGTGCCTTGATCTTGGACTTCCCAGCCTCCAGAACTGCGAGCAGTAAATGTCTATTATTTATAAATTACCCAGTCTCACGTATTCAGTTACAGCAGCACAGACAGACTAAGACAGACCCCAAGAGCAAACTGATCCCAGCTCTGCCTCTTCCGGGTAGTGTGGCCATGCACCTGTCTCTTAGCCTCTCTGAGCCTCCTCAGCCAAAAAACTGGGCGTCATTACAACATGCGCCTTGTGGGGCTGTTGGGACAGTGGAATGGGATGACGCTCCGAGCTTTGCATGCAGCCAGGGCTTGTTATCTGCACCCGCCAGATGTGGAGCCATGGTGGGTGACCCAAAGGCTTTTTAGAACCAAGATGAGGATGCTTGCCACTCAGAAAGGGAAAATCAAAGCTTGACATCTGTTTCCTGAAGGAGCTATTTGAGGTCCTGGGTCTTCTGGTAAAAACCAGAGAAAAATGCCCATGAGTCAGCAGAGCAGCTGTTGAGTTCCTCCCCTGCCCCTAGGCCGGCCTCCACACAAGTCTGTGCTGGATCCCGCCTCCTCATGGCCCCCTCCTCCAGGAAGCCCTCCAGGATCTCTTAGTCCTAGGCAGTGCCCTTTCAGTCGGACTCCTGGTCTTCCCAGTTCTGCTTTCTAACGTCACCCCCTCTAACCACAACATCTGGTCCTCTGGGGGCTGCCTACCAAGGTTCAGTCTCCTTTTGGCTCTTCCTCCTGTCCCCAGCCCAGGGACCACCAGTGCCTGCTAAGAATCTAGCGATTTTTTTGTTTGTTTATTGTTGTTGTTGTTGCTGTTGTTTTGAGACAGGGTCTCGCTCTGTTGCCCAGGCTGGAGTACAGTTGTCACCTTGACTCACTGTAACCTCCACCTCCCAGGCTCAAGCAATCCTCCCGCCTCAGCCCCACAAAAAGCTGAGACTACAAGCATGCGCTCCTATGCCTGGCTAATTTTTTTTCTTTTGTAGAGACAGGGCTTCACCATGTTGCCCAGGCTGGTCTTGAGATCCTGAGCTCAAGCGACCTACCCTCCTCAGCCTCCCAAAGGGCTGGGATTCCAGTAGGAGCCACCGCACCCGGTGCAGCAATTGTTGAAAAACATTTCCAAGGAGAGTCATTACATAAGGAGAAACTGAGGTTAGATGGAAGGCAGAACTTCCTCACTCAGAGAGTTGGGAGCCAGCCAAGGCAGAGGTCAGGGGAAATGAAGGACGAAGCCTTTCATCCCCCCAGTGACACCCGAAGACACAAGCCTGTGGGCTGGGCCACCTGAGACTCATGTCTACCGCTTCTGTTTCATGGAGCCCTTTGGTGGATGGATTCTGATTAGTGGAGAGCCGGCTACTGGACTCGTGTCAGCCTCAAGGGCATGGATGTCATCTTTTCTGAATCTGTGGACTCTAGCCGTGTTTTTGAGCCCAGAAAGCCAGCCCGGCCCTGGCTCAGCTCTGTGATGGGGGCCCTCCCCACCCGCAGACCACGGGGCAGCCACTTACCTCCCTGGAGCAGCAGCAGGAGCAAGGGGGCGGCCCAGCCACGCGGCATGCTGACTCCCACGGGCCTGCAAGAGACGTACAGTGGAGGGTGAGCCAGGCGGGCTCAGGGCTCCCCCGGCCTCCCCCTCATCCTGTCTCTTCCCAGGCAGACTTGCCCCTGATTCTTGGAACTGTCTTAAGAAAAATGCAAGATCCCGAGGGGCCTGTGGATGACCCCAAGAACTCCCACCTCTTAGAAATGGCAGATTCACCCCAAGAATCCCTTCTCCCACCTTCTTCCTGCCCCCGCCCCATCACGTCACAAATGCAAAGTGAATTTGTTTTATTATTTTATTTTAATATTTTTAGAGATGGGGTCATGTTCTGTTGCCCAGGCTGGAGTGCAATGGCGCAATCACGGCTCACTGCAGCCTCAACCTCCTGGGCTCAAGCGATCCTCCTGCATCAGCCTCCCGAGTAGCTGGGACCAAAGGCACGTGCCACCACGCCTGGCTAATTTTTAAAACATTTTTGTAGAGACGGCATCTTGCTATGTTGCCCAGGCTGGTCTCAAACTCCTGGGATCACATGATCCTCCTACCTCGGCCTCTCAAAGTGCTGGGATGACAGGCATGAGTCACCACGCCCAGCACAAGGTGAATTTAAAGAGGGAGGAGACTGCTGACTATTTTGCCCTTGCTGAGCCTATTGATGTAGCATTGTGTGTGAAATTAAACTTGTGTATTTATCTATCTAACAAAGAAAGAGGGAGGGAAAAAGAGAGGAAGGGAGAGAGAAAAGGAGAAAAAACTAGTTTGGAAAGGGGGATCTGCTGAGGAGCAATTTTGGATCTTCCTTCCTATAAACATCCATGTTGTAAAAAAAAGCCAGTAAATTGGCTTTTTTATGTTTATTTTTTAGACAAAGTCTCACTCTATCGCCCAGGCTGGAGTGCAGTGGCCCGATCTTGGCTCACTGCAACCTCTACCTCCCAGGTTCAAGCGATTCTCCTGCCTCAGCTTCCCAAGTAGCTGGGAATACAGGTGGCCGCCACCACGCCTGGCTAATTTTTGTATTTTTAGTAGAGACAGGGTTTTGCCATGTGGACTAGGCTGGTCTCGAACTCCTGGCCACAGGTGATCCACCCACCTCAGCCTCTCAAAGTGCTGGAATTACAGGCATGAGCCACTGCACCCAGCCATCAATAAATTGGCTTCTTACTGAATAATAAATCCAAAGTTAACCCACAAAGTTAACCACTGCTGAATACTTAAGATAAGGTTAGCCCAATAATGAGGCTCCTTACTCCATCACAAAGCCCAGATTAGCCCACTCGGGAGCATGCTAGGAAATCCAGGCCTGACCAAACAGAGACAACCTGACCTCCTAATTTGGGCCAGGATGGAGAAGGAACCTCTTTGGGGAGCAGAGTGAGTTTATCCAGAAAGAGTGCCCTCTACTGTCTTGGGCAGAGGAATGCCCCACCAGTCTGGCGATGCCAGGCTTCTCCTGGGACTTGTCTGTTTCACCCACCAGCTCTGTGTCTGTTTGAGGAAGTGCCAGCCAGAGGGCAGTGGTCCACCTGCCCAGACTCAGGAGCCCCTCCCAGACCAGCCCCTATAGACAAGAATGGAGCTAAAGCTAAACCTAAGAGGGATGCCCCATGCAGGACCCAAGTCACAGGCATGGCTTTCTCCAGACGCCATCCCTGACTCCACAAGGGGAAGATCCTCCTCCTCTGTGCCGGGGTTCCCAAAGATCCTACTCTGGCCCCATCCATAGTTCCCTCTGACCTCCCTCACAGAGCCATCAAAGAACCCTGGGGCAGGGCACAGGCTGGGGGGCCAGGAAGGTTCAGATGACCAGCTGTGTGGCTCCGGGCCAGTCCCTTGCCCTCTCTGAGCCTTGTAAAGTGGAAACAGCAAGGCCTGCTTCCAGGCTTGTGAGAATTCAAGGAGGTGATTTGCATAAAACCCTGCAGATGGCCCCCATCACATAAACACTCAAACAACAGCTGTAATTGATGGAGAAGGTAGAGCCTCAGAAACAGAGGGGGTCTCAGAATGATCTAGCCAAGAGTTGCCAAAATATCTCATATCCAAAATTTTGGCCATATTTGTATATTGTGTGCACTGTTGTTTATTTTAATACATATTTTAATATATTTTCTATAGATAAGCACACTTAAAAATTTAACTCCAGCATCATCCTAAGCAATAACATCACTACTCAAATAAAATAATGTTGAGGTAGATGCAGTTTCAACCTGCTTTTAGGAATATGAATCCTGTGTGATTCCAACCCCTGCAGAGGTCCTGTTATCACACTTTGAAGATGTGGCCTCTGATCGCAGGAGGGGGAGTCTGTGTCTGCCCCCTCACTATTCTGTCCACATCCATCACCCCAGCCACGGTGCGAGTCCTGACATAGCTCTGTCCCCGTCACTCCCTGATGGTTTTATCTTGACCACAGCACAGCAAAAAGTGCAAACTCCTTTGCCCAGATTCAATATTCCTCATCTCCAGCTTGACCAACATAGCAAGACCTTGTCTCTACCAAAAATAAAAATAGAAGTAAAAATAAGTTAGCCGGGTGCTGTGTGCCTGTGGTCCCAGCTATTCGGGAGACTGAGGAAGGAGGATCACTTGAGTGCCGGAGGTCCAGGCTGCAGTGAGCCATGATTGCACTATTGCACTCCAGCCTGAATGAAAGAGTGAGACCCTGTCTTTAAAAAAACAAACAGACAAACAAAAAACTCCTCATCCCTCCTAATTTCTTACCTCTGCCTACATCACAGAGCCCTAGGGATGTGGAGGGGGTACCTGCTGCTTCTGCCTGCCCGGCGTCTCTTCCCAAAGAGCTCCTCTATCTGAGCTGCCTCTAGTGGTTTGCCTGAGGCTGACTCCACCCCATGCTCCACAAAGTGGGCTCCTGACCCAGGCTTGGCCAATCAAAACACCCCATCTGTCTGACCACAGTGATTGCATCAGGGATGGATGTCAACCCAGGCAAGGCCAGTGAAAGCAGTCCTGAGATTTTTTTTCTAGAACTCTAGAAAACTGACACTTTTTTTGGTATCTTCTCAGAGCTTGTAGCCATCTTTGTCACCTCTTAGAGACAGCCTCCTTGAAAATGACAGCCATACTGAGAAATACAGGTCAGGAGTCCCCATGGCATCATGGGAGGTCCTGGATCCAGCCATATCTGATGTCCACCCTGTGGATTTCTCATTCCCATGAGCCAAAAACCACCTATGTTGCTTAATCATGTTGAATTCTATTTCTGTCACTTGCCACCAAAGATCCCTGACACAGTGGAGTTGAGAAAAGGGCTCAGAATTTGAAGCCAGAAGATCTTGAAGCAAATAGTAGCTCTTCTCTGGCTCTTTTATTCTCTGAACTCAGTTACCATCTCTGAAATGGGGACAATAGTGCTCACTGCACCTGGCAGTGAAGAAGAGGCTGTGAGAAAGCAGATGTGGTAGTGCTTCACGGACTGTGAAGTGCTGTACCAGTGCACGGGTTTCCTGCCATTACTGGCTGACTGCCCTGAATTACTCATCGTCTCCCCGGCAGCCCAGGCTTCGTCATGCATCTTTGCCTCTGCTGGAGCAGACTCCTGCCCTCCAACACCTTTCCCCTCCCATCCTCTCAACTCAACTTTCATGGTCCATGTGCTGTATCCCTGCAGCCACACTGGAGTGTTCCAGAACTCCTGCCACTAGCCTATTGCGTTTGAGGTTTTCACTGGTGCTACTATTAATTATCCACTTACTATTGATCTTTACCTTGCCTCCTATTTTTTACTCCAATAAACATGTCTCAAAAATATTATATCATGACCATCAGCAGATAACTGGCATGAAATAGGCAGTGTGCGCCATGCTGGTCAAGACACAGACTATGGAGCTGGCTGGTCTCAGTTCAAATCCCAGCTCTGCCACTTATAGGCTTTGTGGCCTTGGGCAGTTTGCTTAACCTTTCTGGGCCTCATCTGTAAAATGGGAGTAATGATAATCACAGCACCTGCCTCATAGGTCTTTGGGAGAATTAAATTAGTCAACATTTATAAAGCATTTAGAACAGTGCCTGGCATATAGCAGATATTATATAAGTGTTACTTAAACAAAACAATCAACTTACCATAAAACTAAATACAATACAACATAAAAACTAAATACAAGAAAAACAAAGGCAGTAATTGAATTTTAGTGACATGCTACTGCCTGCCTGAGAGTCCTAGAAACTGGAGATGTGGTTTGTCTTTGTTTAAAGTTAAGAAAGGGAGGCCGGGCACACTGGGTCATGCCTGTAATCCCAGCACTTTGGGAGGCCGAGGTGGGAGGATCATTTGAGGTCAGGAGTTCGAGACCAGCCTGGCCAACACGGCGAAACCCCATCTCTACTAAAAATACAAAAATTAGCCGGGTGTGATGGTGTGTGCCTATAATCCCAGCTACTCAGGAGGCTGAGACAGGAGAATTGCTTGAACCCAGGAAGAGGCGGAGGTTGCAGTGAGCAGAGATTACACCACTGTACTCCAGCCTGGGCAACAGAGCAAGACACTCTGTCTCAAAAAAAAACAAAACAAAACACAAAAAAAGAGAGAGTAGTGTTTAAGATGCGATAGCACCAAATTGAGAATCTTGCCTCCTCCATCAGCAGGGCAAGTGATGAAAGAGCCTACGCTTTCACTAGGGGATCCAGGGATATTTAACACTGTTTAAAATAAACTGCTCACTTCTGGGAAACATCAGCTTAAAAACACAGACTTTCTCCATCACTCCCTCCTCATGCTCCCACAGCACCAAATGGGGCCTACCCTAATTCCACTGCCTTCTCTGCCCCGAATCCATCCCCTTTTGGGTCTTTGCACGCAGGCTGACCCCTGAGGGCAACAGCACCTTATCCTCAGATACAGATCGGGCCACCATGTGTGTTTCCTACAAGGACAGAAGGTGTCTTAGGAGGCTTCCTGCTACAGGAGCCCCTTGATATGGTTTGGATATTTGTCCCACCCAAATCTCATGTTGAAATGTCATCCCCAATGTTGGAGGTGGGGCCTGGTGGGAGGTGATTGGATCATGGGGGCGGATTTCTCATGAATGGCTTAGTGCCATCCGCTTGGTGATGAGTGAGTTCACCTGAGATCTAATTGTTCAGAAGTGCGTGGCGCCTCCCCCTTTTGCTCCAGCTGTCGCTATGTGATGTGTCTGCTTCTGCTTCACCTTCAGCCTTGAGTAAAGGCTCCCTGAGGGCCTCCTTACCAGAAGCCGAGAAGATGCTGGCAGTATGCTTGTACAGCCTGCAGAACCATGAGCCAATTAAACCTCTTTTCTTTATAAATTACCCAGTCTCAGGTATTGCTTTATGGCAATGCAAGAATGGCCTGACACACCGCTGCAGCACCCAACCTCTGCAGTCTCCTACGGAGGAGTGAAGTGCACCTGACTTGGAGTGTGCCAGGTCCCAGCTGTGCGTCTTTGGGCAAGTTCTCTAACCCCTCTGATTCTCTGTTTTCTCATCCATAAAATGGAGGTCATCAATCTTTGCTGCAGGTTTGTCATGAGCATTAAAAGTGTCATCGAATTTGAAGTCCTGTAGGTGCATTTATCCACCAGTTTCAGTGCTGAGAAATGTTTCCTGGAGTTGCTGTAATTCACCCTAAAAGTTGACCAAATTTCAAGAGATTCTGGGGAAATGGAGAAGCTTGGGGCAGGAAATTAGATTGAAGTGAGTGCTATGGAGAATATAAGGTGCTTAACTTCATGGTCAACGTGGTGGCTCATGCCTGTAATCCCAATACTTTGGGAGGCCGAGGTGGGTGGATCACCTGAGGTCAGGAGTTCGAGACCAGCCTGGCCAACATGGTGAAACCCATCTCTACTAAAAATACAAAAATTAGCCAGGTGTGGTGGTGGGCACCTGTAATCCCAGCTACTCTGGAGGCTGAGGCAGGAGAATTGCTTGAACCCGGGAGGTGGAGGTTGCAGTGAGCCGAGATTGCACCACTGCACTCCAGCCTGGGTGACAGAGCGAGACTCCATCTCAAAAAAAAGAAAAAGAAGAGAAAAGAAATACAAAGAAAAACCACAATGACATACCATTTTAATTTTGTCGGATTGGCAAAAACTGAAAGTCTGATGACATCACATATTGCTCAGGATATGATATAATAGGAACTCTCATTTATAGCCAGAGGAAATGTAAATTATTACAACTGGTCTGGTAAAAAGTTTGGCATGACCTAATAAAAGCGAACACATGCCCTACCTAAAACCCAGTAACTTCACTCTTATGTAAACTGGTAAAGAAATTCTTCCTGCATGTCTATAGCAGCATTGATTTTAATAGTGAAAAATTGGAAACAATCTAAATAGCCATCATCAGGAGAGTGAAAAAATAAATCGCAATACTGTCACTCAGTGTAAACATGAATCATTTACAGCCACACACAACAAAGTGAATGACTCTCACAAACAAAATTTGGAGTGAAAAAAGGAAGTTAGAGAACAGCATAAGCATAATAACACCATTGACACCACACTGAAAACCATACAAAATCATCCTATATATTGTTTAGGTAAGCACACCCATCATAAAAATATTTAAAAATTCATGGGGATAATAACATCAAATTTTGAATAGTGTGGAAAAGGAGGGGGTGTGAGAAGGAGGAATGTTCAAGGGTCTCAACAGTTTGGTAAAGCTTGGTGAAGCTACCATGGGTGTTGATTATATTTTATGCCCTTTTGTATGTTCAAACTATTTCATACCATTTTAAATGTAAGTGAGGCTTAGTTTTGTAAAATAAAATATGGATGAGGGACTTCCACTTCTGGCTATAATGAAGTAGCTGTTGTCACACTAATCCTCCCACTGAGGGCAACTACTAAGCAGAAAAAAAAAAACTGCACAAGAGAGTGCCAACTTATATAGTACTTAAGAGAGGAAAAATGCATTGAAATTCTGCATGCAATTTCCCCTCAAATCATGTGCAAAGTCATTGAAAATAAGTAGCATGCCAAGAAACTTAGCAAAAAAACACCTGCTAATAGGTGGGAAAACTAAGAAGGAATTTTCACAGTTTTACAAGCTGAGGGAAGAATTAGAGTTCAGGGCCTGGCAAAAAAAAGATGGGCCCTGGTGAGTACCCAGCTATTTAGAAAATACTATTCCTTGGGAATAAGGAAAAATTAGAAATAGTTCATTCTTGACTGCATCAAGGTGTAATCTGCTTATATGCTATATGTCTGCTAGAAGAAAATTTAAATTGATCTAGAAAAAGTTAGCTTCATCCAAAGCCTCTATACTTTTTATACATAATGTCCAACTTTCAGTTAAAATTACAAGGTAAACCAACAAGCAGTATCAAATGATCAACAATGAAGATAAAATAGACAATAGAAAAGTTACTTAGGTGAATTGGAAAATGGCATTATCAGATATGATTTAAAATAACTATGATTAATGTGTTCAAAAATTCTATCAGAAATTTGGAACCTATTTAAAAAGTAGAAATCCTGGAACTGAAAAATATAATAACTGAAGTTTATAAGGACTGAAGAGATGGATTTGGCAACATACTAGTAACATCAGAAGAGAGGATTAGTAAACTGGAAGATTGGTCAATAGAAAATACCAAGATTGAAGCATGCAGAGAAAAAAAGTTCAAAAATACAGAAAAGAGCAAAAGAGACATAGAAGACATTGTGAAATGATCTAACATACATGCATTTGCAATTAAGAAGCAGAAGAGAGAGAAAACAAGTAAGAAGAAATAGCAGTGATCTTAAAATTTTTTTCCAAACTAACAAAAGACATTAAGCCACAGATTTAAATAGCTCTACAAACCACAAATAGGATAAATACAAAGAAAACCACATCTAGGCATATCATAGAAAAACTATTTTAAAAAATAAAAGACAAAGATATGCAGTATGCAGAAAAAAAAGACACTTCACCTTCAAGGAAGAAACAATAAGACTGGCAGGGGACTTTTTAACAAAATGATGGAAGACAGCAGACAATGGAACAACTTCTTTCAATGCTGAAATTTCAAAAGCCAATTTAGAATTTTATATCCAGAAAAAAATCTCTTAAAAAATAAAAGTAAGGTCAATATGATACAGACAGCTATAAAAATATTACAGTTAACATCATACTTAATGGTAAAGAAATGAAAGCTTTGCTCCTAAGATCATGAACAAGACAAGTATGTTCACTCTTGTGACTTTTATAAAACATTTTACTAGAGGTTCTAGCCAAGGCAATTAGGTAAGGAAAAGAAATAAAAGACTTTCAGATTGGAAAGGAAGAAGTAAACCATTTCTCTTTGCAGATAATATGATCTTGTATATACAAAACTAAAGGAATTTACACCTAAAACGAACAAAAACCAATTAGAGCTAATAAACAAATTTAGCCTAGTTGTAGAATATAAGATTAATAGACACAAATAATGATATTTTATACACACTGGCAATAAATAATCTGAAGATGAAATTAAGAAAGTGATTTCATTTACAATAATACAAAACAGAACAAAATGGTTAAAGTAAATTTAACAAAATTCATTAGTTATGTTAATATGAGATGAATTTGTTTATTAGTGTGAGACTTGTGCAATAAAACCTACAAATGTTATTGAAATAAATTATAGAAAACCTAAATAAATGGAGGATATACCATGTTCATAGATTGGAAAACTTAATGTTATCAAGATGACGCCTCAAATTGATCTACAGATTCAAAGTAATCTCTATAAAAAATCCCAGCTGGCTCTTTTTTTTTTTTTTTTTTTTTTTGCAGAAATTGACAAACTAGTCCTAAAATTTATAGGGAAATGTAAGGGACTAGAATAGCCAAAAAGGTTTTGAGAAAGAACACAGTTGGAGGAGTCAAACTTCCTTATTTCAAAGCTTACTACAAAGCTACACTTATCAACACTGTGGTACTGACACATAGATGTACATATAGATCAATGGGATTGAACTGAGAGTTCAGAAAGAAGTGCATATATTTATGTTTAACCGATTCTTGATGAGGGTGCCAAAACAATTCAATGGGGGAAAGAATAGTCTTTAAAACAAATGGTACCACACAAATGGATATCCACAATGCAATATAATGAAGCTAGATTTCTACTTCACACCGTATACAAAAATTTACTCAAAATAGATTAAAGACTAGATGTAAAAAGTAAAACTATTAAACTCTTAGAATAAACCTAGGTGTAAATCTTCATGACCTTGTATGAGACAATAATAGTTTTTTAAATATGACACAAAAGCATAAGTAAACAAAGAAAAAATAGATCTATTAAACTGTATCAAAATTTAAAATGTTTGTGCTTCAAAAAATACTATCAAGAAAGTAAAACTATAACATACAGCATGGGAAAAAAAGCATTTGCAAATCACGTATTTGTTAAAGGTCTGGTATTTAGAATATGCAAAGAATTCTTGCAACTCAAGATCTAAAAGGCAAGAATTAAAATTTAAAATGGGCAAAAGATTTGGATAGACATTTCTCCAAAGAAGATATCCAAACAACAAACACATGAAAAGGTGGCCATTGACATTACTCTCTAGAGAGATGCAAATCAAGAACATAATGAGATACCACTTCACATGCATTAGGATGGTAATAATAATAATCAATCACAAGTGTGAATGAGGGGGCGGAGGGTGAGAATGTAAAATGGTGCAGCCACTGTGGAAAACAGTTTTGCAGTTCTTCAAAATGTTAAATACAGTCACGTGCTGCATAATGATATTTCATTCAATGACAGACTGCATGTACATAGGCGGGCCCATAGGACTATAATGAAGGTGAATAATTCCTATTGTCTAGTGACGTCATGACACAACACTTTACTCATGGGCTTGTGATGATGCTGGTGGAAACAAATTTACTGCACTGCCAGTCATATAAAAGTATAGCATATGCAGGGCTAGGTGCGGTGGCTCACGCCTGTAATCCCAGCACTTTGGGAGGCCAAGGCAGGCAGATCATTTGAGGTCAGGACTTCAAGACCAGTGTGACAAACATGGTGAAACCCCGTTTCAACTAAAAACACAAAAAACTTAGCCAGGCGTGGTGACACATGCCTGTAGTCCCAGCTACTCAGGAGGCCGAGGCAGGAGAATCACTTGAATGGGGAGGCAGAGGTAGCAGTGAGCCGAGATTGCGCCACTGCACTCCAGCCTGGACAACAGAGTGAGACTCCGTCTCAAAAAAAAAAAAAAAAGATAGCATATACAATTATGTATTGTACATAATGCTTGATAATAATAATAATAATAATAATAATAATAATAATAAACTATGTTACTGGTGTATGTATTTACTATACTATATCTTAAATCACTATTTTAGGGTGTGCTCCTTGTACTTACTTAAAAAAAAATGTTGGAGGGGCACAGTGGCTTACGCCTGTAATCCCAGCACTTTGGGAGGCTGAGGCAGGCAGATCACTTGAGGTCAGGAGTTGGAAACCAGCCTGGCCAACATGGTGAAACCCCATCTCTACTAAAAATACAAAAATTAGCCAGGCACGGTGGTGTGTGCTTGTAATTCCAGCTATTCGTGAGACTGAGGCACAAGAATCGCATGAACCCAGGAGGTGGAGGCTGCAGTGAGCCAAGATTGTGCCACTGCACTCCAGCCTGGGTGACAGAGCAAGACTCTTAAAAACAAACAAAAAATGTTAACTTGTAAAACAGCCTCAGGCAGGTCCTTCAGGATGGATTCCGGAAGAAGGCATCATTATCATAGGAGATGCCAGCTCCATGTGTGTTTTTGCCACTGAAGACCTTCCAGTGGGACAAAATGTGGAGGTGGAAGACAGTCATATTGGTGATCTTGACCCTGTGTAGGCCTAGGCTAATGTGTCTGCCTGTGTCTTAGATTTTTTGTTTTTTGTTTTCTGGGTTTTTTTGAGATGGAGTTTTGCTCTTGTTGCCTAGGCTGGAGTGCAATGGCGTGGTGTTGGTTTTCCCGGGTTCAAGTGATTCTCCTGTCTCAGCCTCCCAAGTAGCTGGGATTACAGGCGCCCGCCACCATGCTTGGCCAATTTTGTATTTTTAGTAGAGATGGGGCTTTCACCATGTTGGCCAGGCTGGTCTCGAATTCCTGATTGCAGGCGATCCGCCCTCCTTGGCCTCCCAAAGTGCCGGGATTACGGGCATGAGCCACCATGCCCCGCGTGTCTTAGGTTTTAACAAAAAAAAATTTTTTTAAGTAAAAAAATAAAAAATAAAAAATTTTAAAATATAATATATAAAAAGGCTTTTAGAATAAGAATATAAAGAAAAATATTTTGTATAGCTGTACAATGTGTTTGTGTCTTAAGTGTTAGTACAAGAGTGCACGAAAACACTTAAGTGTTATTACAATAAGATAACTGTTATTACAAAAGTGTTATTCAAAAAGTTTTAAAAAGTTAAAATGTTTATAAAGAAAAAATGTTGGCGGGGCGCAGCGGCTCATGCCTGTAATCCCAGCACTTTGGGAGGCCAAGGCGGGCAGATCACGAGGTCAGGTGATCAAGACTATCCTGGCTAACATGGTGAAACCCCGTCTCTACTAAAAATACCAAAAAAATTAGCCGAGCGTGGTGGCGCGCACCTGTAGTCCCAGCTACTCTGGAGGCTGAGACAGGAGAATTGCCTGAACCTGGGAGGCGGAGGTTGCAGTGAGCTGAGATCGCGACACTGCACTCCAGCCTGGGTGATAGAGTGAGACTCTGTCTCAAAAAATGAAATAAAATAGGGCCGGGCGCGGTAGCTTACGCCTGTAATCCCAGCGCTTTGGAAGGGCGAGACGGGCAGATCACAAGGTCAGGAGATCGAGACCATCCTGGTTAGCACGTGAAACCCCATCTCTACTAAAAATACAAAAAATTAGCCGGGCGCAGTGGCAGGCGCCTGTAGTCCCAGCTACTTGGGAGGCTGAGGCAGGAGAATGGCGTGAACCCGGGAGGCGGAGCTTGCAGTGAGCCGAGATCACGCCACTGCACTCCAGCCTGGGCGATAGAGCGAACCTCCGTCTTAAATAAAATAAAATAACATAAATAAAATAAAATAAAATAAAATAAAATAAAATAAAATAAAATAAAATAAAATAAATAAAATAGGAAAAATGTTACAGTAAGCCAAAGTTAATTTATTATTTTAAAAATTCAAATAAATTTAGAGTAGCCTAAGAGTTCAGTGTTGATAAAGTTTACAGGAGTGTACAGCAATGTCCTGGGCCTTCACATTCCCTCAGCACTTAATCACTGACACCCAGAGCAACTTCGAATCCTGCAAACTGCATTCATGGTAAGTGCCCTACACAGGTGTGCCGTTTTTTCATATTTTATATTATGTTTTCACTGTACCTTTTCTATGTTTAGATACACAAATACTTACAATTGTGTTACAGTTGCCTACAGTATTCAGTACCGTATCATGCTGTGCAGGTTTGTAGCCAATTATAGGCTGTAAGATACAGCCTAGGTGTGTAGTAGGCTATACCACCTAGGTTTGTGTAAGTGCACTCTATGACGTTCACACAATGACAAAATTACCTAATGACACATTTCTCAGAATGTATCCTCGTCATTAAGCAATGTATGACTGTTTCCATATGACCAAGAAATTTCACACCTAGTTATATAGTGAAAAGAATTGACCAGATGCAGTAGCTCATGCCTGTAATCCCAGCATACTGGGAGGCCAAGGCGGGAGGGTTGCTTGAGCCCAGGAGTTTGAGACTAGCCTGGGTAACATGGCAAGACCTCATCTCTACAAAAATTAAAATGAAAACATTTTCTGGGCATGGTGGTATGTACCTGTGGCCCCAGCTACTCAGGAGGCTAAGGTGGGAGGATCACATGAGCCCAAGAGTTTGAGGCTACAGTGAGCTGTTTTCACACCATTGCAGTCCAGCCTGGGTGACAGAGTGTGACCCTGTCTCAAAAAAAAAAAAAAAAGAAAAGAAAAAAGAAAGAAAAAGGAAAGAAAACAATTGCGGATATATGTCCAGAAAGAAATGTACAAACCATTGTAGACAAATATTCACAGCAACATTATTCATAATACCAAAAAACTGGAAACAAGCAAAATTTCTATCGACTGGTGAATGGATAAAGAAATGTAGTATATCCATGCAGTAGAATGTTATTTAGCCATATAAGGGAATGAACTACTGATACGTGCTACAAAATGGATGAACTTTAAAAATTCATGCTAAAGTAAAGACACCAGACACAAAAGGCCTCATATTGTATGACTCCATATGTATGAAATGTCCAGCATTGGCAGATCCATAGAGACAGAAAGTAGGTTAGTGGTTGCCAGGAGCTGAGGCTGAGGGGAGGGGGGATAGAGAGTAACAGCAATGGATGTAGGTTTGTTTTTGGAGTGATGAAAATATAGAGTTAGTGGTGATGACTGCACAACTTTGTTGAATTGCACATCTTAAGAGTACATTTTCAGTTTTGTGAATTACATCTGAAATACAGATTTTTGAAAATGAAGGCAAAATAAGGATTTTTTTTCAGACAAAAATAAGTAAGAGATTTTGTCACTGATAGACCTGCATCAAGAGATATACAACAGTGAGTTTTTCAGGTAAAAGAAAAATAATTCCAGATGGGAAGCAAGTTACTGTAGGGTGAAATGAAGAGCAACAGAAAGTACTCTAAATATATGAATTAGGCTGGGTGCGGTGGTTCACGCCTGTAATCCCAGCACTCTGGGAGGCCTAGGTGGGTGGATGACCTGAGGTCAGGAGTTCGAGATCAGCCTGGACAACATGGCAAGACCCAGTCTCTACTAAAAACACAAAAAATTAGCCAGGTGTGGTGGCGCAAACCTGTAGTGTAGGCTACTAGGGAGGCAGAGGCAGGAGAATCGCTTGAATCCGGAAGGTGGAGCTTGCAGTGAGCTGCAACTCCAGCCTGGGTGAGAAAGTGAGACTCCAGCCTGGGTGAGAAAGTGAGACTCTGTATCAAAATAAATAAATAAATAAGTGAATTACTATGATTTTTAATTTCTTAACATACTAATGATGTAAACTATATGCAGAATTAAAATACACGACCATGAAACCCCAAAGGTAAGAAGAGGTGAATAAAGTTAAAGAGGACTTTGTACAAGAGGACTTCAAATTGTACAAGAGGACTTCAAAAAGCTCATGGAAACATGGAATTAAAGATAACAATTAAAAAATAAACTCTATTTCTCAACATAAATTCAGTCAAGGTCAAGGCACTTTTGTAAGTGATGATACCAGGCACATAGTCCATCTCCAAAGAACTGGGGGGTCCTGGGAATATAGCCATGTCAATGCAGGCTTTTTTACATTATTAACTAAAGAAAAATGGGTGATCGTTAAAGATTGCTTAAGATTAGGAGACAAAAAGAAGTCAGAAGGAGCCAAACAGGACTTTAAGGTGGATGCCTAATTTCTCATGGAAGCTGTAAAATTGCCCTTATTTGATGAGAAGAATGAGCAGGAGCATTGCTATGGTGGAGGACTCTCTGGTGAAGCTTTCCTGCGCGTTTTTCTGCTAAAGCTTTGGCTAATTTCCCCAAAACACTCTCATGATAAGCAGATGTTATCATTCTTTGGCTGTCCAGAAAGTCAACAAGCAAAATGCCTTGAGCATCCCAAAAACCGGTTGCCATGACCTTTGCTTTTCTTGACCGGTCTGCTTTTGTCTTGACTGAACCTCGTCTACCTCTTTGGAGCCACTGCTTTGTCTTCAGGATGAACTGGTAAAGCCACGTTTAATCTCCTGTTACAATTATGTGAGGAAATGCTTCTGAATCTTGATCCTATTAGTTTAAAATTTGCATGGAAGTTTCTGCTGTTGTCTGCAGCTGATCTGGGCACAGTGGTTTGGCACCCAGTAAGTGGGAAGTTTGCCCAACTTTAATTTTTTGGTCAGAATTGTGTAACCTGAACTAATTGAGATGTCTATGGTGTTGGCTATTGTTTGGGCTGTTAATAGTTGGTCCTCTTCAATTAGGGCATGAACAAGATGAATTTTTTCCTAACAAATTGATATGGATGATCGGCCACGGAGGGCTTTATCTTTATCATTGATTTCGCCATCCTTCCACCCTAGTTGCACCATAAATTTGATGTTTGTTCCTGCTTCAATTTTAGCAGAATTCATGTTGCAATGATAGGGGCTTTTTTGCAAACAGACGCCTTATCCTTCTTAGTGCCTCAAACTAGATCCTGTTCAGACATGTTATAGCAAGTTAGTACAAGTTTATTTTGGTGCAGAAAAAAGTTTGAACTTTATGCATAGTTTTTTCATAATTTGAATTTTCCATGAACTTTTGGAAGAATTCATATTAGGTAGATCCTAATAATAATAAGTATGCATGTTGTAATCTCTAAGATAAGCACAAAAAGAATATAAAAGAAAGTACAATGAACAAACTAATAGGAAAAATGGAATAATAATTTTTAAAACTTGATTTTCTAAAAACTAGAACAAAGAAGGAAGAATAGATAGGTCAAAAAAGAAAACAAATAGCAAGATGGTAGACATAATCCCAGACACATCAGTGCTTTCATTGATGTCTGAAATAAAAGGCAGTCTTAATACCAAAACTTGACATTAAAGGAAAGTAGAATTACAGGTCAATCTTTCCCATAAATAATCTAAAAAATATCTGAAACAAAATATTAACAAGTCAAATCTAATAATATTTATAAAAATGGATAACATATTATTATCACATTGGTTTATTTCAGGAATGTAAGGTTAGTATGACATTTAGAAACCATAATCAATTTCACCACATTAACTCAATAAACAAGAAAATTTATATTATCATTTAATAAGTTCAGAAAGCACATTTAATAAATTGCAACACCCATTCATGATTTTTAAAACCTGTCAGGAAAGCAGAAATAGAGGAGTCTTCTTTAATCTAATTACGATCACACACACACACACACACACACACTATACATAGCTAACATTATCCTTAATTGTGAAATATTGAACACTTCCTTACTGAGGTCAGGGCAAAAACAAAAACATCTTATACTAGAGGTGCTAATTAACATAATAAGGCAATGATAAGAAACTTTTAATTTATAAAGATTAGAAAACTATGTGTTTAAGTTATATAAGAATTGAGGAACCAGAAAAGTCCACGATACTCAACAAATAAACTATTAGAATAATAATTGTTATTATTATTCAAAGAAGCTGAAGATGAGATCAATATAAAAATCTATTGTGTTTCTAACAATCAGCAAAATTGACAAACCCTTAGTTAAACTAAGAAAAAAAGAGAGAAGACTCAAATTAACTAAAATCAGAAATGAAAGAGGAGACATTGTAACTATGTCACAGAGATAAAAAGGATTCTAAGAGACTACTATGAACAATTATATGCCAACGAATTGGATACTTCAAATAAATTAGTAAATTCCTAGACATATACAACCTACCCATACTGATCATGACAAAATAGAAAATCTAAGCAGACCTAAACTAGAAAGGAGATTGAATCAGTAATCGAAAACCTCCTAGAAAAAAAAAAAAAAGGCCAAGACCAAATGGCTTCACTAGAGAATGCTACCAAATACTTAAAGAATCAACACCAATTCATCCCTAACACTTCCAAAAATTGAACAGTAGGGAACACTTCCAAACTCATTTTATGATGCCCCAGTACCAAAGCCAGACAAAGATGCAAGAAAACAAAACCATAGACCAGTACTCTTGATGAATACTGATGCAAAAATCCTCAACAAAATGCTAGCAAACCAAATTTAACAACACATTAAAAGGCTATACACCATGACCAAGTAGGATTTATCTGCAGAATTCAAGGATAGTTACAAAAATCAGATAAATGTAATACATGAAATTAACACAAAGAAGGACAAAAATCACATGGTCATCTCACCTGATGCAGAAAAAGTATTTGAAAAAATTCAATACTCTTTCATGATAAAGAAAACATTCAAGGAACTAGAAATAGAAATAAATTACCTCAACATAACAAAGTTTATATATAAAAAGCCCACAGTGAATATATTCAACAGTAAAAAACTGAAACCTTTTCCTCTAAGATCAGGAACAAGGCATGGATGCCCACACTTGCCATTTCTATTCAACTGGAAGTTCTAGCCAGAGCAATTAGGTAAGAAAAAGAAATAAAAGGTATCTAAATTGGAAAGGAAGAAATGCAATTATCTCTGTTCACAGATTACGTGATTTTATATGTAGGAAACCCTAAATATTAAAAAAATGGTTAGAACTAATACATGAATTAAGCAAAGTTGCAGGATACAAAGTCAACACTCAAAACTCAGTTGCATTTTTTACATTAACAATGGACAATCCAAAAAGAAACTTAAGCAAAAAATTTCATTTACAATAGCATCAAAAAGAGAAAAGTACTTAGGAATAAACTTAGCCAAGGAGGAGAAAGACTTGTATAAAACATTTTTGAAGGAAATTAAAGAACACAGATAAGTGAAAAGACATCCCATGATCATGGATTGGAAGACTTAATATTGTTAAGATGACAATACTACTCACAGAAAACTGAATTTAATATAAACCCTATCAAAATCTCAATGACAGTTTTTGCAGAAATAAAAAAAGAATTCATCCTAAAATTCATATGGAACTTCAAGGGACCCTAAATAGCCAAAATAATCTTGAGAAAGAAGAACACTCTAAAAAAAAAAAGAAGAAGAAGAAGGAGAAGGAGAAGGAGAAGGAGAAGAAAGCTGGAGGCCTCACATTTCCTGATTTCAAAATGTATTAAAAAGCTACAGTAATCAATATAGTATGGTACTGGCATACAGATAGATATACAGACCAATGGAAAAGAATAGAGAGCCCAGAAATAAACCCTTGTGTATATAGTCAAATGATCTACAAAGGCACTAAGTCTATACAAGAGGGAAAAGGAAGTTTGTTCAAGGAGATAGTGCTGGAAGAACCAAATATCCATATGCAAAAGAATGATGTTGGATCCTTATTTTACTCCATATGCAAACATTAACTCAAAATGGGTTAAAGACCCAAACATAAGACCTGAAACTATAAAACTCCTAGAAGAAAACATATGGGAAAATCTTCGTGAAATTGGAATGGGCAATGATTTCTTGTGTGTGATAACAAAAGCACAGGCAACAAAAGTAAAAATAGACATATGAGACTACATCAAACTTTAAAACTTCTGTTCAGCAGAGGAAATAATCAACGGAATCAAAAGGCAACCTATGGAATGGGACAAAATATTTGCAAACCATACAAGAGATATGGGGTTAATATCTAGAATATACAAAGAACTCCTACAACTCAATAACAACACAAAAACAAATAACTCAATTTAAAAATGGCCGGGTGTGGTGGCTCACACCTGTAATCCCAGCATTTTGGGAGGCCGAGGCGGGCGAATCACCTGAGGTCAGGAGTTCAAGACCAGCCTGGCCAAGATGGCGAAATCCCATCTCTACTAACAAATACAAAAATTAGCCAGGCATGGTGGCAGGCACCTGTAATTCCAGTTACTCAGGAGGCTGAGGCAGGAGAATTGCTTGAACCTGGGAGGCGGAGGTTGCAGTGAGCCAAGATCACACCACTGCACTCCAGCCTGGGCAACAGAGCAAGACTCTGTCTCAAAAAAAAAAAAAAAAAAAAAAAAAAGGACAAAGGACATGAATAGACATTTCCCCAAAGAAGATCAGCAAATGCCCATTAAGCATACGAAAAGATGCTCAATATCACTAATCATCAGGGAAATACAAATTAAAACTACAATGAGATATCATCTTGCACTTGTTAGGATGGTTATTATAAAAAAAAAGAAAAGAACAAATGGTGGTGAAGATGTAGAGAATTGAAACCCTTGTGCACTTTTAGTGGGATTGTAAAATGATGCGAAACTTTAAAAAATTTTTTTAATTAAAAAAATAGAAATACCAGACATATATCCAAAAGAAATAAAAACAGCATCTCAAAGAGATATTTGCACACCTGTTTCTGCAGCATTATTTACAATAGCTAAGATGAGCAAGTAACCTAAATTTATTGATAGGTGAATGGATAAAGAAAATGTAGTACATACATAATGGAATATTATTCAGACTTTAAAAAGGAGGAAGTCCTGTCATATGTTACGACATGGATGCTTCTTGAGGACATTCTGCAAAGTGAAATAAACCAATTGCAAAAAAACAAATACTGCATTGTATCACTTATATGATGTATGTAAAGTAATCAATCTCATAGAAACAGAAAGTGGAATGCTGATTGCCAGGGACTGGGGGAGGGAGAAATGAAAAGTTGTTTTTCAATGGGTATAGAGTTTCACCCATGCAATAGGAAAAAGTTCTAGAGATCTCTTGTAAACCAATGTGCATACAGTTTACAATATTGTACTGCACATCTAAAAATTGTTAAGGGTAAAAAAGATCTACTGGTTAATAAAATCCAAACCCGGGACACTATACTTTGCACTACAATACCCTCTCTTGTTAGATTAGCAAAGGAAAGGATCCATAAACATTACAAAAGCAAAGAAAGGCAGGAAGCCCTCAACTGGTGGTCAGTTGAAGTGGGCTGGGTTTGATAGCTATTTCTTTTAACATCTGGAACTTTAGCTTTAAAAAGTGTTAATAAAGTTGTAAAGTATAAAAACTCATTATATTTCTGTACACTACAAACAGTCAAGAAATTTTAAAATTATGCCATTTACATCAGCATCAAAAAATCAAATATCCGAGAAGAAATCTAATGAAAGATGTACAAGACTTTTTTTTTTTTTTTGAGATGGAGTCTTGCTCTGTCACTCAGCTCTGTCACTAGAGGCACAGTCTCTGCTCACTGCAACCTCCGCCTCCTGGGTTCAAGCAATTCTGCCTCAGCCTCCTGAGTAGCTGGGATTACAAGCATGCACCACCACACTCAGCTAATTTTTGTATTTTTAGTGGAGACAGGGTTTCACCACATTGGCCAGGCTGGTCTCGAACTCCTGACCTCAAAAGATCCACCCACCTTGGCCTCCCAAAGTGCTGGGATTACAGGTGTCAGCCACTGCACCTAGTTGATGTACAAGACTTCTACACAGAAACCTACAAGACATTACTAAGAAAAATTAGAGAAAACATAAATAAGTGGTGGTACATACTATGTTCATGGATTGGAAAATTTAATACTTTAAGGATGCTAGTCCCCCCCAAATTGAAGTAAAGTTTCAGTAAAATCCAAAGTTTCAAGAAAAAAATCTCCAGCAAGATTTTCTTTGGTGGAAATTGACAAGATAGTTCTAAAATTTATATAGAAATACAAAGGACTGAAAATAGTTTAGACAATTTTGAAGAAGAATGTCAAGATTTATAAAGTAATTTAGAAAGTATGGCATTGTTGCAAGGAAAAACAAACTAACCAATGGAAAAGAACAGAAACAGTAGAAATAAACTCATGTATTCAACCACTTGATTTTCAGTAAGTCACCAGTGCAAGGCAGTGGAGAGAAAACATGTTTTCTTAAATGATGGTATATTAATTGAATATTCATATGGAAAAAGTAAACCTTGACCCCTACCTTACACCATACAGAAAAATAAACTACAGATAGACTGTAGACCTAAATGTGAAAGGTAAAACAGTAAATCGTCTAGAAGAAAACACAGAATAATATTTTTATCACTTTATTGCAGGCAACACTTCTTAAACAGCACATAGAAAGTTCTGGTCATAAAGAAAGATTTATAAATAAACTTCATGAAAATTAAGATTTTTTATTGATCAAAAGTTTCCATTAAGAGAATGGAAAAGAAACTGAAAGAGGAAGAGGGAAAGAATTATATATATATGTAAATTTATAATAAAATATAAATATAAAAATATTTATTTATAAATATTATATATATTTATAAAATATAAATTATATATAATAAACATATATAATTTATTTTTATAAATATATATATGGAGAGAGAGAGAAATAAACACAATTCCAAGTGCTGAAAAGGATACAGAGTAACTAAACTCTCTGTCTCTACTCAATATTCTGGTAAGAGTGTAAATCGACACAACCACTTTGGAAAACTTCTGCTGAGCAGAGACTCAACATTTCCACTTCCAAGTTATATAACCAAAGAGAAATGCAAGCATATGTGCCCAAGCAGACATGTACCAGCATGTTCATAGCAGCCATTATTTACAACCTCCCCACACTGGAAAGAACCCAAGTTCTTGGTTTCCCTGTATCTTTTTTCTGTCACACGATTGAGGAATGGGATGCGTCTAGTTCCTCAAGTCGGCCATTCTCTGCAATGTGACCCAGGTAGGGACATGGGGCTGAAAGTGAAAGGTGGGTAGTGTGGTAAAAGTAAAATGGCCCTATTTCCTATAGGGATCACAAAGAAATGAGGTGGGCGAAGAGGGACTCCCCAGAAGTGCCAGGAACAGGAGCCAACAGGTCACCAGAAGAGGAAGTGTTAAGGCGGAGGGACTTCCCGAGAGGGAACACAGAAGAAAGAACTCCTAAAGTTATCCAGGGTCTTCAAGGACTTCTGCCCACCTGCTCTCCTGCTGGTCCTCCTCTCTGACCTTCCTGCTATAGCTACAGAGCTGTGGTTCCTCCAACTCCATTCTTACTCCAACCGTGTCATTCCATGGCTCTCTGTTATCCACAAAAGAAAAACCCCAAATTCCTTGTCTGGTATTCAAGGCATTTCGGGATCTAGCCCCCAGTATTCATACTGGACTTCAGGCTCATCAGACCACTGACAGCCTCACCAACATGCTCCATTCACCTGGCTTGCACACCTGTGCATGTGCTGTTTTAGCCACGGAAACTATCTGCCCTTTTTGACTGACTGTTAGCCTCCTACTCAGTCTTCAAAATCCCATTCAAATGGCAGCTCCTCTGTCAATCTTTGACCTCTCCAAAGAGCATGAGTCACTCCTTCCTCTGGGGTCCACCCTCCACATAGTACATAGCTCATGGTGTTTTCATCTATATTCTGGGCACCATCTAGGCAGGGACAGTGTGTTTCTTTGTTACTGCTGAATCCCCAGTAACTAACCAGTGCCTACAGTGGGTGCTCAAAACATTTGCTACATGAGTGACTAAATGAAAGAGAATGCTTTCTATGGAAACGAATTGTGAACAAACATTATCCTCAATGTTAAGACCTATGTAGACCGTACACTCCAAAGTTAAATCTTACCCTTTTTGACCCATTTTTCTGGAGCTTTAGGGGATTGAGAGCCTTATGTATTTGGTGAGGATACGTTTTTTGTTGTTGTTTGTTTTGTTTTGTTTTTGAGATGGAGTCTTGCTCTGTTGCCCATGCTGGAGTGCAGTGGCACGATCTTGGCTCACTGCAACCTCCGCCTCCCGGGTTCAAGTGAGTCTCCTGCCTCAGCCTCCCAAGTAGCTGGGATTACAGGCATGGGCTACCAAGCTTGGCTAACTTTGTATTTTTAGTAGAGACAGGGTTTCACCATGTTGGTCAGGCTGATCTCAAACTCCTGACCTCAGGTGATCCACCCTCCTTGGCCTCCCAAAATACTGGGATTACAGGCATGAGCCACCGCACCTGGCCGAGGATAAAAGCTTTAATGCTTCAATCTTTTTTTCCTGCATCAGGGCCTTTGGACATGCCTTTCCCTCTGCCTAGAATGCTTTTCCCCCAGCTTCTTTCCTTTCTCATCCTCAGGTTTCAAGTTCAGTGTTGCCTCTTCAAAGAGGCAACCCTATCTGAACTGGGTCTACGCCACAGATCTCTGTAGCCCACATCCCCTAGTTTGTCTCCTTCATAGCAGGTGTAAGATGAGGAATCGTTTTGTAAATGTCTCTGTGTATGTGTTTGTAACTTGTTTCTGTACTGAAGCATGAGCTCTCAGAGGCTGGGTAATTGACCTATTTTGTTCAGCACAGTATCCCTAGTGCAGAGAAGGGGACCTGTAGGTGCCCCATAAGTAGCTGAAGAAGAATGTTAAGTGAATGAATGAATGAGGCTAAAAATGGAGACAGCCCCTAAGAGGTCCTGCTTTCCTCATTAGCTTCCTCACTGTCCCCAGAAACTCCCCCCAGACCCACCTCAGGCAACATCTTCTGCTTCCAGAGTGTGAATAATCATGACTAATGTCATCAGATTAGTAACAAGGAACTTTCAGAGAAGGACAGTGGGCTGCCCAGGGTCACACAGCAAGTTCTCATCTCAGTGGGTTCTCAGGCTGGGGAAGAACTAGCCCAGTGGCCCTGGGTCAGAAAGCAGACTCTGCCATTCACTCACAGTGGGAACTTGGCCGTATCTCTGCCTTTCTTTGAGCCTCAGCTTTCCTCATCTGTGGAATGGGGGCAGCAGGCTTAGCCTGGATGCGGAGTGTGAGGCAGGTTAGTGTGGTTAGTATTAGGTGTGTGGTTAGTGTTAGTTGCTTTTCATCTTTTTTTTTTTCGCCAGTGGCAAGGGGTGGGTTATGGGTGTCTGAAGGCAGGTATGTTGGGGACCTCAGGCTTACAGTTAATCAGTAGAAGACGAAGGTGAGAGGAAGGGCCTTCTCCTCCCCAGCTCGTGCAACCTCTGAGGCTGTGCGACCTCTCAGCCTATCTCTCTCTCCTAGCCAGGCAGCAAATCTCTATTAGCTCCAGCAATCTTTCCCTCCTGGCACTTCTTCCAGCCTGTGCAACCTCTCCTAGCTGTGGAGCATGAGGTCCCAGTCCCAGCACCCGCACCCCCCACTCCCCACCCCCGCTGCCTGTGCAATCTCTATCTCCCTGCAAGCCCTGCCATCCTCTGCAGCCTTGCCCAAACCTTGCAATCTCTCAGCCTCTGCAGCCAGATCTCACTCCAGCTCCATTTCCTCCAGCCCAGGAGGGGCCGCTTGTAGAGCAGTGAAAGGAGGCTTTGAACTATGCCACGAGATGGAGCGGAGCTGGCCACCCACCGTCTCTCTCCCCTCAGTTCCCAGCAGCCCCCATCAGCCCGCCCTGGCCCTGGCCAAAGTGGACTGGTGTTACTGATTCATTCTGGGGAAAGTTGGCAAGCCCTCGTCCTAGTCAAGCCCGCTTGGCAGATGGGGAAAGGAGGCCCAGAGAGGCCCAGGGCCTTGTCCTGTTCACACAGTGGGGGATGGCAGGGGCCTGGGCTAGGACCCGGGCTGGTGCACTTGCCCCAACTCCCCGGGGACAATTCAGGGCAGGGGTCGGGGTGGCCAGATCCTTCCTGTGGGCTGCAGAGATCAGCAGGCTGGGTTCCTGATGCAGATGTCCTGGGCAGTCGGGGGCCCTCCTTGTGGCCCCTGCCCCCCAGCCTGGGGAATATTCTCAGGTCGTTTCAGAAGTTCCAAGTTTACTCAGAGGTCTCATTTGAGCTGTCATGAAAAGTCCCTTTGGCCTGGGGCCAGGGCAGGGAGTGGGGGCGGTGGCACCTGTGAGCCAGGGGTGGGGGTGGGTTCCTCCCATTGCCCCCTCTCCCTCCCCTTCACGTGTCCGGGGGCTCCGGAGGGCAGGGAAGGAGGGCATGTGAGGAAGGGGCTGCGAGGGCAAGAAGACCCTCTTCCTGGAGGAAGCATCTGTTCCCCTCTTTTCACTGCTCCCTTCTAGACGGTTCCCTGAGTGACCCTAGAAAAACCCCCACCCTGCTCTGAACTTCAGTTTCCCCATCTGTAAAAGGGGGGAAGCAGAATCATCATAAGAGCTCTTATTTACTGAGGTCTCATATATGCCAATATGACCAATAATATTTATTATTTTTTTTCTGTATTTTCATAGCTAAAAGCAAAGAGCTCTTACATATTTAAAGTAAAACATAGGCCGGTCACGGTGGCTCATGTCTATAATCCCAGCACTTTGGGAGACTGAGACAGGCAGATCACTTGAGCCCAGGAGTTCAAGACCAGCCTGGCCAACATGGTGAAACCCCGCCTCCACTAAAAATACAAAAATTAGCCAGGTGTGGTGGCAGGTGCCTGTAGTCCCAGCTACTCGGGAGGCTGAGGCAGGAGAATCGCTTGAACCTGGGAGATGAAGGTTGCAGTGAGTTGAGATTGCGCCACCGCACTCCAGCCTGGGCAACAGAGCAAGACTCTGTCTCAAAAAAAAATTAAAAAAAAAAAAAAGTAAAACATGATAGCGGGCACTTCTCATGAGCCATCTGTGCCCAGCTCTTTTGCCTTCCCCATCACACTGGCTCTCTCTGTGTACCCCAGAGCTTCAGGACCTAGGGAGGTGCCTGGGCCATGGTAGATGTTCCATGAAGAATAGGTTGAGTAAATCCTCACCACAGACCTAAGACAGGCATTCTTATTCCTATTTCCACTCTTACAGATGCAGCAACTGAGCTGCAGAAAGGTTAGGTGGCTTCCTCAAGGTCACACAGGTACTAAGCGGTGGACTTGAACCCAGGTCTGGCCAGTTCCACAGCTCAAAGTCACAAGGGGTGGTGTGCTGGGAAGCCAGTTCCAGTTCCCCCATCTAACCGCAGGCACCCCTTCCTAGTTGTGTGGAGAAGGCCCCTGTGCCTGCCTGTGAGGATGCTGAAGGCGCTAGCTTCCCTCTCTGGCTGTGGAAGGAACGGATACCCCGTTCCTTTCATTCATTTATTTATCAGGCACCTGGGTTGTCCTGATGCTACAAAGAGGTGGGTTCCTCCCAGAACTTCTGGTGGCTGGCTTTCTCTTGAATGGGCCTCCTCCTCTGGTATCCACCCCCTACTCTACTGCCCACAAGCCCCTTACTGGCTCTAATCCCCACCTCCCAGTTTCTTCTCCTAGCCTGAAACCAGGAACGCTGGGCAGTGGGAGCCTGCAGTCTGAGCTCAGAGCTGTCTTTGCCTTGCTCTCCCCACCTCTCCTGGTCCTGGATTCTGCCTCCTCCTATCACAAGGGCTTTTAGCTACCTCCACTGTGGGACTGAGTAAGGATCCGGACACCCTCCTGGCAGAGGAGCGGGCAGGACAGGGGCATCGCTGAGCCCACGGTGGGGAGCAGGTGAGCAGGGCCTCTCCTCTGGGGGTTGCCTGTCCTCGTGGGAATGAATACTCCGCCATCCCCATCCAATGCTGCTTCCCAGAAGCTACCCAAGCCCATGAGTCTTGTTTTCATGTTATTCTATCTAGCAGGTGGTGGCCTTGTCCTACAGACTGGCATCCAATCCCAGCTCCATGTCATCTGGTCACAGTTAACCTGGGGCAAGGTTGTCCCCACTAAGCCTCACTCTTGTCATCTGTGAAATGGGCTGAATGAGGCTGCCCGCTTCACCTGTTGAGGACTATGGGAGACGCTTAAGTGCCTACAACATGGTGAGTTGGCACTGGGGGGGCCAGAGCCAGGTGGCTGGCCAGGCAGGACCACAGCAGCCTGAGTGTGTCGCTCCCCCTCTGTCACTCTTGGAGTCGGGCCCGTCTCCATGGGCTCAAAGCTTCTCATGCCACAAACTCTCTTCCTCAAAGGAAAAGGGCCATTAGGAGCACAGCTTTCACCCTGTTCGGCCCTGAGGTCCCCACAACTAGCTCCACCAGGATGGGGGTACCTTGGTCCCCATTTCATAGATGAGAAAACCATGGCTTCTCAAGGCTAGAAGCAGAGAGACTTGCCCAAGTTCACCGAGTGAGGAAGGCGCGTGGCCGGGTTTTGACCTGGCAGGTTTTCCCCGACTCCACCATGTGCTTCTGAAAGCCCCACTCTCCCCCCAGGGAATCACAGATGTCCTCCTCGCAGCAGCCTCCTGGCTTTGAATGTCCCGCACCTGGTCTTCTGCCTTCACTGAGCAGAGACGTCATTCCTGCGGCAAGTCCTAAGTTCCCGCTCCCCAGGGCTCCTCCACCAGGAATGTTCTTCCTTTCCCATCCTTCAAGGCTCAGCCTCCACTGACCTCCCCACCCTCCTCTCCTCCACATGCACAGGGAACTGGGTTGGCCTCTTACCATCCGACCCGTTCCCCGTGCTTCATGAGAAAGATGCAGCGACAGCTCATGGGGTCACCTGGCTTGACTGCCCGACCTGCTACGTCCCAGTTGAGTCACCGAGGGAAAATCACTCTACCTCTCGCAGCCTCATTGCCTCATCTGCGAAATGGGCACACCAGCCATTGTTTTGAATGACTGGGTGGAATCAAGGTGGTAAGACATAGAAACTGACACAGAATGGGTCCCATCAGGCTCTACACCCATGCCCGTCACCTCCCGACTCAGCCGCCCAGAATCGGGTGATTGACATGTTATGTTTGGCTTGAAACTGGCTTTCCTTCCCCAGCCCGCTACATTTTGGAGGCTGGTTTTCAAGATAGAGGGTCGTCTCAGCCACATCCCTGCTGCTGGGCCCCTAAGCTGTGCTGAACAAGAGACCCCAACCTCATTTCTGCCCAGCCTCACTGCATGAATCTTCTTTGCCTCAGTGTCCCCAATTGTGACTTGGGCACAGTCCTCCGAGCCCTCCCACTGTGACACTAGATGCAGCAGGCAGGGAACAGTCCCTCCTGGGCAGAGAAGGCACCCTGGTCCCAGCAGAAAACCAGGGCTGGAATTACCTTCTGTTTCGGCTTCTTTCTCAGAAATCCATTCCGTGTGCTGGGGGCAGTCTGATGGGCTTCTGGGGGTGGCAGCTGGGTTCAGCGTGGGGGTGACAGATGAGGGTCTGAGAAAGCAGGCAGAGGCCTGGGGTGAGAATCCACACCCAGCCCGAGTCACCAATCAGGCTGTCATAAGACCTGTCACTCTGATGACGGGCAGCTGGGCCTCCAGGCAGGTGTCCCACAGAGCAGCAGACAGAGGAAAGAGACGGCAAGGAAGGTACCAGGCGGCCGCAGCAGGGATGCACGGGCCGCAGACAGACAGACACAGCTGCGTGGCTGTCAGCCACACTCAGGGAGAGGCAGGCAGAGGGCCAGACGCCGAGCTTACGGTCACTCAGCAGAGAGACGCCAGTGGGTCTGTCTGAGGCCGCTGGCTGCCACCCAGCCGCATGTGCAGAGTGGGGAGGAAGAGGAGGATGTGGTGAGCCGCTCCCCGCCAGCCCCGCCCACCCGCAGCTGGGCTCCTCCTGGGAGGGAGTGAGAAAGAGGTGGGAGGGGGCCTGGCCCCACAGCAGGCACCCACTGTCACCAAAGGTCACCTGCAAGTAAGACATTTGGGGCCATCGGGGTGACACTTCCCTCTTAGGGACCTGTGACATCATCCCCACAGGCCTCTCAGTCATAACCCATGAGGCAGGCAGTGCCTCCTGGAGCCACCACATTGCACAGATATGGAAACTGAGGCCAGAGGTGTGAAGATGTGGCACAGTTTCACCCGTGGACCCAGAGTCCTCAGTGGCCGACTCCAGCCCCTCAGCACAGAGAGAAGGACCAGAACCTTGCCCAAGGTCCCACGGAAGCCCCTTTTTCAGACTTTGCAAACCAGCCTGTTTCTTATTCCTGAGCCTTACCTGCCTAATAGGGTCTGAGCTTGGGACCCTCTGCTCTGGCTTGACCCCCATGCCTCTCTGCCTCCATTTCCTTTGGATCCAGTCTCCTGCTGCAGAGCTCCAGGGAGCAGGACCCCTTGGGCACGTCACATCACCTCTCTGAATGCCTCACTTTGCCCATCTGTCAAATGGGGGCACCTAGCTATGAGGAAGAGGGCAGACATTAACACATGAGAATTCAAGAAGAAAATAGAGAAAAGAAATTCTCAAGAGAGTTTTCATCTTGCTAACATGCCAGAGGCCCATGAGAGGGTCAGATGTTTCTGGAAGACATTCAAGAAACCAGGAGACAAAATGTAACAAGCTTAATGCCTAGTGCAGTCTCCAAAGGAGAGCAAGAGAATTGCTACCACCACCACCGCTACCACCACCACCACTACCACTGCCATCACCACCACCTCGAATTACTTTGGTGCCTACATGATCTCACTTTATCCCACAAAGTGTGAGGCAGACAAGATTAGTCCCATTTTACAGATGGAGAGACTGAGGCCCAGAGGAGTGAAACGTCACACAAGCCAAGAAGAATTAGAGCTGGGATTTGAACCTGGGTGTGTTTGATTCCTAAGCTTATACCAGGCTGTGAAAACGGGGCCATACCAGGATGAAATGTCCCACAGTTGGGGGAGGCTATTTTATGCTGTTTTGATAACAAGATGCAATTTGTAGCTCTCCCTGCTGACTCATTTTTGGGAATCAACTTGCTGTTGACTTTCGTGACCACTCCAGAGAAAAAAGAGAAAGCGTCTTGCTATTCTTTCTTTCTTTTTTTTTCTAGCTGTTTTTGAGGAACTTGGTACAAATTCCCCTGTGGTTGATTTGAGGGATCCTGGCCCTGTAGAGCTCTTCCCAGCTACCGAAGTGTGTCGTGTTCTCTGGAGAACGAACCTTGGGAAGACACCAGCTTTTGTTTTTCTTTCTCTTGATCTTCGGGGTGAATTCTCTGATAACATGCACTGAAATTTGTAGTGGTTGAAAGATCAGGAGAAGAGACAGTAAAAAGAGCTAATATTTGCTGAAAGCTCATTGTGTGCCAGGGTTTTAAGGACTTTAAAGATGCACCCTCTCATTTAAACCTCAGAAATACTCGAGAAGGCTGTGTGCAGCGGTGCACACCTATAATTCCATCATTTTGGGAGGCTGAGGTGGGAGGATCGATTGAGGCTAGGAGTTCAAGACCAGTCTGGGCAACATAGCAAGACCCTGTCTCTATAAAAAAATTTAAAAATTAGACAGTCATGGTGGTGCACGCCTGTAGTCCCAGCTACTCTGGAGGCTGAGGTGGGAGGACCACTTGAGCCAAGGAGCTGAAGGCTGCAGTGAGCTATGACTGTAGTGCTGCACTCAAGCCTGGGCAACAGAGCAAGACTCTGTCTTCAAAAATAAAATCCCCAAAATGAAAAAGAATGAGTCTAGAAGATAGTTATCATCATCATCATCATCGTCCCTGTTTTACAGATGAGGAAACTGAGGCTCAGAGAGGTTAAGTGACTTGTCCAAGGTCACACAGCTGATGAGTGCCAGAGTTGGGATTTGAACTCAGTCATTTGGGCTCCAGAGCCCGCACTCTTAACTCACTACACTGCTCTGGGGTGTGTATGAAAACAAGGATATTCAATTTCTCCTCCCTCCCTCCTGCCTGCCTTCTTTATCTACCTGCTTTCTACCCACCCACCTACCTATCCACCCATTCATTCTTCTCTGCACCCACCCACCCAGCCATTCCTTGCTTCCTCCCCCTAATATTTATTGAGCAGGCTCAGAGAGGTTAAGTGACTTGTCCAAAATCACGCAGCTTGGCTACATCCTGGGGCTAGCCCACAGAAATATACACACAGTGACAGCCCCCATGGAGCCTATATTCTAGTAGGGAGAGTTAGACAAAAAGAAGTAACAGACAAACTCAATGTAAACTGTACTAAATGTCATAGAAAACCAATGAGAGATCAAGGTTGTGACATTTGGGGGTACACTAGGTGCTAAGAAGTGCCCAGCCATGGGAAGAACATTATCGGCAGAAGGATCTGCAAGTGCAAAGGCACTGAGGTAGGAAAGAATGTGGCTGGCTCCAGGAACTTGAGAACAGCATGGCGTAATACAGTGAGCAAATGGAGGAATAGTAGAAGGTGAAGGCACGGAAATCACACATCTACACCACATGGGACCTCACGGTTTTGGGTGAGGAAGGTAGATTGTTCCAAAGGAAATGGGAAGTCATCATTGGAGGGTTTCATCTTAAGAGTGGCTTAATCCAGTTTACATTTTCAGTTCAGGCCAGGAGTTGGGGAATGGGTGGGATCAGCAGGGGTCACAGTCCCTTGGTGCTTAAAAAGTAGATGCATTTGGAGCTGCCAGGCCCATGTCCACTGGGGTAAACATGAGTCCCCTCAGAAATAGACATGTGGTCCCTTGAGGGGTTCCTCTGGGTCTGTAAATGTCTCATAAGTATGGCCTCTATACCCTTGGAAGGAAGGTGCCATAGGATCTCAGCGGCCCTCCAACCATGCCTCAGTGCTGATAGCTGGTCAGCGGGGAGGAAGTGGTCACATTTGCATTTCAGCCAAGGGGCCTCCTGGGAAAAAATAATTGACACACCCCCTCCCTCAACCCATTTCCTCTTTTTTATTTTTATTTTAAGAGCTTTATTTAGCTATGTTTTACATAACATAAAATCAAGCCACTGTAAATGTACAGTTCAATGATTTTTAGTGAATTTATCGAATTGTGCAATTATAACCACGATCCAATTTTAAAACAATCCCATCACTCCTGAAAGGTTCCTTGTGCCTGCTTATAGTCAATCTCCATTCCCATTCCCAGGGCCACTCGTCTACTTTATGCCTCTACTGATTTTGCTTTTTTTTTTTCCTAGGCATCTCATATCAATATGTTGTCTTTTGTGTTTAGTTTCTTTCAGCATCGCGTGTTTGGGGTTCAACCACGTTGTAGCGTGTGTTGGCACCACATATCTAAAAATCCATTTTTAGGCCAGGCGCGGTGGCTCATGCCTGTAATCTCAACACTTTGGGAGGCCAAGGTGGGCGGATCACTTGAGATCAGGAGTTCGAGACCAGCTTGGACAACATGGTAAAACCCCGCCTCTACTAAAAAATACAATAATTAGCCTGGTGTGGTTGCACACGCCGGGAGATTGAGACCAGCCTGGCCAACATGGTGAAACCCTGTTCTACTAAAAATACAAAAATTAGTTAGGTATGGTGACGTGCACCTGTAGCCCTAGCTACTCAGGAGGCTGAGGCAGGAGAATTGCTTGAACACGGGAAGTGGAGGTTGCAGTGAGCAGAGCTAGTGCCACTGCCCTCCAGCCTGGGAGACAGAGCGAAACTCCATCTCAAAAAAATAAAAAATAAAAATTGATTTTTATTGCTGAAGAATATTACATTGCATAGATATGCCACATTCATTTATCCTTTCATGAGATGATGGACATTTGGAGTATGTCCACTTTTTCCTTTACTACAAACAAGCATGCTATGAACACTTGCATGCGAGTCTTTGTGTAGACATGCATTTTCAAATCTTTTGGATATATACCCAGAAGGAGACTTGTTGAGTTAAAGGTAGTTTAACTTATTAACTTTTAAATAAGTTTAACTTATTAAGAAACTGACAAACTGTTTTTCACAGCAGCTGCCCTGTATTATATTCCCACCAGCAATGTCTGAAGGTTCCCATTTCTCTACGTCCTTGACAATATGTATTTTCTTTTTTTTTTTTTTCTTTTTTTTTTTTTTTTTGAGATGGAGTCTCGGTCTGTCGCCCAGGCTGGAGTGCAGTGGCGCGATCTCGGCTCACTGCAAGCTCCGCCTCCCGGGTTCACGCCATTCTCCTGCCTCAGCTTCCCGAGTAGCTGGGACTACAGGTGCCTGCCACCACGCCTGGCTAATTTTTTGTATTTTCTTTTGTAGAGACGGGGTTTCACCGTGTTAGCCAGGATGGTCTCGATCTCCTGACCTCGTGATGCGCCCGCCTCGGCCTCCCAAAGTGCTGGGATTACAGGCGTGAGCCACCGCACCCAGCAGACAATATGTATTTTCTGTTGGTTTTTATTATAGCCATCCTAGCGGATGTGAAGTGGTATCTCATTGTGGTTTTGATTTGCATTTCCCTAATGGCTAATGATGGTAAGCATCTTTTCATGTGCTTGGTAGTCATTTGCATATCTTGTTTGGAGTAATGTCTATTGAAGTCCCTTGCCAAATTTTATTTATTTTATTTTTTTTTTAGACAGAGTCTTGATCTGTCTCCCACACTGGAGTGCAGTGGTGTGATCTTGGCTCACTGAAACCTCTACCTCCTGGGTTCAAGCGATTCTTGTGCCTCGGCCTCCCGAGTAGCTGGGCTTACAAACGTGTGCCACCATATCCAGCTAATTTTTGTGTTTTTAGTAGAGACGGGTTTTCACCATGTTGACCAGGCTGGTCTCGAACCCTTAACCTCAGGTGATCCGCCCACCTCAGTCTCCCAAAGTGCTGGGATTACAGGCATAAGCCACCGTGCCCAGCTCCTTGCCAATTTTTAAATTTGATTGTTCATCATTTGTTGTTGAATTTTAAGAGTTCTTTGTATATTCTGGAAACTCACCTTTATCAGATATATGAATTACAAATATTTTTCCCATTCTGTGGCTGTCTTTTCACTTTGTTGATAGTGTGCTTTAATGCAAAAAAAATGAAAAAAAATTGACTATAGATTCATGGGTTTATTTCTGAACTCTAAGTTCAATTCCATTGATCTATATGTCTAGCCTTGTGCCAGGATTATCACACTGTTTTGATTACTGTAGCTCTGCAGTAAGTTTTGTTTTGTTTTGTTTTTGTTTTTGTGTTGTTTTGAGACAGAGTTTCGCTCTTGTTGCCCAGGCTGGAATGCAATGGCACAATCTTGGCTCTGCAGTAAATTTTAAAAATGGGAATTTGAGTCCTCCAACTTTATTGTTTTGGCTTTTCTGGGTCCCTTGAAATTTCACATGATTTTTAGGATCAGTTTTTCCATTTTTTAAAAAAGGCCATTGGGACTTTTATAGGAATTGCATTAAATCTATAAATTACTTTGAGGAGTGCAATGTTAAATCTTCCATTACATTAACATAGAATTTAAAAAACTTTATTTAGGTCTTTTCTAATTTTTTCAGCAATATTTTATAGTGTTCAGTGTACAAATCTTGCACCTCCTTGGTTAAATTTATTCTTAAGTATTTTATTATTTTTGATGCTATTATAAATAGAATTTATTTAATTTCCTTTTGGGGTTGTTTATTGCTAGTATATACAAACACAATTTATTTTTGTATGTTGATCTTATACCCTGTCACTTGGCTGAATTTATTAGCTCTAATAATTTCTTTGTGCGTTCTTTAGAATTTTCCATATATATGATCATGTCATCTGCGAATAACAGTAGTTTTTACTCTTTCCTTTTCCCATTTGAATGCCTTTTATTTCTTTTTCTTGCTGAATTGTTCTGGTTAAAACTTTCAGTGCAATGTTGAATACCAGTGGTGAAAGTGGGCATCCTCTTTCCTGATCTTGGTGGAAAAGTTTTCAGTCTTTCACTGATTTAGTGTGATGTTAGCTTGTTAGCTGCGGGTTTTTCTTTCTTTATTTCTCTTTCTTTCTTTCTCTCTTTCCTTCTTTCTCTGTCTCTCTCTTTTTTATTTGAGATGGAGTCTCACTCTGGTGCAGGTTGGAGTGCAGTGGCATGATCTTAGCTCATTGCAACCTCATGGGTTCAAGTGATTCTCCTGCCTCAGCCTCCCAAGTAGCTGGGATTACAGGTGTGTGCCACCACATCCAACTAATTTTTGTATTTTTAGTAGAGACAGCATTTCACCATGTTGGCCAGGCTGGTCTCGAACTCCTGATCTCAGGTGATCTGCCTGTCTCGGCCTCCCAAAGTGCTGGTATTACAGGCATGAGCCACTGTGCCCAGCCAGGTTTTTCATATATGGTCTTTATCATGTTGAGGGAGTTCTCTCTTATTCCTACTTTACTGAGTGTTTTTATCATGAAAGGGTGTTAAATTTTGTCAAATGCTTTTCTGCATCAATTTGGATGATCGTGTGGGTTTTCTTATTCTATTAATGTTATGTATTGTATTGATTAATTTTCTTATGTTGAACCACCCTTGCATTCCTGGGATAAATCCTTTTTGGTCACACTGTATAATCCTTTTAATGTGCTGTAGAATTAGTTTGCTTGTATTTTTGTGAAATTTTATATCTATATTCATAAGGAATATTAGTCTGTAGTTTTGTTTTCTTGTGGTTCTCTTGTCTGGATTTCTCTCCTGTTTTGTGGAGGAGTTTGAGAAGAACTGATGTTAATTCTTCTTCCAATGTTTAGTGGAATTCACCAGTGTAGCCATCTGACTCTGGACTTTTCTTCATTGGGAGGTTTTTGATTCAACTCTTTACTTGTTGTATGTTTATTAAGATTTTCTATTTCTTCTTGAGTCAGTTTTGGCAGTTTGTGTTACCAAACTTTAATATTTAAGTTGACAACTATTATTATCTAATTTGTTGGCATACAGTCATTCACAGTACTCCCTTATGATCCTTTTTATTTCTGTATGATTTGTAGTAATATTCCCACTTCCATTTCTGATTTTAGTGATTTGTATTGTTTCTTTTGCTTAGTCCAACTAAAGGCTTGTCAATTTTGTCAATCTTTTTGAAGAAACGACTCTTGGTTTCTTTCATCTCTATTGATTTTGTATTCTTTATTTTGCTTGTTTGCACTCTAATCTTTATTATTTCCTTCCTTCTGCTACCTTTGGGTTTCATTTGTCCTTCTTTTTTTAGTTCCTTTAAAAGTAAAGTTAGGTTATGATTTGTGATCTTATTTGTTGTTTTTTTTTAATGAAGGCATGTAGGGCTACACATTTCCCTGTTAGCACTGCTTTTGCTACATCCCATAATTCTGGGTGTGTTTTTGGTGCTTTCATTTTCATTTGTCTCTAAGTATTTTCTAATTTCCTTGTGATTTCTTCATTGACATGATGACTGTTTAAAAATATGCTATTTAATTTCCACATAATTGTAAATTTTCCAGTTTTCCTTCTGCTATTGATACCTAACTTCATTGTGATCAGAGAAGACACTTCATATGATTTCAATCTTTTAAAATTTATCAAGACTTGTTTTGTGGCTTAACATATAGTCAGTCCTGGAGAATGTTCCATGTGCACTTTGTGGTCACTGTTATTGTTGGGTGGAGTGTTCTATGTGTGTCTATTAGCTCTGGTTGGTTTATAGTTGTACAAGTCCCCTACTTTCTTAGTCTTCTGTCTAGATGGTCTCCAACTATTATTGTAGAACTGTCTATTCCTCTATTCAGTTCTGTCAATATTTGCTTCATATATTTTTGGGCTCTGATGTTTAGCACATGTATGGTCATAATTATTATGTCTTCTTTTTTTTGAGACAGAGTGTTGCTCTGTCACACAGGCTGGAGTGCAATGGTGCAATCTCAGCTCACTGCAACCTCCGCCTCCCAAGTTCAAGCAATTCTCTTGCCTCAGCCTCTCGAGTAGCTGGGACTACAGGTGTGCACCACCGTGCCCTGCTAATTTTTGTATTTTTAGTAGAGACAGGGTTTCGCCATGTTGGCCAGGCTGGTCTCAAACTCCTGACCTCAGGTGATCCACTCATCTTGGCCTCCCAAAGTGCTGGGATGACAGGCATGAGCCACCACCTGGCCAATCTTCTTGACAAATTAACACATTTATCAACATGTAATGTCCTTGTTTGTCTCTTGTAACAATTTTTTACTTAAGACTCATTTTATCTGACATTAGTATAGCCACCTCAGCTCTCTCTTGGTTTCTATTTTCATAGAATATCTTTTTCCATCCTTTCACTTTTAACTTATTTGTGTCTTTGGATATAAAGTGAGTCTCTTGTAGACAGCATGTAGTTGGATCATGTTTTTTAATTCCTTCTGTCAATCCATTCTGTCTTCTAATCAGTGAATTTAATCTACTTACATTTAAAGTGATTCATGATAAAAGGCTTACCACTGCATTTTGCTATTCATTTCATTTATATCAAATTTTCTTTTGTTATTCAATTCCCTCATTACCTCCTTCTCTTGTATTGATTGATTTTCTTCTAGTGCACCATTTTGATAGCCTCCTCATTTCTTTTCTGTATATTTTTAGTTATTTTCTTAGTGGTTACCTTGAGGTTTACACTTCACAGGAAATTTATAACAATATAGTATGAATTGATAACAACTTGGTTTAAATAGCAATACAAAAACTCTACTCCTATACAGCTCCCTCTACTCTATTCTACTCCTATCCCTCCCCCTCTTTTGTTGTCATTATCACAAACTACATCTTTATGTGGCATGTGCTCATTAGCATAGATTTATAATTATTTTTATGTATGTATCTTTTAAATAATATAGGAAACAAAAAGAGGAGTCATAAGCCAAAAATATAATTATACTAGTTTTTATATTTACCTTTACTAGTGTTCTGTATTTATTCATATGGCTTTGATTTACTGCCTAGTGTCCTTTCATCTCAGCCTGAAAGACTCCCTTTAGTGTTTTTCATAGGGAAAGCCTCCTAGTGATGAAATACTTCACCTTTTTTTTTTGCAATCTTTGAATGTTTTAATTTCTTAATCATTTTGGAAAGATAGTTGTGCCAGATAAAGAATTCTCAGTTGGCAGGGTTTTTTCCTTCAGCACTTTAAATATATCATCCTTCTGTCTTCTGGCCTTGTGGCTTCTGATGAGACTTTGGTCATTAATCTTGTTGAGGACCCCTTGTATGTGACAAGTTACTTCTCTCTTGCTAGTCTCCAGATTCTCGATTTGTCTTTGTCTTTCAACAGTTTGATTATAATGTGTCTTGGTGTAGATTCCTTTGGTTTTATCCTAGTTGGAGTTCACTGAGCTTCTTGGATGTATATACTCATACCTTTCATCAAATTTTGGAAATGTTTGGCCTTTATTCAAATATTCTTTCTGGTCCTTTCTTTCTCCTCCTTCTGGGATTCACATAATGCATATGTTTATACCTTTTTTTTTTTTTTGAGATGGAGTCTCGCTCTGTTGTCTCACAGGTCTCTCAGGCTCTGTTTATTTTTATTCCTTTTTACTTTATGCTCCTCAGACTGGATTATTTCAATTTACCTAGCTTCAAGCTTATTGATTCTTTCTTCTGCCTACTCAAATCTGGTGTTGGAGCTCTCTAATAAATTTTTCATTTTGGCTATTATATTTTTCAGGTCCAAAATTTCTATTTGGTTATTTTAAATAATGTCTAGCTCTTATTGATATTATCTACTTGTTCACACGTAGTTCTGGTTTAACTTAGTTCTTCACTCATGGTTTCCTTTAGCTTTTTGAGCATATTTAAGACAATTGATTTAATGTCTTTGTCTAGCAGCTCCAATGTCTGGACTTTTTTAGGGACATTTTCTATCCATTTTTCCCCCGTGAATGGGCTGGGTGTTCCTGTTTCTTTGTATACGTTATAGGTTTTTGTTGGAAACTTGGCATTTTGAATGTTACAATGTGATAATTCTAGAAATCACATTCTCCCTTCCCCTGTCCACAAGGCTTGCTTTTGTCATTTGCTGTGAGCTTCAGCCATTCATTTACTTAGTGACTTTTCCAAACTATTTTTGCAAAGACTATATCCCTTTTTGTGTATGTTCACTGAAATCTCCATTCTGTTATCTCAGCAGTTGGTCAGTGATCTGTAAGAGGTTTCCTTATATACCTGCAGCCAAAAAGAAAAACAAAATAAAAGATACTCCCCTAGTCTTTGTAAATTGGCTCTGAGCTGGGATACTCCTTTACACTTAGCCAGGCAGACTACAATTCTGTCTTAGCCTTCACCTCTGCTTGTGCAGAGCCCAATTAGCCAGAGGTGCAAGCCTAGGATCATCTCATATCATTTCTGTGCATGACTTCAGCCCTGGGCATATGTGTTATATTCTAGATTCCCTGGTATACACGGAAGCTTTTCAAAGCCCTTATTCCCCCATATACATTCCTCCTTAGTCTTTTTCTTCTCCAGCTTTTTGGTCGGTCTCTGCTTTTTGCTTTGTCTGTCATCCTTTGCCCCACATGGGTAGTGTGTGTCTTTAAAGTTTGTCAACAGACATTGCCTGGGAAGCTGCTCCAGCCTAGAGTTCAGGGGAAGTGGGAGGGCAAAACAAAGGCAAGCACCTGAGTGGATCCTTTAGGGAGATGCCAAACAGATCAAAATGTAGAAACACAATTCTTTGAGACCAAGGCTTGTGTTGTTCTTTCTGGTACCAGCAAGCCATGCCAAGAATGCAGGCTACTGTACTCATAGCCACGACTAAGCTGATGAATGTGAGATGGTAGGCAAGTAAGCAAAAATGCTACAGTATTTTCTTACCAAGAATTAGCAGCCTTTTCTGGTTGCTAAAGGGTTTTGATTAGATTTCAGGTTCCAAAAAAGTTTCTTTTGACACTTTCTTCCAGCTTAATGTTTGCTTTAGTGGAGGAACTGATCCTTGGAGTTCCTTACTCTGCCATTTTTAAATAATGTACTTAATGGTGTTTTTTTTCTTTTGAAGCATAACCCTTTTAAATTTTATTGAAACCCAATTTATCAATTTTTTTCTTTTGTGGATTGGACTTTGGGTGCCATATCTAAGAAATCTTCACCTATACCAAAGTAGCAAAAATCTCCTCTCATATTTTCTTCTAAAAGTTTAATAGTTTTAGCTCTTGCATTTTTATTTTTTATTATTTGTTTATTTTCTGAGACAGGGTTTTGCTCTGTTGCCCAGACTGGAGTCCAGTGGCTCACTGCAATCTCAGGTCACTGCAACCTTGGCCTCTTGGGTTCAAGCGATTCTCCTACCTCAGCCTCCTGAGTAGCTGGGACTATAGGTGCATACCACCATGTCCGCCCAATTTTTGTATTTTTGGTAGATATGGGGTTTCTCCATGTTGCTCAGGCTGGTCTTGAACTCCGGGCTCAAGTGATCCATCTGCCTTGACCTCCCAAAGTGAGCCATTGAGCCCAGCCTTACCTTTTTAAAATTATGATTTTGACTTAATTTTGTGAATGCTGTGAGGTAATGATCTAAATTTATCTTTTTTCATATAAATATCTAAATGTTTCAGCACAATATTTAGAAAAGATTGCCCTCTCCCTTTTGAATTGCCCTGACACCTATTTTGATAATTGACTATAAATATATGGGTTAATTTCTGGACCCTGTATTCTGATTCATTGCTTTATATGTCTATCCATTTACTAGCACCTTACTGCCTTGATTGCTGTAGCTTTGTAGTAAGTTTTGAAATCAGGAAGTAGAAGTCTTCCAAATTTGTTCTGCTTTTTCAGAATTGTTTTGGTCATTCTGAGTCCTTTGCATTTCCATTATAAATATTAAATTCCATATAAGTTTCAGCTTGCTAATTTCTGCAAAAACTCCTACTGGAATTTTGACAAGGATTGTCTTGAATCAATAGATCAGTTTGAGGAAATCTACCACCTTAAAAACTTGGAGACTTTCAATCCTGGATATAGGCACTCTCTCCATTTATTTAGATCTTTGAAAATTCTTCTCAGACAACCGCTTCCTCATCCATTCATTTTTTTAAATTAATTTTTTATTGTAATAAATACACATCACATGACATGTATGATATGGTTTGGCTGTGTCCCCACCCAAATCTCATCTGGGATTGTAGCTCCCATAGTTCCCACGTGTTGTGGGAGGGAGCCTGTGGGAGATAACTGAATCATGGGGGTGGTTTTCCCTATACTGTTCTTGTGGTAGTGAATGAGTCTCACGAGATCTGATGGTTTTATAAGGAGAAACCCCTTTCACTTGGTTCTCATTGTCTTTTGTCTGCCGCCATGTAAGATGTGCCCTTTGCTTTCTGCCTTTCACCATGATTGTGAGGCCTCCCCAGCCACATCAAACTGTGAGTCCATTAAACCTCTTTTTCTTTATAAATTACCCAGTCTTGGGTATGTCTTTATCAGCAGCGTGAAAACAGACTAATACGATGTACCATCTTATCCAATTTTAAGTGTAAGTTCAGTGGTATTAACTGATGCATTCCTTTCTGAGGTCCAACATTGTGGGGTTCCTGTAATGGACCAGATGGTCTGCTGAGAGCCACAGCCAAGAAAGGGCAGGGGATGTTTCATGGGGAGCAAACCACAAAGGAAGGAGACGTCTAGAGGGCTGGATTGTGCGCAACATGTGGCTGAAACTGGGAACCCCCTTTTCACTCAGTTACCCTGAGACAGCAGGTTTATTTTAAGAGCGATGGCTGAATATAAAGAAAAAACTAATAAATAGTGCCCTCAGTTATGAGTAACACAGAAAGAATATGTTTATCCTGCCTTAAAAGCTCATCTTGGTTTGTATTAGGCTCTGGACTAATAGGGGTATCATTTAAGCAGATGATAAGACTAAGAATTTTGTAAATTTCTTTCCAAAATTAGGATCTCTAATGGGCTGATCAGACTGCCCTAGCCATTGATCACATCACTTGCTGTTTGGCACATGAGTTGTGTCTTGGTTGGGTTCCCCCAGAGGCAAATTCTAAGACAAGGATTTAAGGATAAGTCATAGATTTGGGAAATAATCCTAGGAAACACAGGGGAATGGAGAAGTGGGGCAGGCAAAGCGAGGAAGCCAGTAAAGGGCGCTTTAAGGAGAAGGCCACTGCTGTTGGCAACTGGAGCTGAATCCCACTGGGTACCTCTCTGGGAGACAATATAGAACATGTCTCCAACTTGTCCCAAAGGAGAAACAAGAAATCTGGGATATTTCTTTTCCAGGACTTCATTTGTTGTTAGTTGAGGGCTGCTTCCAGGGCCACGACTCTCTGACACTTCCAGCTTGCCGATTGCATGCACCTGTTGCCAAAAATGAACCCTCACGCAGGGAGTTGCAGGTGTTTGCAGTACAAATGCTTTGGTGTATAAAGCTGAGAAGTTAAGGGTAAGGCTTCAACATCTGCTACAGGGACCATGATAGGGACAATTAATTGTGTCCCAGCTTCCATCTTGTCCTTCTTTCTCATATCAGGACCATAGTGTAATTCTGGATGGCAACAGACCCAGCTAATAGACCACTTTCCAGTTTCCCTTGCAGCTAGTGATGGGAGTGTTCACATGGACCTTCTGGAAGCACTCTGTGGCCCTTCCAGTATTCCCCTTCCTCCTTTCTCCTGCCTAAAGTGTACACGTGATGGCTGGAGCTCAAGCAGCCATTTAGAACTAAAGAAAAAGAATAGGATAATCACAGAGAACTTGGCCCTGATATCATGGGTCATGAACAAATGTCAGCAATCATTTGTCTCTAGACTTCTCGTTCCATAAAGGAATTAGCTCTTAAGTGTTTAAGCCACTGTGGTTGGTCTCTATTAGAAGTTGGAACTTCTAACCATACAAGGGGATTGAGTGACTATCAAAAGGATGAAGAGGCTTATCTGTGTACCCAAACTGGTGAAGCAAGAAATAACCAGGTATGCTGTGTGTATAAAGTACTGACTAGGTTGAAATAAATCATGAAGAGAGGGTTGGATGAATAATTTATAAAACATCTGTGAAACAGAATACTCTGTAGCTATGCCATGTGAGGACATAACAAGAAGGTGGCTGTCTGCAAGCTAGAAAGGTTGTTCAGAAGACAACCATCAACCACCTTGACTTAGACTACCAGCCTCCAGAAGTGTGGGAAAATAAACTGTTGCCTAAGCCACACAGTCTATGGTATTTTGCTATGGCAGCCTGAGCTGACTAAAACAGATGTATCTGTATTAGTCAGTGTTCTCCGGAGAAACAGAACTGTAACCAACACAATTATTAATAACAATAATACAAAATTGTTTACAGTTGTAAGGGACTTGCCATCTGCAATAAGCTATCAAAACCACCTTTTATTTTAATTTTGTATTTTTGAGACAGGGTCTCACTCTGTCGCCCAAACTGGAATGCAATGGTGTGATCATGGTGTGATCACTGCAGCTTAAACCTCTCAAACTCAAGCCATTCTCCCTCTTCACTCTCCCGAGTAGCTGGGACCACAGGTGTGCACCACCGCGCCTGGTTAAGTTTTAAAAAGCTTTTTGTAGGAATGAAGTCTCATTATATTGCCAGGGCTGGTCTCAAACTCCTGGGTTCAAGTGGTCCTCCTGCCTCAGCCTCCTAAAGTGTTGGGATTACAAGCGTGAGCTGCTGTGCCCAGCCCCAAACTACCTTTTAATATCCCCATTTTAGACATAAGAAAACAGGTGCAGGAGACTAAGCAACTGGTCCACAGGCACATAGCCAGTAAGTGGCGGGGTCAAGATTTGAACCTGGGCCGTCTAGCCTCAAGGGTTAATAGGCCCATTTCTGGGTGGTGGGAATTTTTATTTTTAATTTTTTATGTTATTCTGTATTATCTGATTTTTAAAATGATATCTTACTTCTGGAATCTGGGAAAAATAACCAAGCTATTTCCATTTTGAAGAGAAAAAAAAAAGGACATCACAAAACATCAGTATGGTGGGAAAAGGGTGCAGAGAAGGGAAGGTATAAAAAAATCTATAGAGATGTGAGCCATGGTCCCCCTGAAGCATGTGACGTCCTTTACTTCAAGCCAGATATTCAATTACATGTATATGAAGATTAGAACCACAGAACCAACATGTCACATGGAAAATGCTTGCGAGATTTTCCCAAAGTCAAGAGTGTGTCACAGCCAAGGGGAACCTGAAGCACCCTAGGGTTGCATTAATAGAGGTATGGTGTCCAGAACAAGGGAGGCTATTCTCACTGCACTGGCCACACCTTCAGTCTACGTCCAGTTCTGGACCTTCATTTTTAAAGAACATTGGCAAATTGATGTATATTCAGAACAGGCAACCGAGAAGGTAGAGCAGCTGGTGTGGAGACAGTAAAAAAAACCATGAGACAGCAGAAGTATTTGGAAAGAGAAGACTCAGGGTGGGGGTCATGAGCAGGTCCAGACCAGCATAGTCAGAGTTGATGAACTGGAGAAGACAGTGAGCTCCCTGTCCCTGGTATGTAAACAACTCCTCACTGTGGGGGTATGGTTGGATTAACTGAGTGTGTGGTTGGACCAAGGGCAATGAAGTCTCCTTTCATGCTGAGTGTCTGTGTGTCTCTGATTCTTAGAAAGACATAGGAGGGCTTACCATGGAGGGAGATAATTATGGACCGAATGTGCTGCTTTCAACCTCTGCCAAATTCATATGCTGAAGGCTTAACCCACAATGTGGCTGTATTTGGAGATGAGGCCGCTAAGGAAGTAATTAAGGTGAAATGAGCTCAGAAGGGTGGGACCCTGATCTGATAATGTTAGTGCCCTTATAAGAAGAGACACCAGGGAGTTTGCCCTCAATCTCCCTCACAGCAAGAAGGCAGCTGTCTGCCAGCCAGGAAGAGAGCCTTCATCAGGCATGGATTCAGCTGCCTTTCTTTTCTGACTGCAGAGCTGGGGAGATGGGAGTTTACCAAAGTTTTCCAGATGCTGCACAGAGAATTCAGGTGGTGCACTGAAAATGTGCCTACCAGAGACTGGCACAAATGCGCGAAGGAATTTCCTTTGCATTCTGATCCCTAATGTTATTCCTGGACCAACTTGTTGATCATGGACTTTCCAGCCTCCAGAACTGTGAGAAATAAACGTCTGTTGTGCAAACCACCCATCCATTGTGTTATAGCATCCTGAGCAGCTAAGACAGAGGGTTACAGCAACCACTGAGCTGATTGGGCACCTCTGCAAGCTTTCTCTTAGGGGACCCTGGGGCTGAGCCCCAGCCTCCAAGTTCAGGGGTGGGGGTGCGGTGGGGTGAGCTGATTACAGTCTTAGGGCAGAGGAGGAATTGCCCATCTTCTCCCTCCCCTGCCACCTCCAAAATTTTCACAGTTAACAAAACAGATCTTCTTTTCACTGTCAAAGGTTTTAAATTCAATGGGAAGGCGGATACACAGGTCTAAAAGCAAAGCACTTGAGTTAGTGGCATGTACTAAGTATAAGAGGTACTGCCGGGCATGGTGGCTCACGCCTGTAATCCCAGCACTTTGGAAGGCCGAGGCCTTAAGCTCTTAAACACTTAAGAGCTAATTCCCTTATGGAATGAGAAGTCTAGAGACAAATGATTGCTTAGGCCGAGACCTAAGATCAGGAATTTGAGACCATCCTGGCCAACATGGTGAAACCCCATCTGTACTAAAAATACAAAAATTAGCCGGGCGTGGTGGCACATGCCTGTATTCCCAGCTCCTGGGGAGGCTGAGGCAGGACAATTGCTTGAACCCGGGAGGTGGAGGTTGCAGTGATCTGAAATCGTGCCACTACACTCCAGCCTGGGTGATAAGAGCAAAAGTCCATCTAAAAAATAAAGGTACTTATAATTGTTGCTGTTTACTAGACTAGTATGATTATTATTAACAGCAGTAGCATATTGTCTTTGTTTTTGTTTTTGTTTTTGTTTTGTTTTGTTTTGTTTTCTAGTCCTGATTTACTCTTCTCCTGGTCACTGTATCCCGGCTGTTTCTGAGATATCATGCCCCCTCCATTCTCAGTTCCTTTCCCTAGGAGCGTGCATGACTCTAGCCTAAACCAATCCACTATATTCCCTAAGCCACATTAACAGATCCAGTCAGAGTCTAACAGATCCCACGAGACTCTAGAGGGATTGATCAGGGCAAAGACTCCGCACTTGGAGCCGGGAGAACGTATTCATGTGTTCCCTGCAGCTGCTGTATGTCTCTGTGGCCACACGGGAGAAACTGCCTCAGGATGGGGTCGACCTGGAAGAAGTGACTCAAGAGATGAACTGGGCCATCAGGAATCAGGATCCCTTGATCCAGCTATGCCTGAAAGCCAAGACATTTTAGTTAAATAGGACAATAAATTCCCTCTTGGCTTCAGCCAGTTTGGATTAAGTAAGTTTCTTTCACTTGAAACTGAAAGAATCTTGACAGATACATTACTGTGTGACCTTAAAGTGCTATAATGGTGGTTGGTACAAAGTGCTATGACAGCAGACACGAGCGACCCCTGATGATACTGGCCACAGTGTGGAGGGAGTGTCAGGGAAGGCTGCATGGAGGAGGGGTCACTTGTTCTGGCCTTGGAAGGATGAAGAACAGTTCAGCGTGTTGAAAATATAGGAGAGTGCATTTCAAAACGTTCTGAAAATGTGGACAGGAAACCAAGAAATACGCTTCTAAATCACCCAAGAGACAATGAGAAAAATTGCAATGGAAAATTAGAAAACATTTTGAACTGAATGGTTTTAAAAAAACAACCACATGTAAACTTGTGGGTTGCAGCTAAAAAAGTACTCAGAGGGAAATTTGTAGCCTTAACAGTCACAGATTAGCAAAGAAGAAAAGCTAAAAATTAATGTTCCAAACGTCTCTCTCGAGAAGTTAGAAAATGACAGTGAAATAAACCCAAAAGAAAGGAAAGGAAAATTATAAAGATCAGAATTGGCTGAAAGAGGAAGGAAGCACAGCAGAGGGCCAACCAAGCCTGGAGTCGGTTCTCTGGTAAGCCAAAGACATGAGGGCGTGACTTCCCCGCCTGTTCGGGGAATGATGAGGGCCCTGGTGTGGGTGGGGAGGGCAGAGGGGGACACCAGAGCAAGGAGGAAGTGTCGAGGCCATAGCCTGCTGGCGAAGACAGTGCCAGAGCCTGGAGAAGTTTCCCTGTAGAGCAGCGGGAGCAGAACCCCACCCCATCGACGGCCAGAGCCATGAGAGGATCTCAGGAGGGGAGTGATGGGAGCAAGCTACCTTTGGTCCCTATCCAACTGGGCTGGGAACTTGTAGGGTCCTGGGAGACTGTCTGCAGATGAGGGTATGTGGCCCGTGTGCCTAGGTCTGATTGGAAAGGAGAAGATAAGCCACAGAGGATACCAAGTTTAGTTTTCCAGGAACCGGCCTCTGTCGCTGGGGAAACTGCCACCACAGCTGCTGGCTGTCCAGTGCGACCTTGGCACAGGCTGGCTTCCCTTTCAGGGAGGGGCACCCAGACCCATTGAGTGGTGTCTGAGAAGGCCCTGGAGGGCTGGGGGGAGGCTGCCGAGCTACGGCATCTCCAGCCCTTCAATAGAATATTTGGCAGGGTTTCTCCACCTTGATAGTGTTGACATTTGGGCTGGATCATTTACGGTGGGGGCCATCCTGTGCATGGTGGGATGGTGACCAGCATCCCTGGCCTCTTCCCACTAGATGCCTTTCCCCCAGTTGTGACCACCAAAGGTGTCCCCTGGAGGGCAAAATTGCCCCCAGGTTGAGAACCTCTGATTTCATGTTGTAGGGGGAGGAGCACTGGACCCAGAGTCCTACAGAAGATGTCGGCAGTGCCAAACTCATCCGCTAGGGCTGCATGACCCCAGGCAAGATCCTTCCTCTCTCTGAGCCTCTACAACCCCTACCTGCCAATTGTGGTGAGAATACTTACCCCTGCCCCCAGGATAATTAGGAGGATGCTGTGCCTGGAAGAGCAGGCTGCCACAAACAGCAGAGGTTAGGTGGGAATCATTGCCCCTGTACCTGGAGCGAGGCTAAAGAGCTGAACGGCGTGTGGGGCGGGGTCCCCATGGTGACAATAGCATGATCTTTCTTGCTTCCTTGCTTTCTCTCACCACCCCAATCCCACCCGTTGGGAATTCCTGTTGGTTCCACTTTCAAAACATGCCCAGAATCCACAGCTGTGGTCGCCGCCTGCTCTGGACATTGGAAAATTAGGGCCTCCCCTACCAAAAACATCCCCTTCTAACTGCAGCCAGAATGATCATTTTGAGACAATCATCTGATCAAGTCACTTCCACATCCAAAGCCTTCCTATGGTTGGTCAAACAAACCCTAGGTCCTGTGTGTGGCCAGTAAGGCCCTCCGTGGCTGATCCCCATTGCCTCTGAATTTGTCTCTTTCCTCTCCCCCAGTTTTCTGACTCTGGCCTCCTGGCTGCACCCCCTTCACGCCATTCCCTTCCCAGGGCCTTCGCACAGCCCGCTCCCTCCTCCTAGAACAATCTCTTTCTCCCTGTCCCTCCAGATATCTGCGTGGCTCATTCCCCTAGTTCACTCAAGCCTCTATTCAGACCTCCTTGGTGAGGTCTTTCCTGGCACCTCCTAAACAGCTCTCCACCCGCTAATTTCCCCTGGCCCCTCCCCTGCCTGTCTGTTCTGCATAGCACTCAAGCCCTCTGACGTCACACTGTGGGCTCACCTGCACATCTTTTGGCTCTCTGTCCTCACTAGGTGTCACTTCATGAGAGCAGGGACTCTGTTCTGCTCACTGCAGAACCTTCCTCAGTCCCTTTAGGGCAGTGCCTTGCACACAGTAGGTGCTCACTAAAAAGTCAGCCCTGCTTCAGCCCCACTTAGGATTCACTCTGGGAAAAAGAATCACCCCTGCCCCCCTGAGTCAGGTTGGCCTACAAATGGCAAGGCCTCTTCAGTCTCAAATCTCACATGTGGCTCACACAGCTCTGCCTTTCCCTCCGGCTGAATTAGCCTCTCACCTCACCCTCCCTTCTTGCATGATGTGCTTCAGCCGGAATGGGTTGTTTCCTCCTGGCTCCCACATGGGCCGTGTCCTCTACCTGGTGCATTCTTTCTGTTGCCATCTGTTGGAAAACTAGTTCCAGTCCTTCAGATTTTAACTTAGATGTCATCTCCTCCAGGAAGCTTTCCCTGATTGCCCAAGTCTGGGTCAATTGTCCCTCCTCTGAGCCCAAGCTTCCGAGTCTTGTTATGAACACACTGCATTGTTGTTGCTTATGCACTTGATCCCAATCCCATGCAGGTAGGGGCCAGTCTTGTATCCCCCAGGGCCTAGGACAGTGCTGGGACTCAAGAAACGTGATTGGAGTGAATCAGTGGATGAATGAATGCTCTGAATGACACCACCTCAAAGGACCTGGAGCATTCTCCTTAATCACTCTTGTGGGTGCCAATCTCCTTGGGCGCCTTTAGAAGCACTATATTTTCTTCCTGAGTACTGCAGCTCTTTTTAGGCCCCTGAAAGGCACCTGGCTCTTTCAGTTTTATGGGCATTTGTGAAAGAACTCAGCCCAACAGACCTCTGATGGGCACACCTAGAACCACCTCCAAATGGATTCACCATGGCACATGCTGGGACCACCTTCTACCTTGGAGAGAGCTTCCCACCCATTCTCTCATTTCTGCCTCCCCTAAACAGTGAGCTGGCCTGGAAAAGTCTGGCCTCTCCAGGTGGGGAGGATGGAGTCAGGTGACTATGTCCTCTTTGATGAGTGGGCAGTGAGGTCCCCCAAGAAGAAGGGGCAATGCTGAGTAGAGACCCCTTCCCCACCCTCCAGTCATCTGAGACCATGACTTGGTTATCTTCTTGGAACCCACATGGTAATCTTGGCACCCATCAGAGACTGTCCTTGTCTCTCTAGGGCTGGGATGGGGGACATGCTGGAGGACCCAGATGTGCACACCACAGGTGCCCACAACACACAAATGAAAACAGCAGCAGTAGCAGGTGTTGAGTACTTACTCGGTGCCAGATGCTAGTATCTTATTTATTCCACTAAACAACTCCAAGTCTGTGTTGTTGCTGGAGGCTTAGGGTCCTTGGGCCACATGTGGGGCTGAAAATAATCCTGATCTCTGTCCGTCTGTGATAAGAGCTAGTAATAATAATAATGTCTGCCTTCTGTTGTCTCCCTGTATTCCTGTATTAGTCTGTTTTCACGCTGCTGGTAAAGACATACCTGAGACTGGGCAATTTACAAAAGAAAGGTTTAATTAGACTTAACAGTTCAATATGGCTGGGGAGGCCTCATAATCATGGCCAAAGGCAAGGAGGAGCAAGTTACATCTTATGTAAATGGAGGCAGGCAGAGAGCTTGTGCAGGCAAACTCCCGTTTTTAAAGCCATCAGATGTCATGAGACTTATTCACTATCATGAGAACAGCACAGGAAAGACCTGTCCCCATGATTCAATTATCTCCCACTGGGTCCCTCCCACAACACATGGGAATTATGGGAGCTACAAGATGAGATTTGGGTGGGGACACAGAGCCAAACCATATCACCCCCCAACAAGAGAAGGCAGGCATTATTACTAGCGCATATCACAGATGGGGAAACCAAGCCACAGGGAATTTAAGTAACTTGTTCATTGTCACACAGATAAGAAGACATGAACCTGGGATTCAAACCTGGACAGTTCGGCTGCAGAGCTTGAGCTGTTAACGATGACACTCTCATCTTTTTCACAAATGCCCACACAAGTCCCCTTCTGTACATATCAACATATCTCACTTACATATATGTGCAAATCAGCATATGAAATCCCGCTCTTGCTCATGCACTCATGGACACATACAACCCAATCACAAAGACATAGATTCTCCTGTAGCATGAAATTCATCATACATCGTCAATAGGCAGCGAGAATTCACCCGAGTCACGCACATTTACACACAGGTGTGCATGTCCCTGTTAATATGCCTGCGTGAAAAGCATGCAGAACCGCCACTCACAAGTTCACACATGTGCAAGTACACACACATTGTCACATAGGCACAGACATATATATGTGTGCACACTTGCATATAAACATTTCTTGAGCACCTACTATGTGCCAGGCACTGTGCCGGTTCTGGGAATATAAAAGTGAAGAAAACCGAGTTTCTACTCTCTCAGAGTGTGTAATCCAGGGGAGGGGGAGGCATGCGTGAGCAAATCAGATAGAAAGTGCAGTGGCTCATGCCTGTAATCCCAACACTTTTAGAGGCCGAGGCAGGCACATCACCTGAGTTCAGGAGTTCAAGACCAGCCTGGCCAACATAGTGAAGCCACGTCTCTACTAAAAATACAAAAATTAGCTGGGCAAGGTGGCGCATGCTGTAATCTCAACTACTTGGGAGGCTGAGGCGGGAGAATCATCTAAGCCCGGGAGGCAGAGGATGTTGCAGTGAGCCAAGATCGTGCCACTGCACTCAAGCCTGGGTGACACAGCAAGACTCCATCTCAAAAAAAAAAAAAAAAAGAAAGCTCATAGTTATGGAGTGCTTATTATGCATAAGTTGCAGAGCTGAATCTGCCTCATGCATTAGGGGTCCGTAAACACCACAGCCCCCATGCTTACATGCACACATATGAATATAAACCTCCCTCCCTGCAGAAGCCACATGGCACAACCTGGGCCCTTGACAGGAGTGGATGGGTGTAGGGGACGGGGATCAGCATTATTTTCAGCCCCCCTCGTGGCCCAAGGACCTCAAGCCTCCAGCAACTTCCCTGAGATGAGACCATGGCCTGTGCGACAAAATGCACATGCAATTTGCAGACATGTGTACATCTCTCCACGTGCTTGTATGTGTGCAGGTCCCTCAGCAGTCCCCCATTCTCCTCAGGACCTCCCGCCCTATCAAGAGCCCCTGTCCCTAAGTCACCAACCTCCTCCCCCTACCCTCATCTTGCACCTTAGGGACCTGTGGGACGGAGACATTTGGATCTTCCAAGACGCTGCACACACAGGCGGAGGATGGGCTGCAATGACTCGGCTTCCAGGCAGCTGTGGTGAGTTTCTGCAAAGACTCCCTTCCTCAAAGAGGCTCTGCTTTACTGAAAGTTCAGGTTGCCGTGGTTTCCCCGCATTCACATGGGGGAAAGGTCAGACTCTCACAAAAATATTTACCAAGAACTGTCTGTCAGTCAATCAACAAACATTTACAGACAGCTGCTGCTCACATGCTGGGGAGAGAGGGGGGATGAATAAGCACAGGCCTTGTCCTACATAAAAGCTCAGGGGCCATGAGGGAGCTGTGATTGACCCAGCAAGGGACACAGTGGCCAGGAAGAGGGAACTGCTTGTCCAAAACCTGGCATCAAAAGAGTGTGCCCTGGTGAGACCAAAACAACCTTTTTTTTTTTTTTTTAATTGAGACGGAGTCTTGCTCTGTCGCCCAGGCTGGAGTGCAGGGGCGCGATCTCGGCTCACTGCAAGCTCCGCCTCCCAGGTTCACTCCATTCTCTTGCCTCAGCCTCCTGAGTAGCTGGGACTACAGGCACCCGCCACCATGCCCGGCTAATTTTTTTGTATTTTTAGTAGAGACGGGGTTTCACCGTGTTAGCCAGGATGGTCACGATCTCCCGACTTTGTGATCTGCCTGCCTCGGCCTCCCAAAGTGCTGGAATTACAGGAGTGAGCCACTGTACCCAGCTCAAAACAACCATTTTTTATGGCCCCTAAAATCACAACCAGTGGTGTGCTGGTAAGCCAACAAAAACAACAGGAAACAAACCAAAAACCCAATATGTGTGTTTGCTGCAAAATCCTGAAACACGGTGTTTGCTGCTTTGCATGGTGTAGATAGTCTCATTGTGGCCAATTTCAGGCTACCAAGGTGATGTCAGGGGCTGCGGAGGCAAAGATGACCACAGGAGCTGGTGCAAGCTGGACTCAACACACTGTTTCTTCCCACAGACACCAGGAGGACAGAGCCAGAGCTTTGGTGCCTGGAACAGAGTAAGGAGTCTCAGTTAGAAGTGCCAGGGACAAGACCCAAACCTCTTGTTCATCTTTTGATGCATATTCCGACCTGTTCTTTCATTCACTCAGCACTTACCCTGTGCCAGGTACTGTGCACCTGAAGGTGCTGAGACCATTGCTGCCTGTGCTGATGGGGAAGTACTGGTGTTAAGGAGCCCAGAAGAGAGGCATTAACCAATGCCTGGGGAGCTAGAGGACTTCCTGGAGGAGGTAGTATCTAAGCTGAAATGGAAGGGAGTAAAGCAGCAAGTGAGGGGTAGAAAAGAGTTATTTGCAAGCAGAGGAAATAGGATGTGCAACAGCTTAGTGATCTCATGCACCACTGGGTTCCCCCAGCAAAAGCATCCTGTTGAGCAGATTTTGTAAATGAACCAGCACCATCCTAGGTGCTTTACAAGTATTCACTCATTTAATCCTCAGACGATCCTATGGGGTATTTAATATTCTTAGCTCCTTTGTACAGATGGGACCACTGGGACAGATGGAAGTTATGAATAAGTCAATATGCCCAAGATCACTGGTCTGCCCTTCCTCTCCACGATGCTACCTTGAAGCATCTGAAGTAGGTGCAGCTTGGGGAAATTTTAGGGGGTACCCAGATATGGGAAACAACTGTAAATTTAATTCTGGGTTTAATGAAATGTCAGAGTGTGGGAAGTGATGGGTTCAGTCCCTCCCCTGCTCCCTGCCAGCCCTTCACACACAAAGACAAGAGTATTGTCCATCATGGACACATTGACCGAGGCTGTCGGTCAGCCAGTCAACAGAGATTTGTCAGAATCTTTATGTCTTGGTCTGGCCTAGGACTGGGATGTTTGCAGTGAACCTCTGCTCACATTTTTGTTTTGTTTTTCCTTTTTTTTTTTTTTTTTTGAGACAGAGTCTTGCCCTGTTGCCCAGGCTGGAGTGCAATGGCACAATCTCGGCTAACTGCAACCTCCGCCTCCCGGGTTCAAGCGATTCTCCTCCCTCAGCCTCCTGTGTAGCTGGGATTACAGGGGCATGCCACCACGCCCAGCTAATTTTTTGTGTCTTTAGTAGAGACGGGGTTTCACAATGTTAACCAGGCTGGTCTTGAACTCCTGACCTTGTGATCTGCCCACCTTGGCCTCCCAAAGTGCTGGGATTACAGGCGTGAGCCACCCCATCTGGCCTTGTTTTGTTTTTCTACTGAACACTTAATCTGGGCTGGGCTCTAGGCTGAGGATTGGGGCACAGAAGAAGTAATGAATCTGTGTCCCTGTCATCAAGGGGCATGATAGGAGACATACAGGAGACAAGGTTTTCTGTATGTTTGAAATATTCCATGATTTAATATAAAAAATAATTTTTATATTAAATTTTAGACACAAGGTCTTGCTCTGTTGCCCAGGCTGGAGTGCAGTGGCACGATTATGACTCACTGCAGCCTCAAACTCCTGGGCTTAAACGATCCTCCTGCCTCAGCCTCCTGAGTAGCTGGGACTACAGGCGCAAGTAGTCAATTGCAATAAATGACGATTACAATAAGTGATCGAAGAGGCCCAAGGACAAAGGAGAGAACAATTCTGCCCCCCATCGAGGGGAGGACTCACGGGGAAAGGCCTGCTGCCACTGGGCCTGAGAAGATGATATTTTACAGCAGTTGCCAGGGAATCAGGGGAGGACGATTTGGACCTACAGATATGGATAAGGATTTTGGTTTTTTTTTAGAGAAGAGGCAATGGTGGAAATGTTCTGGAATTACATAGTGGAGATGTGTGTACTACAACATTGTGAATACACTGAAACCCACTGAGTTATATATTTTTAAGTGGTTGAAATAGTGAATTTTACGTCATATAAATTTTATCTCAATAAAAAATAAGCTTATGACTGGGTGCAGTGGCTCGCACCTATAATCCCAGCACTTTGGGAGGCCAAGGCGAGTGGGTCACCTGAGGTCAGGAGTTTGAGACCAACCTGGACAACATGGCAAAATGCCATCTCTACTAAAAAATACAAAAATTAGCTGAGCGTGGTGGTGGGTGCCAGTAATCCCAGCTACTAAGAAAGCTGAGGCAGGAGAATTCCTTGAACCTGGGAAGCAGAGGTTGCAGTGAGCCAAGATAGTGCCATTGCACTCCAGCCCAGGCAACAAGAATGAAACTCCATCTCAAATAAATACATAAATAAATAAGCTTATGTTTCAACCACAGGGAGCTTTCTGGTTGTAAGTGACAAAAATGCCTGTTTAAAAACAAAGTTTAGGCCGGGCATGGTGGCTCACACCTGTAATCCCAGAGCTTTGGGAGACTGAGGCAGGAGAATCACTTGAGACTAGGAGTTTGAAATCAGCCTGGGCAACATTCAGCCTGGGCAACATAGCGAGACACCATTTCTACAAAAAATACAAGTATTAGCCAGGCGTGGTCACTTGTGCCTGTAGTCTCAGCTACTCAGGAGGCTGAGGCAGGAGGATCGTTTAAGCCCAGGAGTTTGAGGCTGCAGTGAGCCATAATCGTGCCACTGCACTCCAGCCTGGGCAACAGAGCAAGACCTTGTGTCTAAAATAATAATAATACATTTTAAAAATAAATAAGAAGTTTATGAATATAGTTTCAGGCATGGATAGATCAAGGTTCTCAAATAATTTCTTCAGGTTGGAAGGTTCTACTCTGGGATCTGCTTTCTTTTGTATTGGCTTTAGTCTCATTCTCAAGCAAGCTGAGGAAGCCTCATTGGTGGCCAAAGAAAAGCAGGGACCTCAGAAGCCAAGACCTACCACCTACCAGCTTTCAAAGCCCAAAGGAAAGAAGGCATGTTTTCCTAATGGTTCCAATGATGCTACCAGGAAAAGCTCTCATTGGTCAGTTTTAATCATATGCCTGTCCCTGAACCAATCTTCAGATTGGGAAAGGAATGCTCTGATTGGCCAAGCCTGAGTCATGTGCCCTGTTGGAAAGCTAGGAGTTAGATCAGTTCTCTGGCAGTTAGATCAGTTCTCTGGAACTGCGAGTGGGAAGACGCTGTCCCGGCAAGGACCACCAGGTGGTGATGTCAGAAGAAGGGAGAGTAGATACAGGGCAGGCAGGATAGCCGGGTTCGTCCGGAAGAGTGGTAGGGAGGGGCGTGCCTGCCAGAGGGAAAGGCATGAGAAAAGGCTTGGAGGTTGAAATTGCATGGTGTGGGCTGGGAACTGTGGCTGGGTGGTGGCGTGTAGTCAGATGATGGTGTCTAGAGGGGTCAGGTCATGTGTCTGAAGACATGAGAAGCCTCACTTCTCACTTTGAACCAGGGCCAGGTACAAAGAGGTTTGGACAGGGCCTGTACGCCAGTGTTGCCCAAACTCTCATCCCTATGCACACAAGTCATTTCTGCCGTATTTACATTTTTTCTCCATCATTACATTTTCTTCATATTGGCCTCCTCGCTTTGTTTAAATCACTTTATTGTCAAATGAAACATTGTCACCATCACACATGAAAGATCAGGATCCTTTACTGTAAATAGAAGGGAACTGTAAAAACAAGCCCATTGAAACCAAAACCGAGTGATTAACTTCCAGCTAGATGCTGCAGCCTGTGGTAGGCTAATCTGGAGAAGAGAAAGAGAACTGAAAAAGGAATTGTTTTCTCAGCTCACTATGCCCACATGCCACCTAAAATCATCTTAGGGACCCCAGGGAGCAGGGAAGGACGCAGTCACAAAGATGGTCCTGGTCCTGGCATGGGGGAGTGTTTGATAAAGACACTACCGGCATAAACCCAGGGGTTACAATAGGGAGGCTGACATGGCTGAACAGAGGAGCTGGAGAGCAGGGTCCCAGGGACAGACTCACAGTACCGGAAGTTCTGCAGGGAGGAAGGAGGTAGTCAATTGAGGAGCACCCGCTCTCTTGCTTTAGCAATCAAAACCAGGAACCAGAAGGAGGAGGTTTGGCGAGGATGAGAAAGAGCTCGTTTGGATATACTGAATCTGAGATGTGGGGATGTCTCTGTGGAGATCCATTCATCTGTTCAAGAAGTATTTATTTATTTACTTATTTTTGTGTATTTATTTAGAGACAGGGTCTCTGTCGCCCAGGCTGGAGTGCAGTGGCGTGATCGTGGCTCACTCCAACCTCGACCTCCTGGGCTCAAGCGATCCTCTCACCTAAGCCTCCCCAGTAGATGAGACTACAGTTATGCACCGCCATGCCTGGCTACTTTTTGTATTTTTTGTAGAGATGGAGTTTTGCCATGTTGCCCAGGCTGGTCTCAAACTCCTGGGCTCAAGCAGTCCACCTGCCTTGGCCTCCCAAAGTGCTGGGATGACAGGCGTGAGCCATGGTGCCCAGCCAAGAAGTATTTATTGAGCACCTACTATGTGCCAGGCACTGTTCTAGGCCCTGGGATAAGGCAATGAGCCAACCAAACTGAAATCTCTGCCCACCATGAGTCTACTTTCTTTGGGGGAGATATGGGAGACCTGGTGAGAAATAAGAAATAAAAGACTTAATAATATATACAATATATAATAACATATGTCACACGAGATAGGAATGGCTACTAGCTAGGACATGCAAAATGTTTGGGTGGGAGATGTGGAAACTGAGACATACCCAACTGCAGTTGAATGTATAACTCTGGAGTTCAGGCAAGAGATCTCAGCTGGGGAGATATATTTAGAAGACATCATTCATTCATTCATTCATTCACTTAGTAAATGTTTATTGAGTATGCTCTATGTGCCAAGCACAGTGCTGGGCTGTGGACCACACAGTTCCTGATCCATGCGACTCCAGTACAGATTTAGTGAAGGTTGTAATTAACTCTGTGGAAAGAGGAGAGGAGATGGGGAGGGCCCCAGATGGGCCCTGCGGACCCCTAACGTGTAAGAGAGGGCAGAGGAGAAGACCTTGGAAAAAGAGACTGGAGCCAGGTGCGGTGGCTCATGCCTGTAATCCCAGCACTTTGGGAGACCGAGGCAGGCGAATCACAAGATCAAGAGCTCAAGACCAGCATGGCCAACATGGTGAAACCCCGTCTCTACTAAAAATACAAAAAAATTATCCAGGTGTGGTGGTGGTGGGTGCCTGTAATCCCAGCTACTTGGGAGGCTGAGGCAGGAGAATCGTTTGAACCTGGGAGATGGAGGTTGTAGTGAGCTGAGACTGCGCCACTGCACTCCAGCCTGGGTGATAGAGCAAGACTCTGCCTCAGAAAAAAAGAAAAAGAGACTGGACAGGAACAAACAGCCAGTGTCAGAGAACCAAGAGGGGCCGAGTTTCAGGAGTGAGGGAGATGCTAGTGCCACAGAGTAGTAGGGATTGAAACTGAGACTTGGCTTGGGTGGTGGAGCTGGCTTCAGTGAAAGTAGTTTAGTAGCAGAGTCAGGCCGACTCTGCACAGAGAGGGTAGAGGAGTGGGTGCAGAGGAAGGAAGTGAAGCCCAAGAGAGGAGACAGCTTTTGAGCACAAGCACTGTGGCTGGGGGAGAGAAGGCGAGAGAGAAATAGGAGCCGGGGTGGAGGGAAGCTTGGGCTGTTTGAAGATGGAAAGACTTGAGTAGATATGTGTGGCAATGAGGAAAGGCCAGCAGAGGGAGGCAGGTGAAGACACAGGGGAGTGATGGTGTTTTAGGGTCCAGAGGGAGAAGAGAGCTCAGCCTGGGAGAGAGGGAATGACCCCGCATCAGGAATGGCTGCATCATTGGAGGGGCACTGTGCAAAATAAAAATGCAGGTCTTCTTATTCAAAAAGGGCTGATAATTTGGCCAGGCGCGGTGGTTCACGCTTGTAATCCCAGCACTTTGGGAGGCCAAGGCGGGCGGATCACTTGAGTCCAGCAGTTTGAGACCAGCCTGGCCAACATGGTGAAACCCCGTCTCTACTAAAAATAAAAAATTAGCTGGGCATGGTGGCTCATGCCTGCAATCCCAGCTACTTGGGAGGCTGAGGCAGGAGAATTGCTTGTACTCGGGAGGCAGAGGTTGCAGTGAGCCGAGATTGAGCCACTGCACTCCAGCCTAGGGGACAAGAGCGAGACTCCGTCTCAAAAAGAAAAAACAAAAGGGCTGAGAAATCAAGATGGTCACTCTTGGTTCCTGGATTAGAAGTGGGCTGAGTTGTGGCTTCTGGCTGCCCAGCAGATACCTCTGGGGTAGGAATGGCTGTCACCATGCTCCACCCCAAGGTCCCGTGAGGTGAGCTACTGACCTTGATGATCCTTTGCACCTGTGCCCAGGCCTCCTTCAAGGGCAGAAGGCAGCAATGGTCATGGATGGTGGTGGAATGGGGAGGATGAGTAGGGCCTGGTGTGCTGGGGACAGAGCAGCAGGTGGCCAGGAGCCTGTACCAGGGAAGCAGGCAGGTGGCAGATGTCCCAGGGAAGCAGGCAGGAGGTGGGACCCTGTGTGAGCTGAGGCTCCAAGCCCTCAATGGGTGCTCCTTGGTCCCATTAAACCTCCCTATAAAACACAACTTCAGAGATAAAATTTTTAAGAATTTCTTTTTCTTTTTTTATTTTTTTTTGAAACAAAGTCTCGCTCTGTTGCTCAGGCTGGAGTGCAGTGGCACAGTCTTGGCTCACTGCAACCTCCACCTCCCGGGTTCAAGTGATTCTCCTGCCTCAGCCTCCCTGAGTAGCTGGGATTACAGGCATGCACCACCATGCCTGGCTAATTTTTGTATTTTTAGTAGAGACGGGGTTTCACCATATTGGCCAGGCTGGTCTCAAACTCTTGACTTCGAGTGATCCGCCCACCTTGGCCTCCCAAAGTGCTGGGATTACAGGTGTGGGCCACTGCGCCTGGCCAAGAATTTCAAAACTGGGACTTCAGAGCATGACACTGAAGAGTAGGGGTCCTCCGAGCAGGGGGGTACGGGCTGCTGCCTGGCGCACAGCTGTGGAGCCAGCCTGCCCTACGTCCACTCTAACAAGAAAGGGTGGATGCCGATATGGAATGGGCAGGAATTTGGCAGGATCCTCTGGAAGTGAAGATTGAGTGCCAATAAAGAGGGAGAGGATGGGGATTGGGGAAGGAGCTTGAGGAAGAGTCCAGAGCCTAAAGTTGGATGCGTGAATGCACCTGCACGTTCATTTCCCATTGCTTCTCTGACAAATTTCCACAAGTTTAGTGGCCTAAAACTGAAATTTATGATCTTGCAATTCCAGAGGTCAGAAGTCTGAAACTGGTCTCACTGAGCTCAAAATCAGGGTGTTAACAAGGCTGTGTTCATTCCAGAAACTCTAGGGAAGTCTGTTCCTTGACTTTTCCAGTTTCAAGTGGTCACCTGCATTCCTTAGCCCATGGCCCTTCCCTCCATCTTCAAAGCCAGCAGCATAATATTTTGAAATCTCTCTCTGACTTGGCTTCTCCTGCATCTCTCACTTATGAAGATCCTTGGGATTATATTGGGCCTGTCTGGATAATTAAGGATAATCTCCCTCTACATCTCAGGTTCAGTTGATTAGCAACCCTGCTTCCATCTGTAACCTTAATCCCCCCCTTGCCATGTAATGTAACATGTTCACAGGTTCCAGGGATTGGGACATGGACATCTTGGGGGGTTCATTATTGTACCTACTACAATTTTTAAGGTTGCTTTATGACTGCAAAAGAAAACTCACAGTGGTTTAAAGAAAAGCACACTTACAGTTTATTTAAGAATTTAAGGTTGGTTTGATCACTTGGTGATGTAATCAAAGCCCCAGGCAGGCCTTCTTCTTCTTCCACTCCACCATATTCAGAATGCCTCCTTTCATCTCCAGGCTTGTCTCCTCATGATTGCAAAAGCACCATCCAAAGCAGAAAGGAAGGTGGCAAAGGAGCCTTCTCCTCCATGCTGCTTTTTGATTAGGAAGGAGAACTGCTGACTTGCTCTGTGGTTCCATGGCAGAGAGGAAGGTCAGGCAGCCCAGCTATGTTGACCAACTCAAGCTAAATTTGCTGCTAGAAATCAGGAAATCATGGATGGTGGTGGAAGGGGGAGGATGCGTAGGGCCTGGTGTGCCCAGGGCAGAGCAGCAGGTGGCCAAGAGCCTGTCCCAGGAAATGCCAGTTCCTGGGTGGGATCACGCTAAGGTGGGTCATCAGTATATAGGAGTGGTGGTTCAGGGCAGCCAGAATCAGAGATCAGCCTATAGCTGGGATCAAAGATCCATCTGTGGTGAGGGTCAGGGGTCAGCATGTGGCTGGGGCCAGCCTGCAACCAGGATCATGAGTAAGTCAGTAACATGGGTCGGGACTCAGTTCCTGGCTTGAGTCAGAGCTGTTCTGTGGCTGAGGACAGGAGGTGGACTGTGGCCAGGATCAGAAGTCAGTCTGTGGCTGGATCAGGGTCATTCTGTGGTTGGAGTCAGATATCATAATGGAGTTGGGATCAATCAGTTTAGTCTTCTCTGTCTGTCTTTCTCTCTGCATCTCTGCTTCTCTCTGTCTCATTCTCCTTTGCTGTAAACACCTGTTGGAAGCTCAGCAACTTGGGTCCATGGGGAAGAGGGAAGTTGAGTCTGGGCAAGGTCCTATAAGTCCCGGTATGGAAGAACATAAGGGAAAAAGAGAAAAATGTCAGGAATATAAAGATATTCCCTAGAAAAATGTCAGGAATATAAATATATGTATGTATGATGAGAAATGAATGATATAAAACCGCAAATACGCAAACACTGACTCTGCATGTAAACAACACACAGAAGTGGCACAAACAGATACAAACACAAGTGGGTTGAATGATGGGATTGGGACAATTTTTTGTCCTGGATTACTGTTGCTCCATTCTGCCCTTTTTGTAATAAAGTCAAATTAAATTTAGAATGTCATTATTTCCTCTAATTATGTTTTATACCCTCACCTCCCACAAAATCCACAGACATATTCAGTGTAATATTAAGGATAATGTTAGCAGACTAGGCATGGTGGCTCACATCTGTAATCCTAGCACTTTGGGAGGCCGAGGTGGATGGATTGCTTGAACCCTAGGAGTCTGGGACTAGCCTAGGCAACATAGTGATTCCCTGTCTCTACAAAAAATTAAAAAACAAATTAGCCAGGCTTAGTGGTGTGTGCACCTGTGGTCACAGCTACTTGAGAGGCTGAAGTGGGAGAATCACATGAGCCCAGGTGTTCAAGGCTGCAGTGAGCCGGGATTGGGCCACTGCGCTCCAGCCTGGGTGACAGAGAAAGACCCTGTCTCAAAAAAAAAAAAAAAAGAAGAAGAAGAAGAATGTTAGCAAATACTTTTAAGGCATTAACTATTTGCAGGCATAGTTCTTTTTTTTTGAGACAGAGTCCCACTTGTTGCCCAGGCTGGAGTGCAGTGGCACAATCTCCGCTTGCTGCAACCTCTGCCTCCTGGGTTCAGGCAATTCTCCTGCCTCATCCTCCCGAGTAGCTGGGATTACAGGCACCCGCCACCATGTCTGGCTGATTTTTGTATTTTTAATAGAGACAGGGTTTCACCATGTTGGCCAGGCTGGTCTCAAACGCCTACCTCAGGCAATCTGCCCACCTTGGCCTCCCATAGTGCTGGGATTACAGGCGTGAGCCACTGTGCCCAGCCGCAGGCATAGTTCTAAGGACCTCACAGGTACTAACATATTTAATTCTCACAATAGCTACATGAGGCAGATATTATAATGATTCCCATTTTACAGATAACGAATCAAGCACAGAGAGGTTACACGCTGGCCTGGCGCCACACAGCATATCTAATGGACATTAGGCTCTTTTGTCTGGTGCTGGGGGAATTTCTGGAAAATGCAGAGATGGAAGAGAGGTGGGATCGGGGCAGGGCGGGTGGGGAATCTCCCAGGCCAAGTTTTCTGGGCACGGCCTGGACCTGGAGCTGCTGGGATGGAGCAGGTGCTGATGCTGATGTGGTCACCAGAGGGCAGCAGGGACCAGGGAGCTGACTTCCTCTTCACACCCCCTCCACCCGGGGCGGTGCCCCTGACTTGTCAATAAACGTCGTGGAAACAGGTGGGATTTGGTGGAAGAACTGACACGGTCCCGCCACCATCACAGGCAAGTTAAGCTTGAGAGCAGCCTGGTGTCACCTGGCCTCCACCCACCACGTCATCTGCTGCTCACCCCACCACTGTGGCGTGCAGAGTACTGCTCTTGTGTGCCTTTTACCAAGGAGGAAATTTAGGCCCAGAGTGGGCAAACACTTTTCCCATGGTCACACAGCTTGGAATTGGAAAGGCTGGACCTAACCAGGCAGGGTGAGCGCAGAGCCCTTGTTCCTCTGAGTCTCTGTTCTGAGCTGGAACCAGGGAAGATGATGAGCCCATGGTATATACAGGGCGGTTAGCTAGGACTCTGGTTTGAAGCCTGGCTATGCCACTCGGTAACAGCACATCGTGGGCAAGTCCCATGCAGCCTCATCGGCTGCCGGGAGGATCCAGTGACGTCAGGCCTCCCTCGTGGTGGGAGCTCAAACACTTGCTGGGTTTTTTGTTTTTTCGGTGTTTTGCTTTTTGTTTTTTAATTAATAACTTTCGTGGGAAAAATAAAGTCAGAAAGGTTGTTCAACCGGATGTTCACGGAGATACTACGCCTTCAAAAACAAGCGCTCATTTCGTGATCGCCCACACAGTGCCAGATGCTGGGGCGGGGATGGGATTTCCGGTGGTTTTTCTTCACTTTCCTCTTTATATCTTCAGGCTTTCTCTGAATAGGAAAAGGTCTGCACGTGCTGATAGAGTAATCAGAAAAATGCAATAAGCCACTTTTTGTAAAAAAAAAAAAAAAATTCAGATGCACTCACTGCCTTCCTCCCCCCTTTCCCCCTCCCCTCATCCCCCACAAATTCTGTGTAAAGGCAGGGCTGAGGGAGTACCCCCAAATCAACATCTCTGAAAGCTCCCCCGCAGGGGCCCAGGCCACTCAGCCCACTCTGGCGCTGCTACCCAGGGGCGTCCCCTCCTGCCCTCTGGTCCAGCCCCGGAGGCTGAAACTCCCGCAGCCGGCATCTCACTGGGCCTATGACCCTGGACTTTTCCTACTTCCTGCAGGGTGGGGGCCAGCCTGAGTTGGGCCCACCTGATCCACCAGGTCTTCTCATCCCTCTGTAGCTTCCCAAAGCCCAGCCAGTTCAGTAATAGTTGCTGAGGCCAACAACTTGGATTTCTTTTGCCTAAGATCCTTTGTTGGGCTCCCAGTCCCATTGCATCTCTAGCAGTCAAATATATTTTCTATTTGCTGCCTAATTTTTAAATTAGATTTCTCTGAGACAATGCTCAGGCAAAGTGGATTCGAGCCGACATCTGCGTAGGTGTCAGGATGACATAAGCTGATATATCACGGCGGCTGGGAGCTCTTAGGTCAGACCCGGGTTCAAATCCTGGCTCCAGGATTTCCTAGCTGTGTGGTTCTAGGCTAATCCTCAACCTCTCTGGACCTGTTTCCTTATCTGTAAAATTGGGATAATCATTGAGCCTCCCAACTAGAGCTGTTTGGAGACGTAAATGACACAGTGGCTGGACGGCACTTAGCATATTGCTTGGCCCTAAACAGATAACTATTTTTATTTAAAATTATATTTTATTATAAAGAGCTTTTGGAGGCAAGAAGTCCAGAAGGCTAGTTCAGGCTCTGCCATTCTCTGGGTGACTTTGGGCAAGTCCCTTTTCCTCTCTAAAACTGTTTCTCCATCTGTAAACTGTGTGATTTGGGCAGCTAAAGGGATTGATTTTGGCTTAGAACAAGGTTTTTTTTGTTTTTTTTTTTTTTTCCTGAGACAGGGTCTCACTCTGTCATCCAAGCTGGAGTGCAATGGCACAATCTCAGCTCACTGCAACCTCCGCGTCCCAGGTTGAAGCAATTCTACCAACTCAGCCTCCCAAGTAGCTGAGATTACAGGCACCCACCACCACACCCGGCTAATTTTTTATTTTTTGGTAGAGATAGGGTTTCACCATATTGGCCAGGCTGGTCTTGAACTCCTCACCTCAAGTGATACACCCGCCTCAGCCTCCCAAATTGCTGGGATTACAGCCATGAGCCATCATGCCTGGCGCAAGGAGGTGTTTCTAACAAACATCAGGCTGCATGTGAGGTAGAGAGCTCCCCATCATTTCCAGTGTAGTATGTAGGCTCCTAGAGCAGGAAGGAATCTAAAATGGCCAAGCCCCTCAAGTGTGAAATCAGGGCAGCTACTCAGAGAAGCAAAAGTGATACAGACATAGGAGCTTCAGGTTCCCAGCCTTCCCATCTAAGGCCCACACCATCCCTCTGCCTGCCTCGGATGTGAAGCGCAGATCACTACAGAGAGCCTGGGTGATGGAGACACTGTCTGGATTCCACTATAGATCTGTTGCTAACTAGCTGTGTGACCTTGGCAGTGTATCATCAGCCACTGTTGGTGTCCTGTTCCTGTCTTCTTGGTGTGCCAGAGTCTCTCAACACCTCCAACTCTCAGTTGAAGAATTTTTTTTTTCCTGGAGTAGCTGGAAGTGCTGGAGAATTAATGCTCCTGGAAGCAGCTCTCAGCCAATGACAGATGGGAGCTGGTGGACAAATACCCCAGCTCCCTCTCCTTTGCAGGCATAACTGGGCATGTGCCATGCATGGTCTTCCAGAGATCCCCGGCAGGTAAGCATCAGTTACTCATGCTGGTAATCTGTTGAATAACTCACCCTTTTGTCAGAGGTTTATTTAAACTGGAGCTTTGAAGAGGGGCTGGGTAAAATGAGGCTGAGACTTACTGGGCTGCATTCCTGGGAGGTTAGGGCATTCTTAGTCATAGAATGAGACAGGAGGTCGTCACCGATACAAGTCATAAAGACCTTGCTGATAAAACAGGTTGCAGTAAAGAAGATGGCTCTAACCCACCAAAACCAAGATGGCAACAAGAGTGACCTCTGGTTGTCCTCACTGCTACACTCCCAACAGCGCCATGACAGTTTACAAATGCCATGGCAACATCAGGAAGTTACCCTATATGGTCTAAAAGGGAGGCATAATAATCCACCCCTTGTTTGGAATATAATTAATCAATAACCATAAAAATAGGCAGCCAGCAACCCTCAGGGCTGCTCTGTCTACGGAGTAGCCATTCTTTTATTCCTTTACTTTCCTCATTAACTTGCTTTCACTGACTCTATGGACTCGCTCTGAATTCTTTCTTGCATGAGATTCAAGAACCCTCTTTTGGGGTCTGCATCTGGACCCCTTTCAGGTAACACTTTCTTGGTTTGTGTCCTTCCCTGCCTCAGTTCCCCACTACCTTAGCAGGGTTTCCCGGGATTACTTCCTAAATCAACTATTTGAATCCTTGTATGGGGAACCCAAACCCAGATGGCAAGTTTCTTAACCTCTTGCATCCTGGTTCCTCTGGATGGGTGAATTCCAGGAGTTAACAGAGACACAGCACTCACAGCAGTGTCTGGAGGTATGTTTGGTTAATACATAAAAAATAAAGAGACAAAGAAACTTTATTTATACAAAACTCCACCCCTTCTGTTCCACTCTCCTCAGCAAACACAGATAACAGGTGATGAAACTAAAACACACAGACGAGCATTACTCAACCCAAGGTTCCCGCCTTCCCTAGCACCTGAGGTCTGGGCCAACATGCAGGGTAACTGGTGCCTTATGCCTGCTGTCTGGATTGCCCGGCCCACAGGGTGGCTGAGCATATTTATTCTGGGGGTTCCATGCATACGAGGAGCCCCCAGCCATACAGCTGGGCATGGGTGTTTGGCAGCAAATTGTCCCTGCTTTAGTCATAGCAATTTTTCATGTCCTCTGTTGCTCCCCTTAACTGAACACCCCTTGACAGCCGGGATTCTGCCTCCAGCATCAACCTAAGGAAGCTCTGTTAAATGAATGAGCACCTCTAGGCAATGACCACCCTCCCTGAAGTTCAATTTCTCATCGATTTCCCAAGGCCGCCCAAGTCATTCCCTTGATGGCTGTGTTAGTTTCTAGGCTCGGCTTCTAGTTCAGTGAGACAGAGGCAGGTGGGCCTCCACGTGGGCCATGATCTGGTGGGCAAAACATGCCTTGGGCAGTTACAACAGGGACAGTCTGCTGCAGAAGCTGTGGAGGGAGCAGCCAACAACTCGTTCACAAGTCGAGGTGCCCAAGGGCCTCAGTTTTCCTGCAGGGGCCTGCCGTGGGGCACGGCGACCCAGTGCCCTCTACTCTCATGGGATGTGGCGAGCCCAGCCCAATGCTGGGCGGGGTCCAGTCTCTGCAGCCCAGTGTTAGGCCAACGTCAGTGGGGCCAATCACCTTCATACCATGGTTCTTCAAGTCTTTTGGAAATCTGCCAGCCTGGCTGCCTTCCAGGAGGTGGCATTTCCCAGGCATGGATAAGCCCTAGTCCTCATCTGCAGACTCAGCAACAAGAGGACATGCACCTAAGAGACCCTCATGTATGTGGGTCCCACGGAGACAAAGTTCACGATTTTGGGGGTCTGGCTTGAGCTCTGAGCATTGCCAGGGGCAGGATGGAAGGATGATGAGGATTTACTCTTCTCTGAGATGCCCGAGGGTGCCAGGGAGGCCGGACACAGACTGGCCTCCAGTGGAACCCCACCTGGAGAGGGGTCTGGGGCCCTCAGGGGGGTTGTAGGGGGCGAGGACCTGTCTCCACAGCAGCAGCCACAGCAAGGACTGGCCATGACAGGGGTCTGGCCACCATCCTCCTGGCCATGACACTGTTTCAGGTGGCCGCACAGGTGGCAGGTAAGGGCTGAGTAGACAATGCCACTGCCCAGGCTGTCCACAAGGGGGTCTGTGGCCTGCTCCTGGGGAAGTGGGGGCTTTGGCATGTCCTCTACCTTTTCCCCCGGCTCCAGACCCAGGTGCTCTGGGGAGCTGCTTGGGAGATGTGAGCTCTGCGGACTGCGAGGTGGCTCCCTGTCCAGTCCAAAGGTGAACAAGGGGACAGGGACTGGGGCAGGGTCCCCAGGGCAGCCAGGAATGAGGTCTTGGAAAGGCTTATACCCCTCTTCCCCACTGCTAGCCCCAAACCCACATTTCTCTGGGGACACAGCACTGCTGGCAAGCAGGCTTGAGAAGGCCTTGTAACCAGCCTCTCCTGGGGGACCCAAGCCCACCACCGCACTGGCCTGGGTGCCACCCTGCTCCACCGCATGTACAAACTCCTGATAGCCACTGGTGGGGGCCGAGACGGGGGCTGCAGCTGCCCCATGCTGGAGGACATTTCGGCGGAGGATCTGCTCCCAGGTTTCTGGCTCAGGTTGGGGCACAGTGGTTGGCTCAGAGAGCTGGGGGACACAGGGCATCTCGGGTTCTACTTCCTCCAGGTGTCTGGCCAGCAGTGGGTCTGGACCCAGCTCTCTGGGACACGGTGACTGGCTCAGGGAGTTGCTGAAGCTGCGGTAAGCAGGGTTGCCTGCGATGACGAGGGGCGTCTCTGTGCAAGTCAGGTTGTCTGGACTCTGGGTCGGGCTGGCAGGAGGACTTGGCTCCAGGTGGAGAGGCTGCTCCTTGCCCCAGGGAGGTGCCTCCTTGGGCCCTGCACTTGGGAACTCATCCCAGGGCATGTGAGCACTCGTACTTCCCGAAGGTGGAAGAAGGCATGACTCCCCCATGTCCTGCTGGCAAAAGCCCCCATTCTCCTCTCCGAGCAGGTCCAGGAACAGGCTCTCTGTTAGCCGGGCCACAATGCCCTCCCTTCCCTCCTGGAAGTCATCCCTGCTGCTCTCAGGCGATGCACAGAAGCTCCCTTTTTCTTCCTCTACCTCCTCCTCCTCCTCACACTCCACCGGGGCCTCAAACAACTCCACACATCGCACCACGCTGATGCTCTCTGGCCAGAGGACTGTCTTGCTGATCTCCACTGGGCACCATGCTGATTTTCCAGAGCCCTGGAAAGGCATCTCTTTGGCAGCCTTGTGAGGATCTTCATCCCTTTTCATGTTGTGCTCCAGAAAACAGGGCAAGAGCTTGGTAAGACAATTCTTCCAGTGTCTGCAAAAGCAAAGGTTGGTCAGGGTTCAGTTTCGACACTTGAAAAACTCCTATTCATTCTTCAAAGCCCAGCCTGAAATCACCATGTCCTGATGGCTGTCTACTTCAGACATGCCTTCTAACGTTATAATCAGTAATTGATCAGTCTATGTTGCTAGAATGAGAAATCCCTGAGGGTAGGGTCTGTGTCTTTGGGATTTCGGGAACCCAGCACATGTCCTGGGCACCAAATACAAGCTCAGATCTGTTGAGTAAGAAAAAGTCTTTATGGATGATGATAATTAAAAGCAACACCATTATCCCAAGCCATGACCAATTAGAAAGGATATGGAAGCCGGGTGCGGTGGCTCACGCCTGTAATCCCAGCACTTTAGGAGGCTGAGGAGGGAGGATCGCTTGAGCTCAGGAGTTTGAGAACAGCCTGGGCAACAGAGCCCAAGCCGTCTCAAACATCTCTACAAGAATTAAAAAAAAGGAAAATTAGCTGGGCATGTTGGTGTATGACTGTAGTCCCAGCTACTTAGAAGGCTGAGGCTAGAGAATCACTTGAGCCCACGAGTTTGAGGCTGCAGTGAATCACTGCACTCCAGCCTGAGGGACACAGCAAGACCCTGCGTCCAAAAAAAAAAAAAAAAAAAAAAGATGCGGGATCCTAGGGTTGAAGCAGGGTCCTGGACCCCCTTTAGTTTCTGGAGTATGGAAAGGTCCAGCAGGCCCCAGGGAAGAAGCTAAGGAGGCCACAGTGGCGGGGCAACACAGCGAGAGCTTGTCTTTACAAAAACTTTTTTTGGTATTATTTTTTTTGAGACAAGAGTCTCACTCTGTCGCCCAGGCTGGAGTGCAGTGGCACAATCTGCGCTCACTGCAACCTCTGCCTCCCGGGTTCAAGTGATTCTCATGCCTCAGCCTCCTGAGTAGCTGGAATTACAGGCAAAAACCTTTTAAAATAGCCAGGCGTGGTAATGCACATCTGTAGTATCAGCTACTCGGGAGGCTAAGATGGGAGGATCACTTGAGCTCAGGAGTTTGAAGGTGCAGTGAGCTATGATCGCACCACTGCACACCAGCCTGGGCCACAGAGTGAGATCCTGTATATTAAAAAAAAGGAGGGGAGTGTTCAGGATAGTGGCTATTTGCCGACAAGTATACAATTAGGTCAAGATTTTAACAACAGGCACGGCTGCTCTGGTTGTTAACTATAACAGCACTCCCAAGGGGTATCACCATGTACCTGACACACCAGTGAAACTCAGGGGGCTTGGCCAGCAGTCCACGTTTCCAGAACACCCCTCCTCCTGCCGTCCCTTGAAGGCTAATGTCACAGGGCAATTACCGAATGCAGGGAAGAGAAGGCAGACATGGAGCTAGGGGCTTGCCTCTCCAATTCTATCACCTTCCCAATGCATGCAGGCTGTGACCTAAGTTCAGATACATACGGGCACTTGGCTGGTTCCTGGCCTCGGGACCGCTTCTCCCACTGTGACCCCTAAAATACAGAGACAGCCAATGAAAGAGCAGAGTGGCCTTGCAGCCCGGCCTGGAGTACGGCAATGCTCAGGAAGGGGTACAAGCCTCGACATCACACAGATCAGAAGTCCAACAGGTCACTTACGCTTTCTGAGCTTCAGATTCCTGGGAATTAATTACATTGTCCTAATATTTACAGGGACTGTGGTCGATGGCAAAAGTGGCCACAGAGGAGTGCTCTGAATCTCCTCCCATCCCTTGAATCTACACTGGCCCTGGGACTTGCTTGGGCCCATAGAATGTGATGGAAGTGATATCATGCCAGTGCTGCGCCTAGGCCTCAAGAAGCCTTGGGACTTCCCACCCTTGAAAACTGAGCCACTCTGTAAACAAGCCTGGGCCGGCCTGCTGGAGAGTGAGAGGCACATGGCTCAGGCACCTGCACTGTCCCAGGTAAAAGTCAGCCAACTAGGCTGGGTGCAGTGGCTCACGCCTGTAATCCCAGCACTTTGGGAGGCTGAAGTGGGTGGATCACCTGATATTAGGAGTTCCAGACCAGCCTGACCGACATGAAGAAACCCCATCTCTATTAAAAATACAAAATTAGCCTGGCGTGGTGGCACATGCCTGTAATCCCAGCTACTTGGGAGGCTGAGGCAAGAAAATTGCTTGAACCCAGGAAGCAGAGGTTGCAGTGAGCCAAGATCACGCCATTGCACTCCTGGGCAATAAGAGCAAAACTCCGTCTCAGAAAAAGAAAAAAAAAAAAAAAGCCAACTGTCAGACACGGAGGGAGGCTACGGGGACGGGTCAGCTCAATTCAGATCTGCCCAGCCCAGCCCAGCCCAGCCTCCCCCGCCACCCTCACTGCTGAGCCCAGCCCCAAATGCCAGCCTGCAGAAGCATAAGCTAAATAAAGTTGTTGTAACCCTCTACATTTCGGGGTCGTTTGTTACACAGCAAACACTAACTGATACATAAATGGCACTTGGTATTTGCAAGAGGCTGGAATATGCACTTTATATGTATTGTCTCAATAAATTCCAATATCTGTCCTACCAGGTAAACACTGTTATAACCCACAAGAGGAAACTGAGGCTCAGAGAATTAAGCAACTTGCTCAAGTCCACACTGCCAGTGAGTGGCAGAGTCAGGATTCAAAGCCAACACCACTAGATTCCAGAGTCCCTGGAAAAGCAAGGACCCTCAGACCTTCTCTTCTAGACAGGACCTATAATCCCCCTTTCTCCTACCTAGAGAACTCTCATCTTGCTCAGGCAAACCCCACCCACTCACCCACAGGACCATCGCCTTGGGGAAGCTGACTCCACCCCTGGCTTAGGGGTGGGATACATTTCAGGCCAATGAGAACCCGGAAGGGATTTGCTAGTGCTTCGGGGGCAGTTTCCTATGCTTAAGAAGAAGACACAGAAAGCCTGTCACCCTCTCCTTCCTCCACTCCTTCTGGCCTCTAGCCCTGGTACTGGCACCTCCCCAGGGAATGACACAGTGATGATGACCCAAGGGTCATTCTCCCAAGGGGAGGGAAAAAAACAGGAAACCAACCCCAGAGAAGCCCACCCCAGGCTGGGATTGCCAAGGGGAAGGGCGGGAAAGCCTCTGGTCTGCTAATGACCTCATTCGGCTTCTGTCTCTGTCTCCCCTGCAACCCTCCTGACTGTCTATTTGCCATTCCAGAAGCCAGTGAAGGTCCTTAACAGCCCAGGTGTTCTGAACCACACTTCTTCATGTACACAGTCCCACATGTCCTCATCCACGCCTACTCCTACCTGAGCATCCTGGATTATTATAGCCACGAGGCGGCTGCGGGCTGGGTTGGGAATCTGATCCCACCATTCTTTCTTAATCCTGAAAAACAAAAGGAAAAGGTGTTGATCTCTGAATTATTGACAGGTGAACGCTCCTCCCATAAAAGTGGTCGTTATCACCAATACTTATTTGGCATCAGAGATCAGGCTGATTAGTTTCTGGAGGTCAAACCACTGACTCATCATTCTAACCTGGTGACATGGATTCTATTGCTAACCCTATTCTACAGATGAGGAGAGTGAGGCCCAAGGAGGTGGAGTGACAGCTGGTAGGTGGCAGAGCCAGGTTCACACTCCCGCATTCTGTTACCCAGCACAGAGTTCCTGAGGAGGCCACCTATGTCCTCAGTGGGAATGAGACCCCAGGGGATTAGGAAAGACTCAAACTGCAGAGAGAGGATTCTAGGTTCCCCTCAACAATCCCTTTTTCAGAGCAGCTGAGGGCAAATGACCAGGGAATGGCCTGGGATGGCCTGGGAAGCTGGGGGACCTACGGAGAAACACAACCCTTCTCTCTTCCTGGCCTGCCTGGGGCCATGGTGCATCATCACTGGGAGGTAAGGTCCTCAGACCGCTTCTGAATTAGCCTCTGCCCATGGTTTCAATAAATAAACACATATTTATTGAGCACCTTCTATGTTTGACTCACTGTGCCTGGCCCTGAGGCCACAACAGTGAACGAGACAAAGATGCCTGCCTTGGTGAAACTGACCTTCAAGAGGGAAAGATGGATGATAAATGGAGACAGAAATGCTTATATGAGGCCAGGCATGGTGGCTCACGCCTGTAATCCCAGCACTTTGGGAGGCCAAGGCAGGTGTATCACCTGAGGTCAGAAGTTCGAGACCAGCCTGGCCAATATGGTGAAACACCGTCTCTACTAAAAATGCAAAACTTAGCCAGGCATGGTGGCAGGCGCCTGCAATCCCAGCTACTCAGGAGGCTGAGGCAGGAGAATCGCTTGAACCCGGAAGGCGGAGGTTGCAGTGAGCTGAGATCGCGCCACTGCACTCCAGCCTGGGGGACAACATGAGACTCCATCTCAAAGAAAAAAAAAAAAAAACGAAAGAAATGCTTATATGAGGTCATTCATTCATGGTAATAAGTGCCATGAATAAAGATAAAGGGGTAGAAGTTCAAGATCAGCCTGGGCTACATAAGTGACAGCCAGTCTCTACAAAATGTAAGAAAATTGGCCAGGCACAGTGGCTCATGCCTGTACCCAGCACCTTGGGAGAACGAGGTGGGTGGATCACTTGAGGTCAGGAGTTCAAGACCATCCTGGCCAACATGGTGAAACCCCATCTCTACTAAAAATACAAAAATTAGCTGGGTGTCGTGGCACACGCCTGTAATCCCAGCTAGTCGGGAGGCTAAGGCAGGAGAATCGCTTGAACCCGGGAGGCAGAGATTGCAGTGAGTCGAGATCGCACCACTGCACTCCAGCTTGGTTTTTGAGACTCCACTCTGTCCCAAAAAATAAAATTAAATTAAATTAAAATAAGAAAATTAGCCAGGTGTGGTGGCAAGCGCCTGTTGTCCCAGCTGCTCTGGAAGTTGAAATGGGAGGATCTCTTTAGCCCAGGAATTGGAGGCTGCAGTGAGCCGTAACCGCGCCACTGCACTTCAGCCTGGCTAACAGAGTGAGACCCTGTCTAAAAAACAGAACAAAACAAGAAACCAAAGACAAAGAACAGCAAAGAGGCTGGCATGCTGGGATATAGTGATGGGGAGTGGGAAGAGGTACAGGTGATGGGGAAACTGAGGCTCAGAGCAAGGCGATCAGTCCAAGGTTGCTCGGAGGCATCAGTGACAAGATATGGAGGGGAATTTGCATTCCCTGCCTACCTAGTGTGTGCTGGGCCAAGAGTGGGCACTTTCATCAATCATGTTAATAATCCTTAGCCACCTCTAATCCTGACTTAGTGAGGTTGAGCTTGCTAGTCCCATTTCAGAGATGGGAGGACTGAGGCTCTGAGACACCATGATTCCAAGGGCTGGCAAGAGCTCTCTGGAAACGAGGCTCCTTCCACCACCTCCCAGCCACTCGCCACTCATCTCCTCCCTCAGCCTTTACTGTGATTTGGCCTCTTCTGGCTGATGAAATATGTTCTCACCATCACTGTCACTCTGCAAAGCAGGAACCCCAGGCTCAGGGGTTTCAGCAACTTGTCGGCCGCCAGCTACCAAGCTCCAAGGCCAGGATTCAAACCCAGGTCTCCTGACTCCATCAGGGCAATCGTCGCAAATTCCTCTGGCTCCTACCACATGCCCCCAGATGCCCCCAGTTGCCCAGGCACCCAGCGTTGTAAGGGGATGTGGGATGACTCCATCTTGCTTATCCCTGGCCAGCTCATTCTCCCCAGTCAGGGCCCCCCTCAAATTTTCCCTCCTTGGAGAGCCTTATCCTGGTCCCCCTTGCAAAAAGCACCCCAGAAGATCTCTGGCCTGCACCCTGGTCTAGTGCATTCAGAGAGTGGGTCACTATGGAAAACCACCTGTTTGTGATTGATATGTATTTTCAGTCTCCCCAGTAGGATGCCGGTTTTAGAAATGTGGAGTCCTGGTTGGGTGCAGTGGCTCACACCTGTAATCCCAGCACTTTGGGAGGCTGAGGCAGGCAGATCATGAGGTCAGGAGTTCGAGACCAGCCTGACCAACATGGTGAAACCCCATCTCTACCAAAAATACAAAAAATTAGCCGGGCATAGTGGCATGCGCCTGTAATCCCAGCTACTCTGGAGGCTGAGGCAGAAGAATTGCTTGAACCCGGGAGGCGGAGGTTACTGTTAGGCAAGATTGTGCCACTATACTCCAGCCTGGGTGACAGAGTGAGACTCCGTCTCAAAAAAAAAAAAAAAAAAAAAAAAAGAAAAAAGTGGGGTCCTTGTCGATATGTTCTCAGCTCTACTCTCAAGGTGTGTAGTAGCTGCTCAGTAAATGCGTATTATTGACTGAGAGGACTGCAAAGGGGCAGACTAGAGGGGCAAGTCCCTGCCACCCTGCACTCCAGAGGGACTGCTCGGCAGCACTGGGCCCAGGACTCACTTGGTGATGCTGACATAGCACAACAGGCAGACGGCCAGGATGACAATGCAGGAAACGCTGACGCCCAGCAGGAGGTGCTGCTCGAAGGGCTCCCTGTAGGCTGGAAGTGGGAGGGGAAGCCATGAGCTGAGGTCAGCCATGGTACAGCCTGGGCTCCACTTCCCAGGACTGGAGACCCAGGGTCAGGACCCTCGTCCGAGACCCTCCACGATCTGACCGCCGACCACCCCTCCACCTCATCTCCCCACCACTCTCCCTCTTGCACATTGAGTCCTCGTCACACCGGCCACCTCATTGCCCCCTGCTCCTCCAAAGCTCAGTGCCACCTCCAGATCTTAAACTTGCTGCTCTTTCTTTCCGGAAGCACAGAAGTCAAATGCACCAACTTAGGAGCCGGATGGCTCCTTGCTGTGTGACACAGGACAAGTCCCTTATCTTCTCTGTGCCTCCGCATCCTCATCTGTACTATGGGGTTAATGACAGAATTGATCGTGCAGGGCTGTTGCGAGGATGACATGATGAATCAATAGATAATGCACTCAGAACAGAGTGGCCTGTCCACATCATTAGCTGCCATCATCTCAACACGGTTGACTTCTCCTTGTTCACTTTCATCGTCACATTCTCCAAAAAGTTTTCCCCGACACCCTCCCTACCGTTGCCCCCTGCCCATCGCTCCATCCCCTTCCTCTGCTTTTATTTTCTTCCCAGCACTCACTGTCATCCAGATCCATGTGATTTCTTTCTTTCTTTATATGTTTGCTTTTTGTCTCTCCCTCCAGAATGTCAGCTCCACAAGAGTGGGGATTTCTATCTGCTTTGTTCATCGCCGATTCCCCAGTGTCTAGCACAGGGCTAGCCATGTAGGAGGAACTCAGCAAATATTTGCTGAAATAATGAATGAGGGTCCCATACATTGTTATCTGTTTCATACAAGCTAGTTCCCTTCCCCATGCCAATGGCAGATGAGAATCAATTCAAAACTTTCCCAAGCACCTGGTTCTGTGCTGGGTTCTGGAGATACAGCCATGGAGACCCTGCCTATGGAGCTCACAGCCCAGGGCAGGAGACACGTGGCTCAACTGATATCCACAGTGCAGGATGAGCAATGCTGAGAGGGCTGTGCGGTGGCAGGGTCAGGGTACTGCCAGCTGCCACTGCACCTACCACGTTGAAGAATCTTCTTTCATTGAGTTTTTACGACAGCCCTTACTCCTCCCATTATACAGATGGGGAAACTGAAGCAGTCTTCTTCACTCAACAGCTTTTTCCTCTCTCCCTTGTCAGGGAGCCATGCCCACCCTAAGGCTTGAGCCAATCACGATTATCCTGTTCCTTTTTCCAGGCATTTGAGTTCCCAGTCTTCCTTGCAATGAGCAAGTAATAACAGTAACCATGTAACATGTAACAGTCTTGGCCAATGAGATGTAAGGGGAATTTTGCTAGGGAAGCTTCTAGAAAGATGTTTGCTTCCTGATTAAAAAAGAGATGCACAAGGTACACTCTCTCGTAGCAGCCTTTCCTTTCCTTCCTGCTTTATGTAAGACAGTGTGCAACGGCCAACCTGAGGGCATGGGTGGCAAGTCTAAGGATACAATGCCACCATGTGAAGGATGGCAGAAGGGAAGACAGCAGAAGGGAAGAGATATCACTTGGCTGCTGTACAAAACCCAGTAGGTCCATTTGTAAGACTTCATTTTATGTGAGATAATCAATATTTCTACTGCGAAAGACCTGTGGGATACCTCACTGAAAAGAGTTGTTTCTGGGATGTAGGTTCCAAGTGAGAAAGTTCCCAGCCTCCTTTGTGGCTATGTGTAGTCATGTGACCATTTTCACCAATAGAATTTGAGAGGAAGTGATGCGGCCCACTTCCGGGCTGTCTGCTTTCAAGAAGCAGATGTGATCTCCATAATCACGCCTCTTCTGCTGGCTGGATACAGACAATGGTGGGGCCCTAGAGCAGGGATTCTTCACTTGGGGTTGATGGACCAACATGGCTGCAGGTAGAATTCAGGGGTCTGAGAACTTGGATGGGAAAGAAATTACATCTTTACTTTCCCTAACCTCTCACACCTAGCATCTCCTTCCATTAAGAATGGAGGAAGGGGCCAGGAACACTGGCTCCCACTTGTAATCCCAGCACTTTGGGAAGCCAAGATGGGAAGATCACTGGAGCCCAGGAGGTCAAAAGCAGCCTGGGCAACATAGTGATACCCTGTCTCTATTTATTTTAAAATTTTAAAAATAAAATAAAATACAATTTTAAAAAAAGAATGGAGGGAAGAGACCCCAGTAATGACAGCATCACTGATCCTGTCCCCAGCAAAACAAAACTCACAGCTATTCTCATATCACATCACAATTTCAGTATCATAAAGTATTATTTATGCTTATCTACTTTGAAATTACAGTATTTATGCGAGCTACCCCTAGAACTTATTATTTATAGATCTTAATAAAGAAGCACATATATCTCTAGATTAAAAATGTGTTTAAATGTTTTATAACTGCATTTCAATACAATTAGTTTCCTCTGTAGTTCTATTTATTTTATTTTATTTCATTGTATTTATTTATTTTTAGAGATGGGCTCTTGCTCTGTCACCCAGGTGGGAGTAAAGTGGTACGATCACGGCTCACTGCAGCCTCAAACTCCTGGGCTCAAGTGATCCTCCCACCTCAGCCTTCCCAGTACCTGGGACTACAGGTGCATGCCACCATGCCTGGCTAATTTTTGTACAGATGGGGGTTTCACTATATTGCCCAGGCTGGGATTTTATGTATTTAAAAATATTCTGAAATGAGGTCCATAGGCTTCACCAGGCTGCCAAAGGAAACCAGGACACAAAAGTAGGTAAGAATCTTTGTCCTGGAGAATGACGGCACCACAAGATGGAAAGAACCTCACTCCCCAGATTTCTACAGGGAGGGAAACCACCTACAAACCAGCAACATTCACGTTAGCTTGTTACGTGAGCAAGAAATATATTCCCATAGTGTTAAGCCATGGAAATTGTGGGCTTGTTTGTTACTGCAGCCTAGCCTGCCTACCTGGCAGATACACCACGGCAGGTGTATCTAATGGCAGGATTGCCATTAGAGGCATCCTATGATATAAAAGCCCAGAGACTCAGCCAGGGGAAGTGTCTGGCCACAGGGGAAGAATGGAGAGTGGAGATTACCATTGCTTAGGCCTCTTGATACTCACAGTTGTGCCACTTGGTGCTGGGGCTCCACTCACTCCAGGTGGTGTTATAGCACTGAGCCCAGGCCCTCACCCGTGCCCTGTAGGAAATCCCAGACTTCAGGGTGCTGGCTGCGATGCGGAGGGAGGGTTCTAGGTAGGTCACGTTATAGATTCTGAACTGGTAGAGAAAAGGGAGATGTTAGGGCACCAGCCGGGGGCGAGGGGCACCAGTGCCCACCCTGGTTGCTGTCGTTAGCTGACCCCACCATGTTTAAGAGCCACCAGCCTGGGTATTTGGTTGTTCGTCCTGTTCAGGCCATTGCTTGCCACCTCTGTAACTGTGACCAGGCTACAGCAACATGCGTCAGGCTCCTCGACTAATTAGCTGTATGTTACTTAGGCAAGTTGTTTAACCTTTCTGAGTTTTCGTGAGATAATTCAATCTCATCTGTAAAACAAGGGTAAGAGTCCCTACTACCACTTCCTGGCTGTGTGACCTTAAGTAAGTGACATAACCTCTCTGGACCTCAATGTCCTCATCTGCAAAATGAAGATAATAAAAGTGCCTATCTCCCTTCCCGCAGGGTTGTGGTGATAAGGAAATGGGTTAATATACGTAAGTATTTCAAATAGGGTTTGGTATACAAAAAGCACTGGGTGATCTTTCTAAAGGACTGGCAGGGTCGAGGCATCTCTCTCTGTCCTTCATGGGCTTCCTAGTGTCTCCATGGTCAAGTCCAAACTCACTGGCCTAGAATCCAATGCTCTGCCCAACCTAGCCTCTACTGAGAAGTGACTTCCAAGATCTATTGTTAAGTAAACAAGGGAAGATGCAGATGTGTATGTGTTCTCTGCTTCTTTTTATGTTTTTTGTTTGTTTGTTTGTTTTTTAAAGAGAGATGGGGCTGGGCATGGTGGCTCATGCCTGTAATCCCAGCACTTTGGGAGGCCGAAGTGGGTGGATCACTTGAGGTGAGGAGTTCAAGACCAGCCTGGCCAACATGGTGAAACTCTGTCTCTACTAAAAATACAAAAATTAGCTGGGTGTGGTGGCGGGCACCTGTAATCCCAGCTACTCAGGAGGCTGAGGCAGAAGAATCATTTGAACCTGGGAGGCAGAGATTGTGGTAAGCTGAGATCATGCCACTGCACTCCAGCCTGGGTGACAGAGTGACGACTTCGTCTCGGAAAAAAAAAAAAAAAAAAAGAGAGAGAGAGAGATGGCACAGTGATCACTGCAGACAAACCTAAGATGGCCCCGATGATCCCCACTTTGAATCACATCTTTGTGTCATCTGGTCTTCTCGAGTGTGGGCAGGACCTGCTACTTGTTTCTAACCCACAGAATATGGTAAAGGTGATGGGATATATAGAGGATTTCATGGATGTGATTATATTACAGAAGACTGTAATATCCTACTTGCTAGGCAAGTCTCTCTGCCTTGATGGCTTTGCAAAGGGCACATGGGAAGGAATTCAGGGTTAACTACAACCAACAGCCAGCACGAAACTGAGGCTCTCAGTTCAACAGCCTGCCAGGGACTGAATGTCACCAATATTGTATGAGCTTAGAAGTGACCCTTCCCCAATTGAGCCTCAGATGAAACTGCAGCCCCATCCCACACCTTGATTATAGCCTCACGAGACTCTAAAGCAGAGAACCTGGCTAAGCTATGTCCAGACTCCCAACCACAGAAACTATGAGATAATAAATGGGTGTTGTTTAAAGCTGTGAAGCTGGTAGTACCATTATTATGCAGCAATAGAAAACTAAGACAGCGATGACTGAACACACACATTTGCTTGTATAGACATAAGCTCTCTCTAAAGGATGCACATGCCCTCTGCCTGCCCTAACCTTGCCTCCCTTTCCCTTCTGGCAAGAGACAGACAGCAGTGGTCAGTCTCTGGGAAGAAAAACAGGAGGCTGGAGTCGGGAGAGAAACATGTTTCCATTCTAAGTCCTTTTGTACCATTTGTATTTTTATTTTGTGTAACTATTACTTTTACCCTCCAAAAAAGCTTTAAAAAGTGATACATGAACGCTATATTCATGACTGACCCTGATGGCAAGTGAGCAACCTGAGTTCTCATCCTGTCACCCCTCTCCCTGCGAGATCCAGGGCTATGCACCTCCCTCTCCTCTTCCTCAGCCCCCGGCAGTTTCTTCCTGGTTACTGGCAGCTCCATTTCTGCTTGTGGTTGGAAGCACATTTGGGGAAACCTGGTGCAAAGTGAGCCAAGGGGAGGTTTTTTCACAAGAAAGAAGCAAAGTTCCAAAAGATTGCTGGAGCAACTACAGAGAGTTCAGAGATTTTCCTATTACAGAGGGAGCTGAGGGTGGGGTGTGAGTTGTGGGGAGACTGGGGAAGGGAGAGAAAATTCTCACTCTCTTTTGTCTTTCTTTCTAAACATGAGCAAACAAGAAGCAACAGCTAGATGTAAGTTACCGAAGAAATCTTACACCCTGGAAGGGAGCTGGGAACTGGGAAATGTTTTACTAAGAAACAAAAGAGAAATCTGAGCTTCCAAAGAACTACTTGCGGTTTGTCTGTTTTTTAACAAGAAGGACAGGTGTTTGGGAGACCATCTCTGAGAGAAATGTCCATGGGAGGAAAAAGAGCACAGGCTTGGGAGTTCAAATACTGGGTGCAAATCTCAGATCTGGGCTGGATGCGGTGGCTCAAGCCTGTAATCCCAGCACCTTGGGAGGCTGAGCCAGGGGGATCACTTGAAGCCAGGAGATCCAGACCAGCCCGGACAACATGGCGAGACCCTGTCGCTACTAAAAATACAAAAAATTAGCCTGGCGTGGTGGCCTGTGCCTGTAGTCCCAGCTACCTGGGAGGCAGAGGTGGGAGAATCACCTGATCCCAGGAAGTCAAGGATGCAGTGAGCCATGATCACGCCCCTGCATTCCAGCCTGGGTGATAGAGTGAGACTCTGTCTCAACAACAACAACAACAACAAAAACTCAGCCCTGCCATTTCCAGCTGTGTGACCCTGAGCAATGTGCCTGGCACATAGTAGGCATATAAAATATGGAAACCATTATGAGGCAGGCATTCAGGGCTCTAACTAAACTTTTGGCTTTGTTTGGTGCTTTATCGCTACACATATTCCCACATCCCCCAACCCCATAATCCTCAAACATTCCATGAATTTTCACACCCATAAACCTTTTATCATGCAGTTCCCTCTGCCTGGTCTACCGTTCCCTTCTTTCCCCATCTAGAAAACTCCTATGCATCCTTCAATGCCCAAGCCAAAACTCCCCCTCCACTATGGAACCTTGCCTAGAAATTATCTAGGGGAATGAATGAGTAGCTCTAGCCCCAAAATTCTATAGTAAGTTCCTAATGTTTCTTTCTGGAATTTATCCCACTCAGTATGAGCCACAGTTGGTGCCTATAGTGCTGTGGCAGATGCAGGTGGACACCCGCCCAGCTTTTATGCCATCGGGTTTAGGTGCCCACTGCTTAGGACAGAACTCCACTGCCTGCAACTCCAGGGCCAACCCTCATTAGTCTAAGCCAATTGTGCCAATCCCATCACCTGGCCTATCATTCATCAGAGGGGAGCATGTGGCCAAGCTCTGGCCAATCACTAAATTCTTTATGTTCAGCTCTGTTCTTGGGAAGGGAGAGATGGGGTATCTCAGTTGCCACTGTTCCACCCACAAGAGAAGCTGGACTTCATTCTTCTGCCTCAGACCTGGTATCTGGAGGCCTGTGGCATCCCTGAGCACCAACATACCCCTAAGCCATAGCCCAGGCATGCTGACCAATCCAATCCCATGACTGGCATCTGGTGCCACGTCTTAAACCTGGCTGGCATTTTAGCCAGCACAGTCCTGCTTCCTCTTCCCCAGTTTCCCCTGGGGAAGCCACTCCTGCCTTATTTTCAGTTCATCTGGTTTGGATGGAGCTGAGCCCACCTGCAGCCCTAGAGGCAGGTATGTGACTCCTCCCTGGACAAGCAGGGCCCTCCACCAGCACCCTCTCTCCACCCACAGCCAGTGATTGGTTCAGAGGCTGGCACAGCATCGAAGCCAGGCCACTGAGCAGCAGCCTTAGGACTCTTATTAGAACCGTCAAGAAAAAAAACCCTTTTCCCACTGTGGCTTTGGGATGTAGGCCTGGAGCAACTAGTAGGCATATCTGCCACTACATGAGGGAAGAGCCTGCCTAAAAACGAAGCCAGTACAGAATAAAGCAGGGCGCAGAGCTGGACAGGTTCCTAGAAGCTGGATCCAGCCATGCCTGAAGGCAGATCTAGAAATATGAAAATATTAAATAACATATCTTTGGACTCTGAAGGTGGTACCTTTCTCTTCCCCCCAGCCCATCCTTGGGACTCTCTGTAGGTCTTGCACAGGCCTGGGGCATGAGAAGGAGATTTATTGACCAAACAAAACTTGCCCCACTCTCTAGCATCTGTGCACTCCTTCCCCCCATGCCCCCCGCTTTCTGAGCCTCTGCTGTGTGAGCCAACTGCCCCATTCCTGCTCTTTCCCCATACCTGGCCCAGTGCCAAAGGGGAAACCAGACCTGAGAGATATAAATCGACACCCCTGGCTTGGCCAGATTGAGAGGAAGCAGTGACAGACACCAGCATGGGAGCTTAAGGTGGCGGGTGCCTGCTCCCTGAGAGCCAACCAGGCCCAGCCTGGGCCCCTGGGATGCACAGAGCCGGCCCTCACAAACCTCAAGGAACAAATGACAGACCAGTGTGTGGGACAGCGGGCAGATGGGGATCTCTGTGGCCTGGGGCACTCAAGAGAAAGGGCACATGGCTTTTAGGACACATGTGGGCCAAACAGGGGAGCTCATCTGTATCACACACCTTGTACTGTCATAGCCCTGTGGGCGGGTGCTCTTGTCACTCCTGTGTTACAGATGAGGAAACTGAGGCACAAAGAGGTTATGGGATATGCCCAACATCACACAGCTGGCGAGTGGCACAGCAGGCATTGGATTGCAGCCCTGTGGGACCCCAGGTCCCATATGTCCAGAGATTGTCCCTCCAATGGGAATGTGAGGAAGGTGGATTCAGGGTGGGGAAACATGGGTGGCAGGAAATGACCTCCCTGCACACCAGCAGAAAAATAGGGGGACTCAGCCACCCACTGTGGACGGCCCCTGCCATTACTGACCTGATAGTTTCCTGTAAATCCTCTCGCCCTTTTTAAAGATGTCAATACATGTACTTAAGAAGGAACTCCACTGGCCAGGTGCGGTGGCTCACACCTGTAATCCCAGCACTTTGGGAGGCCAAGGCGAGTGGATCATCTGAGGTCAGGAGTTTGAGACCAGCCTGGCCAACGCAGTGAAACCCCATCTCTACTAAATATACAAAAATTAGCTGGGCACGGTGGCAGGTGCCTGTAGTCCCGGCTGCTCAGGAGGCTGAGGCAGGAGAATCGCTAGAACCCAGGAGGCGGAGGTTGCAGTGAGCCAAGATCACGCCACTGTGTTCCACCCTGGGTGACAGAGTGAGACTCTGTCTCAAAACAAACAACAACAAAAACTCCACCAACACTACTGTGAAGGGAATGTCAGGACCAGCTTCCATGGGGAACAACCAACAAACTGATCTTGTTTTCTTGGGAAAGTCTAAGCCTGGGGTGTGGCCTCTGCTCTCTTCATTAAGAGGAATTAGTAAACGAGTCAGCTGTATGGGGACTTCCTCCTTAACCCGTTGGCCTCAAAAGGGAACTGACACGGGTCACTGTCTCTTGAGTCAGTATTATTCTCTTCAATAATAGGGTTATTCAAGTGAGCTGTCAATGTGCCACCTACGATCACTTGTGTCCCCCAAACTGGGAAACACAGATGTGGCCCACAGCCCTACCTTTACAGAGGAGGAGCGGCATGCAGAGATAACTCCCCTTCTCTGATGTGAGGGGTGGGGGGCCAGGAAGCAAAGGGACTTGCCTAGTGCAGAGCCAGGTGAGAAGCCAGGTCTCTAGCTCCTGGGATTTGCTATCCAGCCCCAGGGCTTGCCTCCCAGGCTCCTGGCTCCAGGGACTGGGCCTCTGCTGGTCACCCACCCTGTTCCCCAGAGGTCACAGAAAAACGTCAAAGCATGCCCACTCACATCTGCCGGGTCGTTTTCACTCCAAATGTTGACTGCATAGGTGAGATGATTATACAGGTAATTGTCAGGGGGATACGGGTTGCTCCAGGTCAGCAGCAGAGTGTCGGAGACATTGGTGTGAACTGTCAGGTTTCCTGGGGCCCTGGGTTTCACTGCGGGAGAAGCGGCCTCTATGTGAGGATCTATGCAGTGACTCCCCCATCACCCAGCCCAGCCCCGGCCTACAAACCACAGCCACCACCCAGATTTTTGGTCGACAAAACCTCCATAGCATACTTCTGGAGCACCACACAGATTCAGAGCCATAGCAAAGAAGATTATAATAACAATAATGTTGCTAAAATTCTACATAGAACTTTAGTGTTTATTAATTACCCTTTTTTTCTTCTTTTTTGAGACAGGGTCCCACTCTGTTGCCCAGGCTGGAGTGCAGTGGCACAATCCCAGCTCACTGCAGCCTCAATAGCCCAGGGCTCAAGTGATCTGCCTGCGCTGGGCTCCCAAAGTGCTGGGATTCCAGGCATGAGCCACCGCGCCTGGTCTTTACTAACCACCTTTCTACAGTGAAGGCAAAGTGTATGAGCCAAAGTAACCCAAACTTCAGCCTTTTAAAAAATCTTTTTATTTTTATTTATTTTTATTTTTTTGAGACGTAATCTCACTCTGTCGCCCAGGCTGGAGGGCAGTAGCATGATCTAAGCTCACTGCAACCTCCTTCTCCTGGGTTCAAGCCATTCTCCTACCTCAGCCTCCCAAGTAGCTGGGATTACAGGCGCCTGCCACCATGCCAGACTAATTTTTTGTATTTTTAGTAGAGACGGGGTTTTACCATGTTGTCCAGGCTGGTCTCGAACTCCTGACCTCCGGTGATCCGCTGGGCTCGGCCTCCCAAAGTGCTGGGATTATAGGCATGAACCACCACACCCGGCCTCAAACTTCAGCTTTTACAGCTGCATCCTTCACACCTTTGGCCACATCTCTGTACTTTATGATGATTTACTGAGTATTTTTCTTTATTTTGATTCATCTGTTTTAAAACTTGGTCTCCTTTGAAGCAATCATATCCATGAGACCTCAGGTTTTTATTCCTGTGATGCATGTCATATCATGCATCACTGGAATACAACGCATGTTTTAAACTCCTGTCACCACAGCCCAGCAAGCTCAAGGGGGATTCCTGCAGGGACTCCGGGTACCAGAAGAAGGTCAGCCTTCCACGGTCAAGACCATCCAAAGCCGCAGCAGCTGACCAGTGGACACAGAATGGAAGGAATGTTCCCAGTTCGGTTTTCAATCAGCAGCAGGCATGCCTTCCAGCAAGCACACCTCATCTCAATACGCCTTCCTGGGCACTTAAGTTCAGGGGTGGAAACAGCTGGGCTGAAGGGGGCTTGGTGGTCTACTGCGACCAGCTCCGTTTCAAAGGTGGGAGGACTGAGGCCCAGGCAGGGGCAGGAATCCCATCAGATTTGGGAAAATACAGGCGGCTTCCTCCTGCTGTTGCTATGACCCCACCTCCTCCCCTGCCCACCCCACCCTCAGCCCAGGCAGCTGTGGGAACACACCCAGCCACCCCTGCCGCACTCCGCCCTGCTCACCATGCTCGCTGGGCTTGAAGGAGCCCTTCCACAGCAGCTGCTGCCCAGCCCACAGGTCCAGTGTATAGTTATCCGCACTGACCACGTCATCCATGAGCAGGTGGCACACGCACCCCGCGCCTCCGTTGTTCTCAGGGATACACGTGTGGGCTCTGCAGACACAGGGGCTGGGTTAGGCTGGTCACCTGTAGGCTGGCTGGGCCCCACAGCTGTGTCCGGGACATGCCTCCAGGAACCGCATCAGACTCTTCCAGCTTCCCGATCACGGATGTGAGGACAGATCTGGGGGCTTGGGAGCGGCCAGGGTGTGCTGGGGCAGCCGACTAGGGTTGCCTCTCTTGCTGGCCACAGCCTCTTACCACATGCACCAAGGATGCTCCTCACACCTGCCTAGCTGCCGGCCCTGGTCCTGGGACTTAGCTTGTTCCTGAAAGCCCATGAAAGGGAAGAACCGGTGGCACTAATTAATTTAGAACAACATAAGCTCTGCATCGCACAGTTTGGCCATCGTAAGATAATTCCAATGTTCCACCTTAACAGCCAACCCACATCTCACGGGCTAGGCCAGGGGTCTGCAAACTTTTTCTGTAACAGGCCAGATAGTTAATATTTTGGACTTCAAAGGCCACACAATTTCCTTTTTTTTTTTTTTTTTTGGTTATTTGTATAAATTTAGGGGGTACGAGTTTTTTGTTTTTTGTTTTTGTTTTTTTTTCCTGAGACAAAGTCTCACTGTCACCCAGGCTAGAGTACAGTGATGTGATCTCGGCTCACTGCAACCTCCACCTCCTGGGCTCAAGCAATTCTCCCGCCTCAGCCTCCCTAGTAGCTGGGATTACAGGTGTGCGCCACTACACCCAGTTAATTGTTGTATTTTTAGTAGAGATGGAGCTTCACCATGTTGGCCAGGCCGGTCTCGAACTCCTGACCTCAAGTGATCTGCCCACCTCGGCCTCCCAAAGGGCTGGGATTACAGCCGCGAGCCACCACAGTGCCCGGCCTTACAAGTGCAATTTTGATGGCAAGCCTCAGATCTGTTCTCACTGGATATGCTGCCTAGTGGTGAAGTCTGGGGTTCTGGTGGGTCCGTCACCCAAATGGTGTACACTATGCCCATTAAGTAACTTCTCTTCCTTCACCCCTCTCCCACCCTCCCAAGTCTTCAATGTCTGTTATTCCATGGTACATGGAATAATGCCCATGTGTACACATTATTTAACTCTTACTTATAAGTGAGAACATGCAGTATTTGACTTTCCATTTCTGAATTATTTCAATTAAGATAAAGGAGGAGGCCGGGCTCAGTGGCTCATGCCTGTAATCCCAGCACTTTGGGACGCTGAGGCGGGTGGATCACCTGAGTTCAGGAGTTCGAGACCAGCTTGGCCAACATGATGAAAACCGGTCTCTACTAAAAATACGAAAAATTAGCCGGGTGTGGTGGCAGGCACCATTAATCCCAACTACTCGGGAGGCTGAGACAGGAGAATCGCTTGAACCCGGGAGGCAGAGGTTGCAGTGAGCCGAGATTGTGCCACTGCACTCCAGCCTGGGCAACAAGAGCGAAACTCTGTCTCAAAGAAAACAAACAAACAAACAAACAAACAAAAAACATAAAGGAGGGCCATGCAGTTTCTGTTACAACTACAGCAGCCAGTGTGTTCCAATAAAACTTTATTTACAAAAACAAGCAGTGGGCCGGATTTGGCTCACGGGCCATAGTTTGCCAATCCCTGGACTAAGCCAATGGAAACAAAGCACAGCCCATCTACCTTAGAATAATCATGGAATACCACCTTTACTGGTGAACGCTGCATGCTGGTGTGCCGTATATCCCCAGTCTGCCCCGTAACTGTGTGTCTTGTGTACGTGATTATGTCCTGGGCACCAGTGTAACGAAGCATCCTGTGCACCATGGAGTAGCCCAGGGAACCACCTGACTCCTATGCCATGTGTCCTGGTCCATCCACCATCACAGAGGACTCCACTCTCAACACCGTACTCCTCAATCAAGGGTCTAGTCCAGTGGTTCTCAAAGTGTGGTCTGGGCCCACCAGGTAAAACTCTTTTCATCATAATACAGGGACGTTATTTGCCTTTTCACTCTCTCTCACTGGCGTACAGTGGAATTTTCTAGAGGCTACATGACCTGTGATCATGTAATTGATCTGAAGATTTGTTGAATGCGGGCTTGCATGTTGTTGGGACTTAAAATTTCTCCATTTTGGGCCGGATACAGCGGCTCACGCTTGTAATCCCAGCACTTTGGGAGGCGGAGGCAGGAGGATCACTGGAGCCCAGGAGTTTGAGAGCAGCCTGGGCAACACAGTGAGACCTCCATTTCAGTAAGAAAAAAAATTTTTAATTGTTTTAATTTTTTAAAAATTACACCATTTCTTCATTGCAAGTTCTAATTAGGTAAACATAGAATGATGTGTTACCTACACCAAAGCCCTTTGGGTCCTCACTCATTTTTAAGTGTGAAAAAGGGTCCTGAGACCAAAAAGTGTGAGAACTGCTGGTCTAGTCCAGTATTCCAGCCGTATCCATGTGCCACGTGGACCAACACTCCCACCATGCGCTCCACTGTATCTTACATAACATGTCCCTGGAGATGGGACCTCCCCTCTAACACCATATAAACAGCAGCAAACCATACTCAGCATCCTGCACTCCAGCGCACCACCTGGACCCAGCTCACTCTTGGGGCAAACCCTTTGGGCACAACCTCCCCAAACCTCCAGCTCCAGCGCAGGCTTACTCGGAGAGCAGAAAAACCAGCTGGTACAACAGGCGGAGCTCGGTGCTGCAATTGGTGGGACCATTCATCTTCCACTCGCAAGTAGAGATGCTCATGTAGTCGGAGACGCAGGTGGGCTCCTGCAAGACCTTCATGTTCCCTGGGGAGACACAGGAGCAGCCTGAGCGGCCCAGGAACTCAATGCGTGAGGGGGACTTGCACCCAAACAGGACCAAGGGGAATAGCACAAAAGCACAGTGCAGGCAAAGTTGAGGGCCAGCGCCCACAGAGCTGGGGCCAGGACCAGGGCTGCTGGAGCTTCCCAGCTAGTGTCGGGATGACTGTGGAAGCTGAAGAAATACCCATGGGTGCGGGGGCCATTAGACAAGAACGAACCAAGTGCACCTTTATCTCACACAAACTTGACAACTTGTTCTTGGCCAAATTAAAGGGAAAATATGTAGCAGTTTAAGGAGTGCCATTCCATCACACCAAGCCTCTGCCCTCGAGCTAGGGGAAGTGCCACTTCCCCATTTGCCCACTATCTGCGCCCCTCTTTGTCTCCACCCCTTTCTGCCCTCTCTGTGCTCAGGAGGCTGATACCACAGTCTTCATCACCGGGTACCCTTGGCCTTTAGTTTCCGGTTGGGTTTGGCCAATGGGAGAGAGGAGATGGATGGGCTGGAGGAGACATCGGGGTCCTTCTCCTTTCAGCGCCCTCCTAGCTTGTCAGTGGCCATGGCAGGACTGGAATTGGCAGGATGTACACTGAGTTTGCTAAACCACCTGAGCATGAGACCACTCAGGCGCCTCCATGCTCCCATGCTCAGTGCCACGCCCATCTCAGCTGACAACAACTTGCATAAGGGCTTACCATGTTAAGGAGCTGTCTTAGATAGCAAATAAATATTCCAAGCTTATCTCATGTCCAAAACTAACTCCTGATTCCCGCCCCTCCCCAAAGTACCTTCTCTTCTGGCATCCTTCTGCATTTCAGAAATGACAACCGCGTCCTTCCCAGTAGTTTAGGTCAGAAATCTTGGAGTCATCCTGGCCACTTCTCTTTCTCTGTCTTTCACCTCAATTCCAATCTGTCCTCAAATCTACCTCCCAGAGGGATCCGGAGCCTCTCATCTCCTCCACTCCAGACCTCCCTCCAGACCTCCTGGCTTCCACCCTCTTCCTTTCTCCACACGGCATCCTGAAGAGTCCTTTGGAACATAATGGATGATATGGATCCTCTGCTCAAACACTGCAAGGTCTTTTTTGATTCAGCCACTCTGTCACCTTGCTGACCTTCACTGCTCCCTCCTGCTGCTCACTCTCCTCCACCACATTCCCTCCTGTGCTCAACCCTCCCGCCAGGCTCAGTGCAGGGCCTCTCTGCCAAGAATGAGCCTTCCCCAGACATCTGCACGGTTCCCGCTTCCTCCAAGTCAGCTCAATGAGGCCTTCCCTGACTTCCCTACTTTCAACTGCAATCCCCCCCACTCCACCCAGCTTCCCCAACCCCCTCTTATGCTGTTCTGTGTTCTTTCCCCATCACCTTCTCTTTTTTTTTGACAGGGTCTCACTTTCTCACGCAGGCTGGAGTGGAGTGGCGCGATCACAGTTCACTGCAGCCTTGACCTCCTGAGTTCAAGGGATCCTCCCACCTCGGCCTCCTGAGTAGCTGGGGCTACAGGCGTGCACTGCCACACCTGGCTAATATTTTATTATTTGTAGAGACAAGGTCTCCCTATGTTGCCCAAGCTGACCTCGAACTCCTGGGCTCAAGCGATCCTCCTGCCTCGGCCTCCTGAAGTGCTGGGATTACAGGTGTGAGCCACTGCACCCGGCTCCCATCACTTTCTAACAATCTTTAGAATTTACTGATAATCAGGGCCACTTGTCATTGGCTGTCCCCTCCCACTGCAGTGTAATCTCCATAAGGCCAGGTGACATACTGCAGGACCCTGGCACGCCATTAATAGCCAACAAATGAATGATTGAGAAGTGGTGACTTACCAGAGCTTGCCACCTGCAGCAGGACCAGGCAGCTCACAGGGAACAGGAGCCCAGAGCAAAGCCACCCCATTGGGAGATGCCAAGGCACCTGCAGAGAGAGAGGAAGCAGGTTAGTGCTGACCTGTGCTTCCAGCAGAGCTCATCTTATTCAATATGCAACCCTCCCCTGCCCTGGCCATTTATTTGTTTGTTTGTTTGCTTGTTTGTTTGTTTTTCCGAGACAGAGTCTCGCTCTGTCTCCAAGGCTGGAGTGCAGTGGTGCAATCTCAGCTCACTGCAACCTCCACCTCCCGGGTTCAAGCGATTCTTCTGCCTCAGCCTCCCGAGTAGCTGGGATTACAGGTGCCCACCACCACACCTGGCTAATTTTTGTATTTTTAGTAGAGACGGGGTTTCACCATGTTGGCCAGGCTGGTCTTGAACTTCTGACCTCATGATCTGCCCCTCTGGTCTTCTCGAAGTGCTGGGATTACAGGCCTGAGCCACTGCGGCTGCCCAGCCATGCCCTGGCCATTTGTGTCTCTGCCGACAACAGGTCCTCCACGTTCACAGAGCTCTCTCTATAATCATGAAACAACACCCAGACCCACAAAGTCCAGAGGGTGAGCTACACAACAACTGTCCTGGGAGATGCTTCTGGATGTGGCCTTCCTTGGACAACCCTCTACACATGTTTCTCTGATTATTTCCTGAGGTTTAAATACCTGCTCTGTCACTGACTAGATGTGAACCTTGAGCAAGCTGTGCTTCCATGCCTCAGTTTCCTTATCTATAAAGTGGGACTAAGAATAGCCCCATCTGATTGAGGTGTTGTGGGGATTAAATGAGCTAACACAGACAGAGCCCTCCAACAGTGACCGGAACACTTTAAAGTCTCAAGTAACGTTACAAGTCAGCTTAGTCCATATAGGCTGCTATAACAAAAATACCTTAGAGCAGGTAATTTACAAAGAACAGAAACGTATTGCTCTATTGGGTGCAATGGTGTGCATCTCTAGTCCCAGCTACTCGGGAAGGTGGGGTGGATCACTTGGAGTCCAGGGGTTTGAGACCAGCCTAGGGAATATAGTGAGACCTCATGGTGAATTTTTGAAAAATTGTTTTAAATTTTATTATTCAGGCCAGACACAGTAGCTCACACCTGTATTTCCAGCACTTTGGGGAGCCAAGGTGGGTGGATCACCTGAGGTCAGGAGTTCGAGATCAGCCTGGCCAACATGGAGAAACCCCGTCTGTACTAAAAATACAAAAACTAGCCGAGTGTGGTGGCGGGCACCTGTAATTCCAGCTACTCTGGAGGCTGAGGCAGGAGAATCGCTTGAACTGGGGTAGGCAGAGGTTGCAGTGAGTCGAGATCGCGTCATTGTACTCCAGCCTGGGCGACAAGAGCAAGACTCCATCTCAAAATAAATAAATAATAAATAAATAAATTTTCTAATGCATAGTTCTGGAGACTGGGAAGTCCAAGATCACGACACTAGGAGATCCAGATCTGGTGAGAGCCCATTCCTCACGGACGATGCCATGCTGCTGTGTCTTCATATGACAGAAGGGGCAAACACACTTCCTTCAGCCCGTTCATGAGGGCACTAACCCCATTCATGACCAACCACAGAGCCCTCATGACTTAATCACTTCTCCAAAGGCCCCATCTCTTAATATGACTACAATGGGATGAAGTTTCAACATATGAATTTGGGGGAACACATTCAGCCCATAGCACCAGCTATTATCATTAAGAAAAAAATGTTCAGAAGCCAGGTGTGGTGGCTCACACCTGTAATCCCAGCACTTTGGGAGGCTAAGGAGGGAGGATGGCTTGAGCCCAGGAGTTCAAGACCAGCCTGGGCAACAGAGTGAGACCTTATCTCTACAAAAATTAAACAAAATCAGCCAGGCACGGTGGTGCATGCCTGTAATCCTAGCTACTTGGGAGGTTGAGGTGGGAAGATCGTTTGAGCCTGGGATGTCAAGGCTGCAGTAAGCCAAGACCGTACCACTGCACTCCAGCAAGACCCTGTCATAAAAAAAAAAGAAAAGAAAAGAAAACAGAAAGTTTGGGAGGCTGAGGTGGGCGGATCACGAGGTCAGGAGTTTGAGACCAGCCTGGCCAACATAGTGAAACCCTGTCTCTACTAAAAATACAAAAATTAGCCAAGTGTGGTGGCGCACACCTGTAGTCCCAGCTACACGGGAGGCCGAGGTGGGAGAATTGCTTGAACCCAGGAGGCGGAGGTTGCAGCGAGCCGAGACCATGCCATTGCACTCCAGCCTGGGTGACAGAGTGAGACTCTGTCTCAAAAAAAAAAAAAAAGGAAAAGAAAAAAATGCTAAGAAGCAGAATCTCACGGAGTCAAGTGTGTACTTTTCCCCAGCACTCCTGGTACATAACGTCAAATACCCTCCAAAAAGTGTGTACTGGGGCCGGGCGTGGTGGCTCACATCTGTAATCCCAGCACTTTAGGAGTTCACAACCAGCCTGGCCAACATGGTGAAACCTGTCTCTACCAAAAATACAAAAAAAAATTAGCCGGGCGGTAGTGGCGCGTGCCTGTAGTCCCAGCTACTCAGGAGGCTGAGGCAGGAAAATCGCTTGAGCCTAGGAGGTGGAGGTTGTGGTGAGCCGAGATGGCACCACTGCACTCTAGGCTGGGCGACACAGTGAGACCCTGTTGCAAAAAGAGAAAAAAAAAAAAAAGAAAAAGAAAAAAAGAAAACAGCACGCGCTGGGTTATATTCCCTGCAACATTTCAAGTGCCCATCCTTCACTTCCCGCTTGGGTCTCTCTCCTGGGATCTTATTCAAAAAAGCAGCTCCCAGGCTTTGTTCTGCTAGTGAGTAGTTCTTTGCCATTAACAGCATTTCTCTTTTGGTGCTCTGGCTGTGTTTCTGTGGCACAGGAATGGTTCCAAGGCTAACCTCACAGGCTTGCAGCAAACAGGAACGGAGGTGTTGCCTCTGAAGCACTGTGTGCAGTGTCTGGGGCATCATAAGAACTTAAGGCCACCTCAGGAGCTCTAGGCCCCTGCTGGATGCTCTCCGAGTGACTTGGGCACACTTGAAGGCCCTCCCCCCAGCAGGGCTCCACCTCCCTCTCCACCTGGGCCCAGCACCCATGCATCCTACGCCTGCCACCTACACTTCTTCTTTTTTGTTTTTTAACATTTTATTTTATTTTATTTCATTTTATTTTTTTGAGACAGAGTTTCACTCTTGTTGCCCAGGCTGGAGTGCAATGGCGCGATCTCGGCTCACTGCAACCTCCGCCTCCCAGGTTCAAGCGATTCTCCTGCCTCAGCCTTCTGAGTAGCTGGGATTACAGGCATGGGCCACACACCCAACTAATTTTGTATTTTTAGTAGAGACAGGGTTTCTCCATGCTGGTCAGGCTGGTCTTGAACTCCCGACCCCAGGTGATCCGCCTGCCTCAGCCTCCCAAAGTGCTGGGATTACAGGCGTGAGCCACTGAGCCCGGCTGCCACCTGCACTTCTTAAACACACCAAACTCAGTCCCACCTCCATGCCTTTTCTCTCTCTGTCCCCTCCACCTGGAGGGACCTTCCCTTCCTCCCTTTCCTTTTTTTTTTTTTTTTTTTTGAGACAGAGTTTACTCTGTTACCCAAGCTAGAGTGTAGTGGCACAACCTCGACTCCCTGCAACCTCCACCTCCCGGGCTCAAGCAATCTTCCCACCTCAGCCTCCTGAGTAGCTGGGACCACAGATGTGCACCATGAGGCCTGGCTAAGTGTTTGTATTTTTGATAGAGATGGGGTCTCATTATGTTGCCCAGGCTGGTCTCGAACTCCTGAGTTCAAGCGATCTGCCCACCTTGGTCTCCCAAAGTGCTGGGATTACAGGCGTGAGCCACTGTACCCGGCCCTTCCTCCCTTACGCGTGCTTTTCCTCTCTTCCCCTAATTTATGATGGTGCAAAATCAATGGGTGTTCAGTAGAAGCAGTACTTGGAGCACCCATACGACCATTCTGTTTTTCACTCTCAGTATTCCATAAACTACACAAGCTATTCAACACTTTATAACAAAACAGGCTTTGTGTTAGATGACTTTGCCCAACTGTAGGCTAATGCAAGTGTTCCGAGCTAAGTTAAGCTATAACGTTCAGTAGGTTAGGAGTATGAAGTACATTTCTGACTTAATAATATTTTCAACTTATGATGAGTTTATGGGGACAAAACCCCATCATTAAGAAACATCTGTGTATGAGACACATAAACACACTCACATATCTCCATAATGAATAAATTACCCCAATACCTCAGTGTGCATGTCAGAAAAACAAGGACATTCTCTGCATAATCACAATACAACCATCGAAATCAGGAAATTAACAGTGATGCATCACCACTATCTCATCCACGGCCCCTATTTATGTTTTGCTAATTGCCTCAATAATGCCCTTTATACGTCCAGGATGCAATCCAAGATCATTCATCACATTTGATTATCATGCCTTCCTAGTGACCAGGTCTTGGCTTCTAAATACTATTCTGTACTGAAAGGAACCAGAGCGCCTTAGAGAAATAGCTGATTCCAGGAGAAGGAAAAGTACCAGATAGGCTTGGAATTCTTGTGCCAGACAATAAGGAAGTACTCAGCAGCTAGCCTGACCTGGACAAAACAGGCACATTTTGAGCATCAAAATGAATATTATGGTATCCACTTGTAACCCTTGGAGTTAAAGTCCAGGAGTCTGTATTGACATAGATCAATAAATGGAGGAGGCCGGGTGCAGTGTGGTGTGTGCCTGTAATCCCAACTTCTTGGGAGGCTGAGGCAGGAGGATGGCTTGAGCCTGGGAGTTGGAGGCTGCAGTGAGCTATGATCGCACCACCGCACTCCAGCCTGGGCAACAGAGTCAGACTTCATCTCTAATAAATAAATAAACAGGGAAGAAGGGAAAGCTCTATTTTACTATGACAGCCTCAAAGTAACTCCCTGCAAAACTTGTATTGTATATTAACTAATGAGTGAAAATACATATCAATGAACGTTACAATACAGAAACCTGGCAGACACCACCTTCACCAAGTGATCTAAACTCACCAACAAGAATGGGACAAATCCCCAACATCACCTCCCTGAAACAATTCCTGAGAAGAGCACAGCATGTCTTTTCCTGGGTTCCTGCCAAGGATGCATACATCATTTGGAAACGTCAGACAAATGTACACCAAGGGCCAGTCTATATACAAGAACTGGCCGCTGCTCCTCACGAAGTGCCAGGGGTGCAAAGGACAAGCCAGCGTGGGACATCTGTCCCTTTTTAAATTGTCTGTCATCCTGACAGCCAGGGTCTGTCCCATTCACTGCCGAGTCCCCAGTATCTACAACGGTGCCTGGCACATAGGACGTGTTCAGTAACTGTTTGTTGATTAAATTCATTTTGGACATGATGTGGGGCCCCTAACTGGCTCAGCATGAGGCTGCAAAGCTCTCTCTAGGGGAAGGCTCTGTATCGGCTCAAAGGTTGAACTCGTCTTCCTTGCTGAGAGTTACAAAAGTAAAGTCTCAAGTAAAGGAGGGGCGGGAATGGGGTGGTGGGTTCCTGACACTGATTTCCTTGGCAAGTCCTAGTAACTTTTACTCTCACAACTACACAGATGCCCACAGTATCCTGTGGCAGAGATGGCAAAGGTGTCACTTTAGCCTCAATTATGAATAAAGAGAAACAGAGAGGCCAAGACGCCTGTCCAAAGTCACACAGCAGAAGACTTTCATGGTAAAGTCCTCCAGGGAAACAGGGGAGTCAACAACCCTGTCAAGATTCACTAAAACATCCCAGCATGGCGTCAGGATTGATATCCTTAATCTGTTGTGGAAGGCACGCCCAGACTTACGCATGCCCATGTGCACACACACGTGCCGCAGCTAGCTTCTCAGGGATGTGTGGGTGCTACATTTCAGGAGAGATCACAGATGCAGTGGGAGAAGAGGCTTCCCTGAACATCAGAGGCAAAAAGAACAAAGATGCAGGTGAGTAAAAGAATTAAAAAGATAAGTGCCAGGTTATCGCGTTCAAGTACACGGCAAGAGGAGATGATTTCAAGTTCCCATTCTAAATCAAGAGACTCCTGGCTGGGCGCGGTGGCTCACGCCTGTAATCCCAGCACTTCGGGAGGCTGAGGCAGGCAGATCATGAGGTCAGGAGATCGAGACCATCCTGGCTAACATGGTGAAACTCAGTCTCTACTAAAAATACAAAAAATTAGCTGGGCGTGGTGGCGGGTGCCTGTAGTCCCAGCTACTCAGGAGGCTGAGGCAGGAGAATGGCTTGAACCCGGGAGGCGGAGCTTGCAGTGAGCCAAGATTGAGCCACTGCACTCCAGCCTGGGTGACAGAGCAAGACTGTCTCAGAAAAAAAAAAAAGAGATTCCTGAAGTGGTGGAGTTGGAAGGGGTCTCAGCGGTCACCTGCCAAGCTCAACTGCCAACCTGGACAAGGATGTCCTGCGAACACCCCACTTCTGACATGCTGCTAGGCAGTTTCAGCCCATATGCCACCACAGATGGAGCAATCACTCTCAGGTCTCAGTTAAGCAGAGCCATTGGAAACAGCCTCCTTATGTTGAGTCAAGGCTTTGTGTGAACAAAATCCCTGCTTGCCCAGCACTTACCTTGTACTTGACACTTTGCTAGGTGCTTTAGAAGTATTACCTCACCGAATCCACACAAGAATCCTGAAAGGTAGGCTGTTATCCCAACTGTCTAGCTAAGGAAACTGAGGCCAGAGAGGCCAAATAACCCATCCACCAGGTCCCACAGCTGGTAAAAGGTCAGAGCTAGAATCAGAACCCACGTTTGTTTGCTTCCGAGCCCACCGTGGATTCCAGTATACCAGTTCCTTCAATCTCATCTCCTAAAACTGCAGGCTGAACCCAATAAGATGAAATAAAATGAGCCGGGCAGAGTTGGCCATCCTGCTTGTCAATTTCAAACAACAGTTCCGCAAGTGTAGGATAAGAAAATCTGACTGAGCAGCAGAAAAGTCCTGAGGATTTTATCATCTGCAAAATCTCCAAAAGCCAATGGTGAAGCAGCAACTTAAAAAAAAAAAAAGAGTCACCCGAGGTCATATTAACAGAGGTATCCATTTATAGACTGTTACATCTCACAACAGCAGAATATACATTCTCCTCAGGTTCATGTGGAATAATCACCAAGACAGACCACATTCTGGGACATAAAACAACCTTAAGAGATTGAAAACATTAGAAATCACACAACATATGCTCTTAGGCCACAATGGATTCAAATTAGAAGTCACTAGCAGGAAGAAAGCCAGAAAATTTCCAAGTATTTGGAGATTTAAAAACACACTTCCGAATAACATATGGATCAAAGAAGAAATCACAAGAGAAACTAAAAATATTTTTAACTAAATAAAAATGAAAATATAGCCTATCAAAATCGGTGAGACGTAGCAAAAGCAGTGCTTAGAGGGAAATTTATATTATTGAATGTATATCTTAGAAAGAAAGTTCTAAAATCAATAATCTGTTTCCATCTAGAGTACTAGAAACAGAAAAGCAATATATGTCTAAAACAAGCAGAAGAAAAAAATACAAAATTGGAGCATACATCAATGAAATTAAAAATAGAAAATTAATCGAGGAAAATCAATGAAATCAAAAATTGGTTCTTCGAAAAGATCAATGAAATTGATAAATCTCTACCTAGGCGAATCAAAAAAATGAGAGAGAAGGCACTAATTAATAATAATGTGATATGGCCTGGCTCTGTGTCCCCACCCAAATCTCACCTTGAATTGTAATATGAATTGTAATCCCCACGTGTTGGGGGAAGGACCTCATGGGAGGTGATTAGATTACGGGAGCAGTTCCCCCATGCTGTTTTCGTGACAGTGAGTGAGTTCTCCTGAGATCTGATGGTTTTATAAAGGGCTTTCCCCCCCTTTCCTTGGCGTGTCTCCTTCCTGACGTCATGTGAAAAAGGATGTCTTTGCTTCCCTTTCCGCCATGATAATATGTTTCCTGAAGCCTCCCCAGCCCTGCAGAACTGTGAGTCAAACCTCTTTCCTTTATAAATTACCCAGTCTTGGGCATGTCCTTAGAGCAGCATGAGAACAAACTAATACTATTGTAAATTAAAGAAAAGTTATTAGAGGTGGCACATGCCTGTAGCCCCAGCTACTGGGAAGGCTGAGGCAGGAGGATCACTTGAGCCCAGGAGGTTAAGGCTGCAGTGGGCTGTGTTCATGCCACTGAACTCCAGCCTGGGCAACAGAGAAAGATCCTGTCTCAAAAAATAAAAAATAAAATTTTTAAATTAAAAAAAAGTGGCACTATATAATGATTCGGGAGTTAATTCTCCAAGAAGATGTAAATAACAATCCTTAATGTGTAGGCAACTAACAACAAAGGGTCAAAATATGTAAGGCAAAAACTGAGAGCAGCAAGGAGAAATAGAGAAATCTGTGTGATTATTCTGAATAATACTATTATTGGATAATAATAGTATTATTACTATTACTTCAACTCTTTTGGTAATCGACAGATCCAGCAGGCAGAAATCAGTAAGGACACAGTTGACTTGAACAGTGCTGTCAATCAACTGGATCTAAGTGCAGTGTGCAACCACAACTTGGCATCCCTTTGGAAGGAATACTGCTGTCATGTATGACAACAACCAACACAGAGAGGGCCTGATAATCCCAGGAGGCCTAGAAAGTCTTTACCTGGAAAGCTCTGCCCTCCTATACTGGGCAGCCTCACCATTCACTTAAACACACAGAGTTTACCACATGCCAAGTTTTCTTTTACATCTTTTACATACAAGAATGCATTTAATAATCTATGAAATAGGTAATATTATTTTCTCCATTTTCAGATGAGGAAACCAAGGCACAGAAAGGCTGAGTGATTTGTCTGAGGTTGCACAGCTGTGACAGTCATGGGTCTTAAATCCAGCACTCAAGCTCCAAAGCTTTGGTTCTTAACTACTATCTGTCTAGAAGTCAGAGACCTTAGTGTTTTGGGGATCAATGACCTATCTGAGCATCTAATGTAAACCCCAAACCCTGTTTCTGGCAAGGTGCATACACTTAATTCTGCATTCCATTTTAGGGGTTCACAGAATCCCTGAAGCCCAAGTGAGGACCTCAGGTCAAAGGCCTGTCCTCTAAGCAGTGGGCAGCTTTTGAGGGTCTTTGAGCAGGGGAGTGGCAAATTTTTGAGAAGTCTGGGGGGATGTGGGCAGTTAGCAGTTGCTGCAGATGAGGCTCACCCTGCCTCTTCTCCACATCACAGCCAGAGCCATTTTAAAATCAGAAATGAGACCAGGGCCAGCTCACACATCCAATGCCCCCTGGCTCCTAAAGGGCTTCTTCACAGGGGCCACAGATCCCCAGGGGGTTCACAGCTCATTAGAGAAGCATCTCTGACTTAGAATAAAATCCAAGCCCTAGAGTGAAAAAAGCCAGTTCCCAGAGTACACACCCCGTGACTCCATTTATGTAACATACTTGAAATCACATAACCATGGAAATGGAAAACACATCAGTGGGTGCCAGGGGCTGAGGGGGTGGGTCAGGAAGGGAGTTGGATGTGGCTATAAAAGGAGAATTTGAGCCATCCTTGTGATGATAGAACTGTGCTGGATCCTGGCTGCATACACAAACCTATGCCGTGATAAAATTGCATAGCACTAAACCACACATGCGTACGCAAACACAAAAATGAGTACAAGTAAATCGGGAAATCCCAATAAGGTCAGTAGCTTATATCAGTGTCAGTATCCCAGCTGTGATACTGTATTACAGATTTCTACAATCTTGCCCTCGGGGGGAACAGCATAGAAGCAGGGGTCTCTCTGTGATTTCTTTTTCTTTTTCTTTTCTTTTTTTTTTTTTTGAGATGGAGTCTCACTCTGTTGCCCAGGCTGGAGTGCAGTGGTGTGATCTCGGCTCACTGCAACCTCTACCTCCTAGGCTCAAGTGATTCTCCTGCCTCAGCCTCCCCAGTAGCTGGGACTACAGGCAAGCCACCATGCCCAACTAATTTTTGTATTTTTAGTAGAGATGGGGTTTCATCATACTGACCAGGCTGGTCTCGAACTCCTGATCTCAAGTGATCTGCCCGCCTCAGCCTCCAAAAGTGCTGGGATTATAGGCATGAGCCACCACGCCCGGCTTCTCTATGATTTCTTCCAGCTGTGTGTAAATCTTTAATTATCTGAAAATAAAAAGTTTAATTTAAGAAAATGAAGAAAAGAGCCAATTCCCCTGCTTATCCCTCTAACATTCCCCTCCTATCCCCTCTCCCTCTTCTGCAATCCTCCATTGGCCTCAGCCCTGGGATACACTCCCAGCTCTCCCTTTTCCAAGCATTTGCACCAGAAACACTTCAGAAGCCTTCTCTGACCCCCCTCAACTAATGCGGGCCCTCCCTGTGACTTCTTATCACAGCACCCTGTTTATGTCTGTCCCAGTACTTATCACTATCTCTAATCAGATTAATGAGGTTACATGTATGAATGTTTATTTTATTTCAAGATGCAGATAGCAAAGATAGCTTTGACTGCAAAATGTTTTCAACTTCCCTAGATTTTTTTTTTTTTTTTTGAGACGGAGGTTTGCTCTGTTCCCCAAGCTGGAGAGCAGTGGCGTGATGTCGGCTCACTGCAACCTCCACCTCCCGGGTTCAAGCGATTCTTGTGTCTCAGCCTCTCGAGTAGCTGGAATTACAGGTGTGTGCCACCACACCCAACTAATTTTTTGTGTTTTTAGTAGAGACAGGGTTTCCCCATGTTGGCCAGGCTGGTCTTAAACTCCTGACCTCAAGTGATCCACCCGCCTTGGCCTCCAAAGTGCTGGGATTACAGGCATGAGCCACTGTGTCTGGCCTAGATTAAAATATGCCATAAGAAAAAGACAGAACTCAAGTGTGTTAGTCCATTTTTGCATTGCTATAAAGAAATATCTGAGACTGAGTAATTTACAAAGAAAAGAGGTTTAATTGGCTTATGGCTCTGCAGGCTGTACAGGAAGCATAGCACCCGTATCTACTTGGCTTCTGGGGAGGCCTCAGGGAGCTTTTATTCACGGGGAAGGCAAGAGGGGAGCAGGCGTACATGGTGACAGCCAGGGCAAGAGAGAGGAGGGAGGTGCCGCACACTTCTAAACAACCAGATCTTGTGAGAACTCACTCACTATGGCAAGGACAGAACCAAACCATGAGGGACCCGTCCCCATGACCCAACATCTCCCACCAGGACCCACCTCCAACACTGGGGATCACATTTCAACAAGAGATTTAGAGAGGATGACATCCCAACTATATCAGCAAGCAAAAGACTAGAAAAAGGTAGCAATCTACATTATGAACGGTTAATGGCCTTAATATATGAAGAGTTCTTACAAATCAATAAGACAAACATCCCTTTAAGAAAAATAGGCAAAGAACATAAATGGTTCACAAAAGACATATTCCTCCATCAGATGTGAAATAGCCACCTCAATATACTGCTAGTTTTTCAAGTTGGGAGTATAATAGGTAACCTCAAATTTAAATTATGTATTTGTCTATAAATGCATTGTTTGCCTCCCTCTGAGAGACCACAAGCCCCATGAGGGCAGAGCTTTATGTCTGCTGTGCTCACTGCTTTATCCCCAGTGCCTGAAACAGTGCCTGACACAGGCATAGCATGTGTACAATAAACATATATTAAATGAATGAATGGTTTAAAAGTCAGCAATAATAGGCTGGGCACAGTGGCTCACGCCTGTAATCCCAGCACTTTGGGAGGCCGAGGCAGGTGGATCACCTGAGGTCAGGAGTTCACCAACATGGTGAAACCACATCTCTACAAAAATACAAAAATTAGCCGGGCATGATGGTGGGTGCCTGTATTCCCAGCTACTCGGGAGGCTGAGAGGCTGAGGCAGGAGAATCGCTTGAACCCAAGAGGCAGAGGCTGCAATGAGTTGAGATCACACCATTGCACTCCAGCCCGGGCAATAGAGCAAAGTTCTGTCTCAAAAAAAAAAAAATTCAGCAATAATAAATTCAACAATCTTTTTTTTTTTTTTTTTTGAGATGGAGCCTAGCTTTGTCACCAGTCTGGAGTGCAGTGGCACGATATCAGCTCACTGCAACCTCCGCGTGGGTTCAAGTGATTCTCCTGCCTCAGCCTCCTGAGTAGCTGGGACTACAGGAGCACGCCATCACACCTGGCTAATTTTTGTATTTTTAGTAGAAACGGGATTTCACCATGTTGGCCAGGATGGTCTCGATCTCTTGACCTCCTGATCCGCCTGCCTCAGCCTCCCATAGTGCTGGGATTACAGGCATGAGCTACCGCACCTGGCCTCAATAATCATTTTTAAACATGAACCAGGTCCCAAGCTTTTGTCCATAGTTAACTGTATATGCAGTACTTATTTTGTGCCTGGCCCTGTTCTAAGTACTTACAATATATTAATCAATTTGGTTCTCCCAACGACCCTATGAGGTAGGTGCCATTAACATTCCCATTTTACTGATGAGAAGACTGAGGCACAAAAAGGCTAGAGCACTTGCTGGTGGTCACAGAACCATAACCTAGGCATTGTCACTCCAAAATCCACGTGTTTAAGGACTGTGGTTGCTGACCCTTGAAATGCAGTCCCCAAAACCCTGGAACTTTGTCCGGGGAGCCCCACTGGCCTGAGACCCATTGGCCTGAGACCCAGAGACAGCAAGTGACAAGGCCAAGGTCACAGAGTTAGGAAGCAGCAAAGTCAGTGAAGGCCGCAGCCAGGAAATGAGCAGAAGCATGGGCCTGGGAAAACACGCCCGCCACCAGGAGAACACACTTGACTCACTTTTTTTAAAAAACTCGGGGGAGATTAAGTGATTAAGCCTTGAAATGTCAGAAGCCAGCAGCAGCCTGGAAGCGACCCAGCAGGACTCTTCCCGAACCCACAGCGGGTGGCAGGGGGGCAGGGGGCGGAGGACTGGGGGCGCACAGGGGGCGGTACAGGCCTTCTGCTCTTCTTCCCTCTGGGCAGGAAACCTGGCTTGGAGGAGGGGCTGGTTCTGCAGACAGGATGCAAGCACCTCTGTGACAGGTGGCATGTGGAGAGGAATCCAGGGACAGCAGGGGCCTCGGGTGGGGGCTGGGGCTTTGGAGCCGCTGACCCCTGAAACTCCACGACAGAAACTGGCCTGAAACCTCAGCTCCTGTGGCGCAATCAGTTAGTCATGCTACTTATAAGAAACCAGCCCAGAGCTTCCTCTGGCTTCTGGGACAGCTGGGCTGGGCTGGCAGGAAGCTAGGCATGCACTTCTTCCTGGGACAGTAACCTACCTAGAACTGGGGTTTCCAGAAATGGCAGCCACGTCGGTGGCCCCACTGGGATAGTAAGGCAGGCCAGGCCAGGGCCCCAGAATGGCCCGGGATCTGCCTGGTTGGCTCCGTCCCCAGCCCAGCCAGTGGGAGGGAGGGGAGGCAACAGACTGGCTCTGCAGCCACCAGGAACACAAATCGGCCCCCTCCACCAACAGCACCCACCAGCCTCCCTGTGGGCCTGCTGTGGCTCAACCATCCTCACCCACTTGCTCAAGTACCTCACTTATTCTCCTTCTCTTTTTTGCTTTAGAGACAGGGTCTCATTCTGTGGCTAGAATGCAGTCGCACCGTCACGGCTCAGTGCAGCCTTGAACTCCTGGGCTCAAGTGATCCTCCTGCCTTAGCCTCCCAAGTAGTTGTGACTACAGGCACACACCACCATGCTCGAATAATTTTTAAATTTTTGTAGAGATGGGGATCTCTCTCTGTGGCCCAAGCTGGAGTGCTATGGCACAATCATAGCTCACTGCAACCTCAAACTCCTGGCCTCAAGCAAACCTCCTGCCTCGGCCTTCCAACATGCTACAGGCATGAGCTGCCGTGTCCAGCCATCTCCTCATTTATTCTTGCTGTGGGTGTTTTCCAAGTACTGCCTATGTGCTGGCTATTACAGATGCAAACAGGCCATTCATTCATTCATTCCTTTCTTCTTTTAACAAATATTTGAGCAAGGAAGAAGTTGCCAGAGCGTTTTGAGCAAAGAAGTGACATGATGAGACTTTAAAAAAGACCTCTCTTGCTTGGGTGGTGGGGGCACGGGTAGAAGTGGGTAGCAGTGAGGAGGCTACCACACTGGCCCCAGAGAGAGGTGCCAGGGCTCACACCAGGCTGCGGAGATGGGGAGGTTGAGAAGGGGCTGAATTCTAGATCTGTGTTGAAGACAGAGCCCACAGGATTTGCTGACAGGATGGATGCTGTGGGGCGGGAGAGAGAACAGGAAGGCTAATAGGAGTCAAGAATGATTCCACAGCCATTGGCCTTTTCCAAGATGGCGGCCTGTGGGGGTAGCCCGTGTGACAAGCCAGCCTGCTGGGCAAGCTGCAGGACTTCAGATTAGCAGAGGAGGCTGTTAGCAGGCGCTCAGGGAAGACCCTCCCTCATCCTAGAGGGTCAGGTTTCTTTATCGGGGATGCACCAGAGTTCTCTCGGGGAGGGGCCCGACATACAGCAGGCACTCAATAAGTGAGCATGTGTATTTTATTTTATTCTTATTTTAACAGGTATACAGTGTTTCCTTGGTGCCAGACACTGGCCTAGGTGCTTTAAGCCCTCCCTATGAGATAAGTATAATTATTAAACCCATTTTATGATTCTGAAGGTTCTTTTTTTTTTTTTGAGACAGAGTCTCACTGTGTAGTCCAGGCTGGAGTGCAATGGTGGGATCTCAGTTCACTGCAACCTCTGTCTCCCAGGTTCAAGTAGTTCTCCTGCCTCAGTCTCCCGAGTAGCTGGGACTACAGGTGCCCACAACAACGCCCAGCTAATTTTTTTGTATTTTTAGCAGACACAGGGTTTTGCCATGTTGGCCAAGCTGGTCTCAAACTCCTGACCTCAGGTGATCCACCCACCTCAGCCTCCCAAAGTGCTGGGATTACAGGCGTGAGCCACTGCGTCTGGCAGATTCTGAAGGTTCTTATGAGAGGGCGGGGTGAGGGAGGGAATGAGGGAAGACCCAGCGAATAGGCAGGCAGGAGGGAGGGCACGGCCCACTTCCCACCCTACAAGCGGGGCCCTTGGCTGGAGCAAGGGGGAGAAGGACTGGCTGGGATGGCAGCTGGAAGGTTGGCAGGCCGGGGACAACACCGTCTGCCAAGCCATGGCAGTAGACTCAAACTCTGTCTCTAGGGCAGTGGGGAGCCAGTGAAGGCTCTTAAGCAGGAGAGGAGCGGGCTGAGCTGAGAGCTGGCGAAGAGGGGGCAGGTTTGAGCCTGTTTGGGAGGAGGAGGCAGCAGGGACTTGGTGGCGCTTGGTGGGGAAAGCAGGCTGGGGAGAGCGGGGACAGAGGGAAAGTGGCCTCAGGCTGGGGTGGTGGGGAGGATCCCAGGGACCCTTCCCACGATGGAGAGCCGAGAAGAGAAGCAGATTTGCTGGGGAAGACCACGCGCTCCGGCGCACTGTGGACACTTTGAGTCCACACAGTCAACAGGCAACTCCATCCGGGATCCTGGAAGCCAGGCCTGTCTTCAGAAGATTCCAGAGGCCCAAAGGAGGAAACAGAGCCTGAGGAAACTGTGTCCAGAAGCCACCTACCCAGGAACAGCAGCCAGCCTGGCCTCCATCTTTCTGCAACCTGTTATCTTGCTTTATTTCTCTGCAATCTTTGTGGCATATTGCACACTCGGGCCTTATGTGTTTGGTGCTCATATCCCCTACTGCAAGGCCAGCTCACACAAGGCCAGTGTCGATCCCGCTCACAGCCATCTCCCCAGAGCCTAGCACGGTGCCTGGCACACAGCAGGTGCTCCATGAATATTTGCTGAATGGAAGAACGACAGGATGAATTCCCCTGGCTGTGAGCAGGGAGGCCTGGTTGGTCATCCCCAATTTTCCACCTCTCCCTGCTGGGCAAACACTAGCAAATCCTGGCTTGGAGTCCCCTTAAATGTCCTAATGCAGGCACAGATCTCAGCCACCTCGGGGCCCTGACCTCCAGAGAGCTGGTTATCGACTATCACTCACTGTCCTGAGCAGCGGACAATGGCCTCTTGGCGCCAGGGTGCTGATTAGATTTTGACTGTCTTAGTGACAGCTATGGCTCCTAGCTGGCCTCCTTCTTGAGGTCTGCAGAGGTCACTGTGACTGGCCACGTGTCCCCTCTTCCTTCAGCCATGAGAGGCCATGCCCTGGGCCCTTCTGCCCTTGGTTTCGCCCCTCCCCAACTGGGTGCAACTTTGCTCACCAGCCTTGGCATTGGTTGTACCAGTCTCACTAACAAAAAAAAGCACTTGAAGGCTGGGCGCGGTGGCTCCTACCTGTAATCACAGCCATTTGGGAGGCTGAGGCAGGTAGATCACTTGAGTCCAGGAGTTCAAGACCAGCCTGGGTAACATGGCAAGACCCCGTCTCTACCAAAAATACAAAAAAAAATTGCCAGGCATGGTGGCACATGCCTGTAGTCCCAGCTACTAAGGGAGATGAGGCAGGAGGATGGCTTGAGCCCACGAGGTCGCAGCTGCAGTGAACTGTGATCATGCCACTGCACTCCAGCCTGGGCAACAGAGTGAGACCCTATCTCTAAAAAAAAAAAAAGAAGCCCTTGAGCCTCACTCACTCACTTAACCATGGACCCAATCCAAGGAGCATTGCAGATACAATTAATATCATCTCCATTGCAGAGATGGAGAAGCCGAGGCCCAGAGAGGGTCAGGAACCTGCCTAAGGATGCACAGCTAGTGAGTGGGCTGGGATTTGAACCCAGGCCTTTGGCTCTGGAGTGCACAGCACAGTGCCTGGCACAGAAGCAGTCATAAACTTGCTTTTTTATACACCACTCTTTTTTGCTTCTCCTGGAAAGCTCACTATGGAAGATACAGTAAAATATTCTCCCTGCAAGCACAGATGGAGGAATGAGGCTGAGGGAGGTTCAGAATTTGCCCGAGGTGATGGTGACGGAGCAGGAAGTAACCAGGTAGGAATTTAGAATCTGGCCTTTGTCACCATTTGCTCGGCCCTCAGCAGCAGTGAACTTGTCTCAACAATGACCAGGACTTTGCCCCCTGGGCAAACCCAAAGCCAGGACAACACATGGGCACAGGTAAGAGCTTCCCGTTCATTTTCTGCTTGCAGACTGGCATATGGAAGGCAGTGGGTGGGGACTACCCATGGAGCTCTTCCTGTTGTCTCACCCCATACCATTCCTGGATGGGTGGGGACACACAGACATGGGGGCCACCTTTGTGGGCAGGGACCCCCAAGCATCTGAGACACAGAAGCATAACTCTGGGCCTAAGTGCAGGCTCCAACCTGACTCGGTGGGAGACCGTGGCAGGCTGGAGTCCACTCAGAGCCTCAGTCTCCTCATCTGTGAAATGAGAATAAGATCACTTGCTTCATGGCTGGTTGCAAGGCTGCTGTTGTTTTTAACTCATCTGGCTTATTAGTACAGGAGTACTGACATCAATAAAATAGAATTCATGACAATGATGTCTTGAGTAAGTATTAGAAGAGAGAAGGTGGATGGTTTTTTTGTTTTTGTTTTTTTGAGAATGTCTCACTCTGTCACCTAGACTGGAGTGCAGTGGAGCAATCATAGCTCACTGCGGCCTTGAATTCCTGGTCTCAAGTGATTCTCCCACCTCGCCCTCCCAAGTAGCTGGAACTACAGGTGCACGCCACCACACCCAGCTAATTTTTAGTTTTTGGTAGAGATGGGGTCTCACTATGCTGCCCAGGCTGGAAGTTGGCTCTTTTATACTGATTAAAGGAACAATTCAGCCAGCTGCGGTGGCTCATGCCTGTAATCCCAGCACTTTGGGAGGCTGAGGTGGGCAGACTGCTTGAACCTAGGAGTTTGAGACTGGCCCGGGAAACATAGCGAAATCCCATCTCTACAAAAAACACAAACATCAGCTAGGCGTGGTAGTGCACATCTGTAGTCCCAGCTACTCGGGAAAATGCAACAATTCACCAAAAAGGTATAAAAATCCTGAACCCTTATTCTACTCATATGGCTATGCACTTAACAACATAGCTTCAAAAATAAAGCAAAAAACTGACAGACTCAAAAGGAGAACTTAACAAAGCCTCTATTATGGTGAATTGTAATTGTATTACGGTGGGAGGTAAATCAGGTAAAAAAAAAAAAACCACATAGTGACATAACAAATATAGATAATATAATAGCTAGCTTGATCAAATAGATACATTTCTAGAACCTTATACCCAACAGAAAATATACATTCTTTTCAAACACAAGAGGAAAAAAATGACCAGAAAATCCTATAAAGATCTCAGCAAATTCTCTACCACTGATATTATAGGAACCACATATATTGACCACAACAACCATGATGACCAAATTTAGAAATCAACAATAAAAAGATAACTTAAAAAATTCTATCTGTCTCAAAAATTTAAAAAGCATATAATTAAATAAGTCTTAAAATGGGAACCAAAAGGGAAATTCTAAACTGGGCAGTGAATAACATTGTGTAACAAGTTGTGGAAAGAAACCAAAGCAGTACTCAAAGAAAAAATGATAGCATGTTAGCCTGAAGTAGATTTATTAGAGAGCATGAAAAACTGGAACCTCTTAGCTTTAGACAAGGACTCTCAGAATAGAAGAAACTTGGATTAACAGCAGCTCATATAGAAGAGAAACATGGAGATTTTAGCTGACAAGCCCAATATGCACTCCAAGTGGGATATGGCTGCTACACAGTATGATTCCAGGTTGCATCAACAGAAGTATAAGCTCTAGATCCAAGGAGGTAATAGTCTCCTTCCTCTTTGACCAAACAAACAGTCTTTGCGTGGGACTCCAACCAGTTGACTCATGTGCCAAGGCAGGCCAAACTTATAATTTCCTGAGTCAGGGAGAATACCTGAAATAACTACAGTTGTGTAGTCTGAATAAGAGAAGTATCCGAGTTTGGAGGGAGATGGTCACTACCTCCAAGAGGCAGAAACAGACTCAGAAAGTGGAAGCTCCTAGAAAGCTAATTTGGGCTGGGCACGGTGGCTCACACCTGTAATACCAGCACTTTGGGAGGCTGAGGTGGGCGGATCACCCTAGGTCAGGAGTTTGAGACCAGTCTGGCCAGCATGGTGAAACCCCATTGCTAATAAAAATACAAAAATTAGCCAGGCGTGGTGGTGTGTGCCTGAAATCCCAGCTACTCGGGAGGTTGAGGCAGGAGAATCACTTGAACCCGGGAGGCAGAGATTGCAGTGAGCTGAGATTGCGCCACTGCACTCCAGCCTGGGCAGCAGAGTGAGACTCCATCTCAAAAAAAAAAAAAGAAAGAAAGAAAGCTAATTTGGCTAAATCTCAGGAAGATTTTCTCCCAGTTAGAGCTGCCCACCTGTGGAAATGTGGCTTCTGGAAGAAATATGCTAGAGGCAAGACCGTCGGGAGGCTGTGGCCCTGCCAGCTTGGAGACCTGCCCAGCCCAGAGAGCTGGTGCCTCTCCTCCCTAGAATTCAGTCTTCCCTTTTAAAAAGGCAGAATACTTCCCTGGCCGCTTCAGGAAAACATAGGCCTTCTCTGAGTTTTTCAAAAATGGTTCTGGGCGACTATGCTCACTGATTTCCAACGAAGAAATGTAATCCTTTTAAACTCTCCTCTTTGGGCTGGATAGCTCAGAACCGTGGTTAAATGCACAGGCTTCTGGGTCTGTAGCCCTGGGTTTGAATCTGGACTCTGCCACTTAGGAGCCGTGTCACCCAGGTAAGTCTCTAGCCTGAGCCTCAGGTTCCTCCTCAGGGAAATGAGCAGGACACCCACTCATCTCCATTCCTGCACCCAGCACAGAGCGTGATGTGGACTCCAGCCTCCACTGCCAGAGGCCGTGGTTGGGGCCATGGCTTCGGGATGATTCAAGCACATTACATGTATTACGTACTTTATTTCTATTATTATTATATGGTAACATATAATGAAATAATTATACAACTCACCATAATGCAGAATCAGTGGGAGCCCTGAGCTTATTTTCCTGCAATTAGATGGTCCCATCCAAGGGCGATGGGAGACAGTGACAGATCATCAGGCATTAGAGTCTCATAAGAAGCACGCACCCAGGGCCGCGTGCAGTGGCTCATGCCTGTAATCCCAGCACTTTGGGAGACTGAGGCAGGTGGATCACCTGAGGCCAGGAGTTCGACACCAGCCTGGCCAACACAGTGAAACCCTGTCTCTACTAAAAATACAAAAATTAGCTGGGTGTGATAGCACAGGCCTGTAATCCCAGCCACCAGGCTGAGGCAGGAGAATCACTTGAACATGGGGAGGTGGAGATTGCAGTGAGCCAAGATCGCACCATTGCACTCCAGTCTGGGCGACAAGAGCGAAACTCCGTCTTAAAAAAAAAAGAAAAAGTACGCAACCCAGATCCCTCACATGTGCAGTTCACAAAAGGGTTTGTGCTCCTGTGAGAATCATCTAATGCCTCAGCTGACCTGACAGGTGGCCGAGCTTGGGTGGTAATGCGAGCGATGGGGAGCAGCTGTAAATACAGATAAAACTTCGCTCACTCACCCGCCACTCACCTCCTGCTGTGTGGCCCTGCTGTGTGGGGACCCCTGGTCTGAGACACTGAGGAAGGTGCTCATTCATAAAATAATATGTAAAATGATTGGACTGTCTGTAAAATGGGGCTTGGAGGAACCAGTCCTGCGCTGCCCACATTCACAGTATTTCTGGGCAGATGGATGGCAGGGAGTACACCGACAATGTAAAAAAGTGGATCGATCTAAATGGCAGGTGTGTCTTCAGCACTCAGGCATAGATTTTATTGTGTTTAAACACCATGGTGAGGACTGAGGACTCTGGAGCTTCTAGGTTCACAGCCCTGCTCTGCCACCTTCAGGTGTGTGACCCTGGACAAGTCACTGAACCTCTCTGTGCCTCTGTTACTTCATCTGTAACATTTGCATGAGAGTAGCTCCTATCTGGTAGGGTTATTACACAAGTTAAATGAGACAATGCAGGTATCTGGCCCCAGCTCCCTCCCTGACCTCTGCTCCTAGACCTCTTTCTTGTTTGGTTCCATCCAACCACACCAGCTTCCTTGCTGTGGGTCAAACACACCAAGCTCATTCATGCCTCTGGGCCTTTGCACTCTCTGTTCCCACTGCCAGGATCACTCTTTCCCCAGATATCCACATGCCTTGGTATTTCAGGTCTCAGTTCAAAAGCCACTTCCTCAAAGTCACCAAGCCCAGAATGCTTTCAGCTCCATGAGGGCCCTCATTTCTGGGTCACTCATTCCCGTGTCCCCAGCCCCTGGCACTTTGGCTAAGCAAGCGTTAAGCACCTAGCCCCGGGCTGGCACTCGAGATATGTGAGCGCGTGTTACGTTCAACTTTGCTTTGCAGGCGAGAGGCTCTAAGACCCAGAACACAGCCCCTCCCCACCAGGAACTCAATTCCACCAAACCCTTGGAAGGCCCCACGGCTCCTCTTCCCCTCCCGGGACCCACTTCCTCCAACTCCAGATGCAAGCCCAGCTGGGCACCATCCTCGGCCGAGAGGTTACAGCACCCAGGCTGGCTTTAGCGCAGACCTCAGATTTCTTAAGCAAACGAGAAGAGGTGAGGAGGCCTGTGGGGGCACCTAAAGAGAGAATGAGTCAGTCAGAGCTAGACTTGAAACGTAAGAGACATCAGCACTTCTTGGAAAGGCAAGAACGGACGCATTTAGACAGAACTGTGCATGCAGAATGAGGGGTAAGCACAGGCCAGTCAGGAAGTGGAGTCTTCCGTCCTCTGTGAGTCCCTCCACCTGGCCCTCTCTTCCTCATCCCTCTCAAATGTCACCTCCTCAGGGAAGCCCTCCCTGATTCCACTTGCACCCAGCTTTGCTTTCCTTCCTAGCACAGTCTCCACCTGATAGGATATTGCAGGTCCATGTTCTCTCCTGTAAAATCCTGGGGGCCAGACATAGTTCAGAATTCAGGATGACTCAGGCTGTAGAAAGGTCACCTTGTATAAAATACCCACCGACATGCCCATCATGCAGGGCGGGAAAGCACCCAAAGATCAATTGCACTAATATCTCTGCAGAAAGACATCTGAGCATCACACCGAAGAGGATGAAGACTCTAAAAAGCCTCAAGTTTAGCTTCAAAATGAGTTATGAAAAACTTTCGGTTTTCAGAAATCGTGGATTTCAGAATAACAGATAAAGCTGCCGATCTGAACATATGTATTGGTTGTACATTGCCTGTATGCTCAACTAGAATCTAAACCCCAGGAGAGCAAAGGACTTGGTCCGATGCTCTGGCACATATAGGTGCTCAATAAATTCCTGAGGAAGAAATGCAGGAGGAAGCCAGGTGCTGGATACGCAGAAGGGACTCGGTCCAAAATGCAGAGAAAAACAGCAATCACTGAGCGCCTTCCAAGGGCAAAATGTCTATACAAACTATCTCATGAATGCTCTCCCTGCAAACACCCATGACAAAACAAAGGGAGGCTCAGAGAGGTTAAACAACTTCCTCCAGATTACACAGTGGAGAGCTGGGAAGTAGCCAGCTCCGATTTAAACCTGGGATCCCCTCTTCAAGCTCAGGCCCTTCTCTCTGCCTTAAGCTCAGAGACGCAGAGCAATTTGCTGGATATCATAAAACAGTGGTGATGCACCCGGTCTGACAGTGGATCCCCCAGCCTCTGTAGCACCTCAAGCCTCTGCCGGGGCGCTCCGATCCACATTCACCAAGGGCAGGTCTGTGCAACCTCCAGACAAGCTCCTGGCCTCTCTTCTAGCCCAGCCATGGTAAGTCTAGCTAAACGTGGCTGGGCATGTCTCCACTGTGCCAGCCAGGAGGAAAACTCAGAAATGTCTTTCTTGGTCACCCCAGTGAACTGGTACAAGCAGGAAAGAATACATGGGAAGAAAAGTAGGATGGAGTCTGTCCCTCAGATGTGGACCTGAGGCAAGGCTACTGCATTCATCTCCGGGTCTCAGTTCTCACCTGCAAAATGAGTGGACTAAATCCCAACCAATAAAGCTCAAAGGAGGCAACAGTAAAGATTTATTCATTTAGGCCAGGCACGTTTGCTCGCATCTATAAATCCAACACTTTAGGAGGCTGAGGCAGGAGGACTGCTTGAGACCAGCAGTTCAAGACTAGCCTAGGCAACATAGCAAGATCCTGTCTCTAAAAATATAAAAACAATTAGCCAGCCGTGGTGGCACACACCTGTAGTCCCAGCTACTCAGGAGGCTGAGGTGGAAGGATTACTTGAACCCAGGTATTGGATGCTACAGTGAGCTATGATTGTGCCACTGTGCTCCAGCCTGGGAAATAGAGAGAGACCATGGCTCTAAAAAAAAAAAAAAGGTATTCATTTAACAAATACATAGTTTGTACTACATACCAGGTACTGTTTTGTATGCTTGACATATATTAACTCATTTAGTCATCACTACAATGGCATAGTCACTATAATCTCATAAATGCAGAAACTGAGGCTCTGGGAAGTCAGTTACACAGTAAGCAGCAAAGCCAGCATTTGCACTGGGTGATCTGGCTCAAGTCCATACTGTCACTCCCCAGCTATACGTTTTGACAGGTAACAACAGACATATACATTGATTGTGGACCCACTGGGTGTTGGACATTGTGTGAAGTAGCTTATAAAACATGTCATCAACCCTCAAGAAAGTTCACTTTTACAAATGTGAGGAAGAACAGTACTTAGGCGGCTTCTGTCCTGGCCTCACTCCCAGGTACCAGTGAGGGCAGTCGAGAGGTGGGGCATCTAATCCCAAACGCTCTCCTCCATCGTCCCAGATGGGGTGGGTGGAAGAGGGCAGGGAGATGGGGGAGGTAGAAAAGGTTCTCTCTTCTCATGTATTTATGTATTTGTTTATTTTGAGACAGAGTCTCGCTCTGTCACCCAGGCTACAGTGCAGTGGCACAATCATAGTTCACTGCAGCCTTGACCACCTGGGCTCAAGCCATCCTCCCACCTCAGCCTCCCAAATAGCTGGGGCTAGAGGCACCTGCTACCACGCCTGGCTAAGTTTTTAAATTTTTTTTGTAGGAACAGGATCTCACTATGTTGCCCAGGCTGGTCTCAAACTCCTGGGTTCAAGCGATCCTCTCTCAGCCTCCCAAAGTGCTGGGATTACAGGTGTGAGTCACTGCGCCCAGCTTGTCACTTCTTTGACAATTCATTTCAGCTCCTTTTTGAACTGGGAGCATTAGAAAACTGAACACCCCCACCCTTGCCCTGGGCATTTTGCAACCGGGATTGTATTGTATTAAACATATCAGTCATTGAGTCACTTCCTAGCATTTGGAAACCCTTAGGTTATCTCGGACCTGCCGGTAACTGCATGTGTTGTAAATGGGGTGAGTGACTGCAGGTTTTCCTCCCTGCTGCCTCCCCAGCGTCTCCCTCCAGATTCAGATCCAGAGGCCCAGGGTGGGGCCCAGGAATCTGCATTGTTGCTTTTACAACTCAAGCCAAGGTGAATACACTGGCCCAAGTTCCTTGGCATGGCATTCAAGGCTTTCCACAATGCAGCCCAGCCCAACTTTCCATCCATCTCTGGCTTCTGCTTACTCCCTAGGTTCTGTACACAGTGCCCTTTCACACTTCCCAGCCTCCGCCCACTCTGTGCCTCCCTTTACCTCCCATCCTCTACCTGCCAGACTCCCCTGCTCTACTCACAAGGCTAGCTCAGGGTCCCTGGGTGCTGGGAAGCCTGGCCCAGTGACCTTTGAAGAGCTGATCCCCTCTGGCTTGTGGTCCTGCAGCCGCTGGTGCATCCGCACCCTCCCAGCCCTCACGTCTGTCTTCCTGCAGAGGGGGTGCTCCTTGAGGCAAGCACCAGTGCCCAGAACACCACCCAGGGCCTCGCAGGAGCTGAATGAGTGCTAGTGAGTGAATGAGTGGCTTAGCAGGTCACCTCCCATTCATGGGCTGGGCTAGCCGAGTTCTAAGAAACCCCTGCAGGACCCTGGAATGCCCTAATGTGCAGGACACCCTGGCCAAACCTACACCTGAGCCTGTTTCCCCATTGGACTTTGGGATTTTGATAAAGGCACTGAGGTCCCAGCAAATGCCTTGGGCTCCTCATAGGCTACTGGGGGCAGGGAAGTGCAGTGGGTCATGCCTCCCAGAGGGCTGGGGAAGGGGAGAGACTAGAACTGGAGCAGGGTTAGCGCTGGCCTGGGGGCATTCCTTGAACCCCAGAAGCAGACAAACTAGTGGTCCCCTATCTTGCTTAAGTCTAAGAAATCCAGATTTTGTTTAAAAAAAAAATCAGGGCTCAGTGGCTCACACCTGTCATCCCAGCATTTTGGGAGGCCGAGGTGGGAGGATCACTTGAGGCCAGCCTGGACAACATAGTGAGACACCATCTTTATAAAATAAATTTTTAAAAATAAAATAAAGATCAGATTCCTGGGTTTACTGAATCTGAATCTCAGGGCAAGGACCTGGGAATCTGCATTTTAAGCAAATCTCCCGGAGATTCTGGTTATTGTGGGGGCTCCTCAAACGTGATTGAGAGATGGAGAGCAGCTGGCTCTGGCGTGGGATTGCCTGGGCTCTAGTCCTGCTGCCCCACGGACTCCCAAGTGGGCGGCACCTTAGGGCAAGTTACTAAAGCGGCTGGGGTCTTGGTGACCTCATCTGTACAATGTCCATGACGCACAGCACCGGCCACAGAGAAGTTAGTGGGAGGTTTCACTTGGCATCCTTTCAGTAAAACAAGTCCCAGTCAATGATCGCGATTATTGGGTCCATCTGATATTCGGAGGCGGAGACCGCCCCGATTCACTGACCTACTACTCAAATTTACAGTTCTCAGAACTTTCCCCACCCTTTCTCTCTCCGAAGTCCTCACTGACTTCCTGAGCGCAGGGCTGGGCGCCACTGCCCGGAGAAGAGGGGCTGCGTGGCCTCCGACAGCCTAACCCCAAGCCCCCCACCCCCGCAGGCCGTCCCGGCGGAGGTCTCACTGCCAGCACCGGCTTTGGGGAGCGCTGGGTGTCCACGTACCCCGGGCCTCGCGCCTCCGCTGCCGTTCGGCGGCAAGGACGGAACCGGGCGCTGCTCCGCGCGCACCGAGAGTCGCGGGCTCGGGCCCCGCTCGGAGTCGGGGTGGTCCCCGTGGTCCCCGCCGGCGGCCGAGCCCTTCCCGAACGCCCTCAGCCGGCGTGCCCGGGCGATACCTTCGCAACCCGATCCGCGCGCGGGCCCCGGATCCTACCTGCGCGCCCCTGCTCCATTCGCCGTCCGGGCGCCCAAGCGGGAAGTGGGGGACCCCTGGGTGGCCCTTCCCTGGCCCGCGCCGCGCGGGGCTTTCCTGGGCGCGGAGACCCAGCCCGCCCCGGCTTCCTGCTCCCCGCCCCGGCGCCCGGCAGATTTGCATGCGCCGCCCCGCCCGGCGCGCCCGGCCCGGGTCCCGGCCACCTCGCGCCCCTGTCGCTGTCCCCGCCGCCGCCGCCGGACAGTCCGAGCCGCCGTCCTCTCCTGGGGGCGACCCCAGCACCTCGCTGGGTGTCTTGCCGCGCGCTTCCTCCCACGCCGTAGCCCGAGGTCACGCCCAGCGGAGAACTCTGCAGTGGATCCCCTTGGTCTCGGAATAAAACGCCCACGCCGACCAGGCCTCCAGGACCTGCTCCTGCCTGGCCTCCGCGGCCTCTTTTGCGCCGGGGCAGTTGCGTTTGGTGGGGGAGGGCTGGGCGACTGGAATCCTCCTCCCCTTCCTAACAGCCCGGCTTCCAAGTGAGAGTGGTTGCACATTCTTCAATAAATGTTTACCCAACTCCTACTCCAGCCACATTTGGATAGTAAAACAGCCCTTCAATCAGTAACTAGTACAATCTGTCGGGCACTGCAAATGTTAACTCGTTCAATCCTGGCAACTACCCTATAAGGGAGTGATACTATCACCGGTTTTACAAATCAGGAAACTGAGGCACAGAGTCCTTAAGAAATTCAAAATGGGTTGGGCAAAGTGGCTCATGCCTGTAATCCCAGCACTTTGGGAAGCTGAGGCGGGAGGATCACTTGAACCCCATAGTTCGAGACCAGCCTGGGCAACCCTGTTAGCGAGACCCCTATCTACAAAAATTGACATTTATAAAATTTTAAAAAAGAAAAGAAAGAAACTCAGAATCACTCTGCAGGTAAGCAGGAGCAGGGGTGGAGCTGGGATTCGAACACAGGCCCCATAGACCATTAACGTCTGGACACCATAAGAACCCGGATGCAGCCAGATGACTGGGGGGAAAACACTCAACAAAGTATTTCAGGTCAGGAGGGCCCAAGAAGAAAGTAGGGACCTCTTAGACCAGTGGGGCAGGTGGTCTGGAAGAGGCTTTTTGAGTAGAGGCCATTTGAGCTGAGACTCTGAAGAGCCTATGGGGGAAGACTTGTGTAGGGAGAGGGAAGAGCTAGTGCAAAGGCCCTGTGGGAACCAGCTCAGCCTGCAGGAGGAATTGCTGAAGGCCGGCATGGCTGTGGAGCCCTGAGTGAGGAAAGAGCGGAGACAGGGGAGGTGGGAGATATTTGGACTCACACTGGGCAGTGCTGAGAACCCAGAGAGTAATTTGACCCCCTGCTGCCCTCAAGGAGCTCTCAGTTTGAGGGTGGAAGCCAAGGACTGCCCAATGGGATCAAGTGCTGTGGTGGAGGGTGAGGGTTGGCTTCCCAGGGCAGGGGCCACTGCACGTCAATCATTCTTTTTTTTTTTTTGAAGATGGGGTCTCATTCCATTGCCTAGGCTGGAGTGCAGTGGGTGATCTCAGCTCACTGCAACCTCCACTTCCTGAGTTCAAGCAATTCTCCTGCCTCAGCCTCCTGAGTAGCTGGAATTACAAGCGTGCACCACCACGTCCGGCTCATTTTTGTATTTTTAGTAGACATGAGGTTTCACTATGTTGGCCAGGCTGGTATCAAACTCCTGACCTCAGGTGATCTGCCTGCCTCTGCCTCCCGAAGTGCTGGGATTACAGGTGTGAGCCACCACGCCTGGCCCATATGTCAATCATTCTTTCATGTACTTGGTCTGTCTTGGTCCTACTGTGTGTCTAACCTTGTGACAAGCGCTGATGACGCAGACCTGAAGACATGAAACAGACACAATCCCTGCCCTCTGAGACCTTACAACCAAGTGAGCAAGACAGCCACCAACCCACCCCCGGAAGTGACAGTAAAGATAAGTCAGTTCCCTGGGGTCAGGGATGGCTTCCTGGAGGAGGTGACCTCTGACCAGTGCCTGAATCAATGCAGAAAAACATGCAGGTGGAAGGGACAGCATGAGCAAATACCTGGAGGTGGCGTGGGAGTGTGGAAAAACTCCCATCCTTCGGCATCTGTTTGTGGATGCCTCCATATGCCAAGTCGTGAGCTGGGGGCTAGGGAGAGCAAGAAATAGATCCAGCCCCTGCTTCCTAGCCCTGAGGACCTGGTTGGGGCACTGACAAGTGAGCAGACGTAAGCAATTGAAGTGAACAGATGTAAGCAATTGAGTGTAATAAACCCCGTACTGGGGGCAGCCCAGGCAGACGCTAAGAGGACTAGGGAGAGAAGGCCACAGGAAGGGCTTTCCTGGAAGCTTGGGTTTCAGGAGGAATAGGAATCCTCTGGATTAGGTGTGACTTCCACTCCCGTCCACACTCATACTCCCTCACACTCATTACTCACACATCCGCACACCCACACGGTTGATGCTTCATCCCAGGCAGTTCAGCCCTGCAAGCTGCCTTTGTCCTGTCTGTGTTTCTGAGTTTGTGCCCCATGTCATCGGGAGACGACAGCAAAAGTCTACCTTTGAAGTCCTTTGGGAATGTATGGCTTGGGCTATATCCCCTCCTGGACTCCCAAACTGGGCTCCCATCCTGTTTTCCCAGTCAAGTCATCCTTCGTCGGTTTCCTCGCTTGCCTCTAGACTGCCGGCATTGGCATACCAACTCTGCTACGTATTGACTATGTGACTTTGGGCAAAGTAGATCATCCTCCCTGTGCTTCAGTTTCCCCATCTGTAAAATGGGGATAATAATAGACCCACCTCATAGGGCTATGAAATGGTGAAATGGCAAGGTACGTATCGCAGTGCCTAGAATAGTGCCTGGCGTGGATTAGGCATTCAAAATGTCAATTGCTGTTCTTATCAGGATGAAAATGAGAAAGAAGCAAAGTCGAAGCCTGTTGCCTTGGTCTGTTGCTTGGTTGTGAAATGGAGATGAACGTGGCATTGAGAAGACAGGCAAAGAAAGCACAGCTGTGGTCAGAGGCTAAGACATTCAGGAAATCTGGGGGAAGAGACTTCGGGAATTCTTTGTACTCTTCTCCCAACTTTCCCGCCAGTCTGAAATTATGTCAAATTACAAAGTTAAAGAAAACAGGGCATTGTTCTCGGGTGCAAGAGAGATAATAAATGTCTTCTTGCATACAGTCCCACTGTTCAAGTTCCTGCCCAAGATGCCCAGACTTTATCTGTGACTGCTCCGTCAGTCCTGGGAGCAGGTCCAAAGGCACCAAGATAGTAAAACCTCTGTTCCCCCATCTAGGGGTTCCCAAGTCTTGCCTCAGTATAAGCTCAATCCTCATTATATCCTAACACGCTTACTTGTTTCCAAGCCTTTCGGTCTTTAAAACTAATAGAGTTTATTTTTTAGAACCATTGTAGATTATGGAAAAATTGAGCCGATAGTACTGAGAGTTCCCATACATCCCTCTCCCCCATGCAAAATTTCCTCTTTTATCAACATCTTGCATTAGTGTGTAGTGCCTTCCTTATAATGCTGATACATTATTATAAACTAAAGTCCATAGCATACATTGTTTCACTGTTTCTCGGGGTTTTGTTTTGTTTTGTTTTGTTTTGTGTTTGTTTGCTTGTTTGGAAACAAGGTCTCACTCTGTTGCCCAGGCTGGAGCAGCCTGGAACTCCTGGACTCAGGGGATCCTCCTGCTTCTGCCTTCTGAGTAGCTTGGGCTACAAGAACATGCCACCACACTAGGCTTTTTTTTTTTTATACTTTTAGAGACAGTCTTGCTACATTGCCCAAGCTGGTCTCAGACTCCTAAGCTGAAGTTATCCTTCCATCTCAGCCTCCTAAAGTGCTGGGATTACAAGCATGAGCCACTGTGCCTAACCTCTGCAGCACAGTTCTGAGTCTTTTTTTTTTCTTTGAGACAGAGTCTTGTTCTGTCACCCAGGCTGGGGTACAGTGGCGTGATCTCAACTCACTGCAACCTGTGCCTCCCAGGTTCAAGCGATTCTCACTCCTCAGCCTTCCAAGTAGCTGGGACTACAGGTGCACGCCTGGCTAATTTTTGTATTTTTAGTAGAGACGGAGTTTCCCCATACTGGCCAAGCTGGTTTTGAACTCCTGACCTCAAGTGATCCACCAGCCTCGGCCTCCCAAAGTGTTGGGATTACAGGCATGAGCCAATGCACCCAGCCAAGTTCTGGGTCTTAACAATGTATAATGCCATGGATCCACACATGTAGCAACAAAAAGAATAGTTTCCCAGCCTGGGCAACATAGCAAGACCCGGTCTCTACCAAAAAACACAAACAAACAACAACAACAAAAAACAGGCCAGGCATGGTGGTGCACTGTAGTCCCAGCTACTCAGAGGCTGAGGCAGGAGGATCCCTTGAGCCCAGGAGTTCGAGGCTGCAGTGAACTATGATCATGCCACTGCACTCCAGCCTGGGCAACAGAATGAGACCCTGTCTCTAAAAAAAAAAAGAAAAAAATAAAGAATAGTTTTACTTCCCTAAAAATCCCCAATTCTCTACCTATTCTTCCTGGATTCTGGAAACCACTGATTTTTTTACTGTCTCCATAGTTTTGCCTTTTTCAGAATGTCACGTAATTGAAATCAGAAAGTATGTAGTCTCTTAATACTGACTTCTTTTACTTAGCAATATGCTTTTCAGGTTCCTCAATGTCTTTTCCAGGCTTCACACCTCATTTCTTTTGTGGCTGAATAGTGCCCTATTGTATGGATGTACCACAGTTTATCCATTCTACCTATTGAAAGACATCTTTGTTGCTTCCAATTTTTGGCAATTATGAATAAAGCTGCTATCAACACTCATGTGCAAGTTTTTGGGTGGACATAAGCTTGCAACACAATTGAGTAAATACCAAGGAGCACAATTGCTGGATCATATGGTAAAAGTAAGAAAGTTTGGCAATAAACTGCCAGTGTCTTCGAAGCTAGCTGTAACATTTTGCCTTTCTATCAACAAGTGAGAGTTTCCATTGCTCTGTATTCTTGTCAGCTTTTGATATTGTCAGTTTGAGGATTTTAGCCACTCTAGTAAGTGTATAGTGGTATCTCATCATTGTTTGCAATTTCCTAGTGACTTAAGATGCATATGTCAATGTTTGCAAATTAGGAAATTTGCAATTTCCTAATGACATATGATGTTGAACATATTTTCATATGCTTTTTGCCATCTGTATATCTTATTTGTTGTCTGTTGATATGTTGTGCCCATTTTTTAGTTGGGTTACTTGTTTTCTTATTGTCGAGTTTTAAAATTCTTTGTGTATTTTGGATACAGGTCCTTTATCAGACATGTGTTTTGCAAAGATTTTCAAATTTAATATAGTTTTCAATTTTCATAAACTCCAAACCACCAATTTTTTTTCTCATTCCTGGATTATACTTTTAGTGTCATATCCAAAAACTCATTGCCAAACCTAAGGACACTGAGATCCAAGATTTTATCCTATGATATCTTCTAGAAATTTTATAATTTTGTATTTTACATTTAGGTCCACGATTTATGTTGAGTTATTTTTTGTGAAAGGTGTAAGGTCTGTGTCTAAATTTATTATTATTATTTTGCATGTAGACATCCAGTTGTTTCAGGAACATTTGTTGAAAAGACTATCCTTTTCCCACTGGATTGCCTTTGCCTCTTTGTCACAGACCAGTTGACTGTATTTGTGTCAGTATATTTTGGGGATCTGTATTCTGTTCCATTATTCTTTTTGTCTCTTCTTTCACCTGCACCATACTGTCTTGATTACTGTAGCTTTATTTTATAGTTTTAAAGTCAGGTAATGTCAGTCCTTCAACTTGGTTGTTGTTCTTCAGTATTGTGTTGGCTATTCCAGGCTTTTTGCCTTTCTGTTTGAACTTTAGAATCAGTTTGCCAATACTCACAAAATAACTTGCTGGGATTCTGATAGGGATTGTGCTGAATCCGTAAGATCAAGTTGGGAAAAATTCTCCATGAACATGGACTATCTCTCCATTTATTGAGATCTTTGGTTTCATTCATCAGAATTTTGTAGTTTTCCTCATAAAGATCCAGTATATGTTTATTAGATTTATACTTAAGTATTTATTTTTCTTTCTTTTTTGGTGCTAATATAAATGGCATTGTGTTTTTAATTTTAAATGCCACTTGTTTATTACTGGTATGTGGGAAAGCAGTTGACCTTTGTATGTTAACTTTTTATCCTGCAACCTTGCTACACACACTTATTAGTTCCAAGAGGGTTTTTTATTTAATTCTTTAGGATTTTCTATGTAGACAATAATGTCATCTGCAAACAAAGAAAGTTTGGTTTCTTCCTTCCAAATCTGTGTAACTTTTCTTTTTTTCTGTTGAAGAAACCCAAATGGAAGTTTCTGTGTGTAGGGGAATGCTTCTGGGATAAGGTTGGCTTTCCTGACTGAAAGGGTCTTCCTGCTGTGAAACATCTTGCCGCCATGAGAGAAGGCCAAGACAACTGCAGTACAGGAGCACTGACATCTGTGAACAACTGAATCAACCCCAGCAAGAGCTAATATCTGGAATTCTTGTCAGGTGAAGAATTTTCTAGACACAGAAGCCGTGATATCTTTTTTTTTTTTTTTTTTTTTGAGACGGAGTCTTGCTCTGTCACCCATGCTGGAGTGCAGTGGTACAGTCTTGGCTCACTGCAACCTCTGCCTCCTGGGTTCAAGTGATTCTCCTGCCTCAGCCTCCCGAGTAGCTGGAATTACAGGCGCCCACCATCACGCCTGGCTAATTTTTGTATTTTTTGTAGAGATGGGGTTTCTCCATGTTGGCCAGGCTGGTCTTGAACTCCTGACCTCAAGTGGTCGACCTGCTTTGGCCTCTCAAAGTGCTGGGATTACAGGCATGAACCACTGCACCCAGCCCCTGACATTTTTGAGCAGCTGAACCGCACCAGTTGTGACCAACCTCCAGATTCCATGTAACTAGAGAAAATTTAACCTCTGTTTATGTTCCTATTATTGAGTTTTTTGTTATTTTGCAACTTAACAGATCAGACCCAATGGAATTATTTTGAGAGTGGGAGCCATTTGGGAATCATGGCTCAACTGGTTTTGGTGGGTGAAGACACAGGGGTTTGCCAACAACCCGAGTCAAGCTCTGTGGATATAGCCAGGAGATTGTGCAGAGGCTGAGGGTTGACTCCTTGCTTCCACCCTTGGGGAAGAATGATATCCAGTCATATCCCTCTTACCTCTGGCAAATCAGGTTCAACAGATAAACTTTCTCTAAAATAAAATGATGATGTTGACGGTGATGGTGGTGGTGGTGATGATGATGGTGATGATGGTGATGGTGGCGGTGGTGACGATGTTGACGGTGATGATGGTGATGGTGGCGGTGGTGACGATGTTGACGGTGATGATGGTGATGGTGGCGGTGGTGACGATGTTGACGGTGATGATGGTGATGGTGGCGGTGGTGACGATGTTGACGGTGATGATGGTGATGGTGGCGGTGGTGACGATGTTGACGGTGATGATGGTGATGGTGGCGGTGGTGACGATGTTGATGGTGATGATGGTGATGGTGGCGGTGGTGATGATGATGTTGATGGTGGTGGTGGTGATGTTGATGGTGATGATGGTGGTGGTGGTGATGATGTTGATGGTGATGATGGTGGTGGTGGTGATGATGTTGATGGTGATGATGGTGATGGTGGGGGTGGTGATGATGACGGTGATGATGGTGATGGTGGCGGTGGTGATGATGTTGATGGTGATGGTGATGGTGGCAGTGGTGATGATGATGTTGATGGTGGTGGTGGTGATGATGTTGATGGTGATGATGGTGGTGGTGGTGGTGATGTTGACGGTGATGATGGTGATGGTGGGGGTGGTGATGATGACGGTGATGATGGTGATGGTGGTGGTGGTGATGGTGTTGATGGTGATGATGGTGGTGATGATGTTGATGGTGATGATGGCGATGGTCGTGGTGATAATGGTAGTGGTGGCAGTGGTGATGATGATAGTGATGGTGGCGGTGATGATGTTGATGGTGGTAGTGGTGGTGATGATGATGGTGATAGTGGGGAGGAAGATGTGATGATGTTAAGAGCTAACACATATAACCACACTTACTACGTACCAGGCCCTGTTGTAGGCTCTTGTAATATATTAATTAATCCTCACAAAACTCCAAGAAGTAGGTACTGTTATTAGCTCCATTTCACAGACAAGAGAACAGGCACAGACAGGAAAGTAACTCTCTCAAGATCCCATAGCTGTTGAGTGTGAGTGAGCACACTTTCTCAGGAGAAACAAACCTCTCCCAGAAACCTAAGAGATGTGACATATTCACTTTGCTTGTTGCGATAGATATCATTTGCCATCTGGGAGGAGTGCCCACAGAGCTTAGTGTTTCTGGCTGAAGAGCAATAGACTCTTGCCAGCTTACCTCACTGATTTCCAGGAGGAGGAAGAAAAGAGGAAGAAAGGTCATGATTTACACTGGTCTGCAGTCCTGCCTTCCTCTTGGCCATCACAGACAGCTGCCAGAGTTTCCAAAGCTAAATCTCTCACTCTCTGTTGAGAATCCTTCTGAAGCTCCCCATTCCTGAAAAGTCAAAGCAGGATTTCTCAACCTCAGCACTACTGACATTTCGAGCCAGATAATTCTTTGCTGTGGGGGACTTTCTGTGCATTGTAGGATGTTTAGCAGAATTTTTAATCTTTACCCAGCAGATTGCAGAAGCATCCCCTTAGTTGTGACATCCAAAATGTCTCCAGACATTGCCAAATGTCCTCTGGAGAGTAAAAATAGCCCCCAAATTGGAGGCAGAAGGGGAGATGGGCACCCAAGGCAGAAAGAGCAGTGGGAGCAAAGTTTGGAGGTGTACAAGTATACCTTAGGGAGTGCCAGGGGTGGGGCATGCAATGCAATTCATGGTCATATTACAAAAGGTCTTAAACACAGCCTTCAGGAGATGTGGAGCCATTGAAGGATTCCAAACAAAGGAACGAGAGGCTCAGCCTTGAAATTTGAAACAATCCCTCTGGCAGCCATTCGGATGGTGAACCAGAGGGAGACACAACTATTGACTGATGGGTTTGGGGGGCGGGGAGCATCACAATAATTTAAGTGAGAGCTGAGACCCAGAGGAGGGGAGAGCAAGAGGCAGAAGGAGTCTAGGCATGCCAAGATTTCATGGTGGATAAATTCTAGTCCTTTCTAAGAGTGTAAAGGCAAAAATAAAATGTCTGGTCCATGGAAAGTGATTAATAATATTAATTTTGGCCAGGCGCGGTGGCTCATGCCTGTAATCCCAACACTTTGGGAGGCCAAGGCGGGCATATCATGAGGTCAGGAGTTCGAGACCAGCCTGGCCAGTGCAGTGAATCCCTGTCTCTACTAAAAATACAAAAAGTTATCTGGGTGTAGTAGCGGGTGCCTGTAATCCCGGCTACTCAGGAGGCTAAGGCAGGAGAATCGCTTGAGCCTGGGAGGCAGAGGTTGCAGTGAGCCAAGACTATACCACTGCACTCCAGCCTAGGTGACAGAGTGAGACTCTGTCTCGAAAAAAAAAAATTAATTTCTTCTCCTCCAGTTCTGTGCCATTGTTGACATGATTCCCTGGGCTGGCTGTGTGCTGCCTCTTTTTCTCAGCCTGCTGAAATCCCCCTCTCCTTGAAGGCCTGTGACTTCCTGAGTGGAGCCTTCTTCAGCCTTCCAGACAAGCTCCTTCCTGTTTACCCGAAGCACATTGGATAGGTGTCCAGTATATTGTAATTCTAAGTGTCTGTTTTCTCTATTAGACAGTCAGCTCTTTGAGTGCAGTGACTTTATCTTGTTCATTTATTCCTTGAATCAGTGTTTCTTGAGCACTTACTATGTGCCAGGCACTGTGCTAGATACTGTGATATAGCTGTGAACAACTGTGTTTATCCTCAGAATCTACAGAGTGCATGGCATACTTAAATGCTTATAAATGTTTAGTGAATGAATGAACAGGTGGATGGATGGATGGATGGATGGATGGATGGATGGATGGATGGATGGACAATGAAGTTATCAATGTGGCTGAGACCTGGAGAGGTTTAGTGAGTCACCCATGACTGCCCAGGAAGTGGCAGAGGAGGAGCTGAAGCCCCAGACAGTTAAGGGACTAGTTCTTGGAACAATGGGGCTCCCCTAGAAGGTTTTCTATGGTCCAAGAACAGCCTCACCTGTTTGCAGGACGACAACCTGTCAGCTCCCAGAGTTCTTCCTTTTCAGCTAGTTGGCTGAAGCCGCAGAGATTGTTTATAGTGGATTTGGGTAGCTTGTCTCCCATGTAGATTTGTCCCGTTGTTGCTCGGCAAAAGCCCTGCTTTGCCCCTGGGGGCTACCTCCGAACCGCCCCTCTCCATTCATATGTCGAGATGGGGCTCCGTGCCCAGCCTAGGACTGGAGCATGTGGCCCGAACCTAAGTCAACTAGTACACCGGTTTCTCTGGACACAGTGCCACAGAGCTTGGTCAGAGGTAAGCATGTTACTTAAATGCCCCAAGCTATTCCAGTCAGGGTGAATCTTGAGACTTTGTGGGATTTCTGGGACAAGAGCACTTATACCCTTTTGTACTGAATTTAATATGGAAGGCATGGGATTTTAATTTTGTTATGGTTGGATGCCATCTCACAACCACAAGAAGAGGGCTTTTTCTTTTCTTTTTTTTTTTTTTGAGACAGAGTCTTGCTTTGTCGCCCAGGCTAGAGTGCAGTGGCGCAATCTCAGCTCACTGCAACCTCCACCTCCCGAGTTCAAGCAAGTCTCCTGCCTCAGCTTCTGAGTAGCTGGGATTACAGGTTCACACCACCATGCCCAGCTAATTTTTGTGTTTTTTTAGTGGAGAGGGGGGTTTCACCATGTTGGCCAGGCTGGTCTCGAACTCCTGACCTCAGGTGATCCTCCTGCCTCAGCATCCCAATATGCTGGGATTATAGGCGAGAGCCACCGTGTCTGGCCTCTCTGAGGGTTTTTCAACACAGTCTCCCAGAGGACCCAGTTTCCCCCAGCAATAATCTGCTCATTAATACTCCTTTTATCGACTTTCTTGCCTCCCTGTTCATTTCCCCCTCCCTGTTACTGGTGCCCTCTGGGATCACATCACAATATGCTACTGGCCCTCTAATCTGCATTTCAGGGGAGAGCTAATCCAAGCCAGCCACCTCTGTAACATCCTGGATATGCCTCCAGTGAACCACCCCTCCCTAACACTCAGTCCAAAAAATTCAGGTAGAATTGACTCCACCTCTGGCTGTGAAAGTGGGCAGGTGATTTTCAGGAGTCAACAGTCAGAACACTGCAGTGCCTTGGCCTTACTGATTGGGTCAGAGATGGCCATGCGACCTGATAGGAGTTAATGAGAATCTTTGAAATTTTTCTGGAGCTGCTGAGATAGACAGTCACCTGTCCTTCCACAGGTGTCTATCACCTGTACCACCCAGAGGATGCAGGGCTAGAGCTCTGGGAGCCATTCTGCTTAAAACCAGCTGTACTGCCTTTGCTGACTATGAAGATAACCCATGTTTGTGAGAGACTGCCATGACACTCCCATTCTTTACCGCTCCCCGGGTCCATGCTTCTTGCCATGTAACTTACAAGTGTCCTCTCACTTTGAGCTCAGCCATGTGACTTGTATTGGCCAATGGATGTTAGCAGATGCAATGGGACAGAGGCTTGTAATTAGCTATGATCAGACTTATTTGCATGTTTGCCATGGCTACAGAAAGTTTGCAGACTGGGCTAGTCCATAGAAGGATAAGGGACACGTGGAGTAAGGTCCTCTCAATTGTCTCAGCTGAGGCCCCTGTAGATCAGCCAGCAGCCAACATATGCAGCAGCCCAGCCAACCACTACAGTGTAAGCAAGAAACACTTATTGCTGCATCCTGATGAGCACTTTGGCAGCATTATATTAGCTGGATAATTGATTGATACAATACTCAATTAAAACGTTGAAGCCACACAGAAAAGGATAAAAAATTAAGTGAAGGCTGGGCATGGTGGCTCATGCCTACAATCCCAGCACTTAGGGAGGCCAAGGAAGGAAGATCAGTTGAGGCCAGGGGTTCAAAACCAGCCTGGGCAACATAGCGGGACCCCCCCCAACCTCCACTCCTTTATTTTTTCTTCCTAATTACATGAATGTCATCTGAAATCACAAAAGTAACCACTGGTGACATCCTGATGAACATCTCTCTATATGCACACACATGCATGTACACATGTACACACCCCACTTATATAAACAGGCTCACCCCATGCAAGTTAAGTGGTAAGTGTTGAGTGAAACCCCAACAATTGGTCATCTTTCTGTGTCCACGAAAATAGATCAGTGCTCAGCAAACCATATCCCTTGGGCCAAATCTGGCCCACTGCGTGTTTTTGTGCAAACCACAAGGTAAGAGTCGCTTTTGCATTTTTAAGTGGTTATAAAAAAACAAGTATAAATAGAGTTTTATTGGAACACAACCACACCTATTCATTTACAAATCATCTATGTATGGCTGCCTTAGCAATACCATGGAAGGGTAGAGTAGTTGCAACAGAGACCTTGTGGCCCACAAAGCCTAATATATTTACTCTCTGGCCCTTTAGAGAAAAAGTTTGCCAACCCAGACACAGATAATAATGACTCATTTATTGGCAGCATACAATTCCACTGTATGGGCATTTAATCAACCCCTTATTGATAGAGATTTAGGTTGTTTCCTATTTTTTTTTTTTTTAGATGAAGTCTCATTCTGTTGCCCAGGCTGGAGTGCAGTGGCACAATCTTGGCTCACTGCAACCTCCACCTCCTGGGTTCAAGCAATTCTCCTGCCTCAGCCTCCCAAGTAGCTGGGATTACATGTGCCCACCACCAGGCCTGGCTAATTTTTGTATTTTTAGTAGAGACAGGGTTTCACCATGTTGGCCAGGCTGGTCTCGAACTCCTGACCTCAGGTGATCCACCTGCCTCAGCTTCCCAAAGTACCGGGATTACAGGTGTGAGCCAGCTGTTTCCTATTTTTTCTTATCTTAAATAGCACTGTGATGAACATCATGACCATTTATCTTTGTGCTCTTGTTTATCTCCTTAGGAAAAATACTGAGAAATGGAATTGCTTCATTCAATTCATGACATTGAAACAGGTAAAACTAATCTATGGTGGTAGAAATGAGATGGGTGGGGCAAGGTCAACTGCAAAGAAGTGAAATAAAACTTTCTTAGGAGATGGAAATGTTCTAACCCTTTAGCCTCTCTTCTTCACTTGCTCTGGCATTTGTCTCTTAAAACACATTTGCTTTTTGGTGAGAGAGCTGTCTTATTAGAAATTTATTTCAGCAGCCAGGTGTGGTGGCTCATGCCTGTAATCCCAGCACTTTGGGAGGCTGAGGCGGGTGGATCATGAGGTCAAGAGGTCGAGACCATTCTGGTCAACATGGTGAAACCACGTCTCTACTAAAAATACAAAAATTAGCCGGGCATGGTGGTGGCATGCACCTGTAGTCCCAGCTACTTGGGAGGCTGAGGCAGGAGAATCGCATGAACCCAGGAGGTGGAGGTTTCAGTGAGCCAAGATGGCGCCACTGGCCTCCAGCCTGGGTGACAGAGCAAGATTCTGTCCCAAAACAAAAAACAAAACAACAACAACAACAAAAACCCAGAAATTTATTTCAGCAAGATGTACTTGTTGTCAGCAAATGTGACCCTCTGCAAAAAGAAGATACAGGACCTGACATAGCTGCTAACATAGAATTTCCAAGTTAAAAAATATGCTTTAACGATAAGAATGTATCCTGCTACACACACACACACACACACACACACACACACACACACACCCCTCCTCTCATATCCACAGTCACAGAATTAACATCCCTTTGGCAAGACGGGGGAGGGTTCTGGGGCAAAGTCATTCATATAAGGATATTATGTGACCTCATGATGACAAACTGCCCTTGTTTGCCACAGCGTGGCTGGGAGGAAGTAGCCATGATGAAAGCACTAATATTGGGGGTGGAGAGAGGAAAAAGGGAAAGGCTAATAAGGTCTCAGGGCAATTGAAGGAGGTTATAGAACATGATGGTTAAGAAGTCAAAGGTGTATAGGAGGCTGGGCGCGGTGGCTCGCGCCTGTAATCCCAACACTTTGGGAGGCCGAGGCGGGCGGATCACGAGGTCAGGAGATCAAGACCATCCTGGCCAACATGGTAAAAACCCCGTCTTTACTAAAATACCAAAAAAAAAAAAAACAAAAAAATTAACCGGGCGTGGTGGTAAGCACCTGCAGTCCCAGCTGCTTGGCAGGCTGAGGCAGGGGAAACGCTTGCACCTGGGAGGCAGAGGTTGCAGTGAGCCGAGATTGCACCATTGCACTCCAACCTGGACAACAGAGCAAGACGCCATCTCAAAAAAAAAAAAAAAAAGAAGGTGTATAGGACAATAAAATAAGTAGGAAGGGAGCCTTGGAAAATAATCAGGCTGGTTTGTTTCAAACCCTGTCACCTGGAACTCTGGGATTCATTCATTCATTCATTCATTCATTCCGTGAATATTTATTGATGCCTGTTACATGTCATCACATCCCAGGAGCTAGGGACTGCAAAGATGAACGAAACACAGTCCCTGTCAGCTGGAGGAAAGAGAGGCCAAATAATTAGGATACAACTTGGTACTGGGTCTGAGAGGGAAATTTGGGAACACAGGTTTTCTAGAGGAAGGGTAAACCAAGCAGGCACCTGATGGATAAGTAGGCAGTGGTGAAGGGTTGGCACTGGTGAGGACCTAAAGGGAAGAGCAAGTACTGTGGTCATTGATATGGGATCAAGGCAGCCAGTGGGGGAGGGCGACAAGACAGGGTTCTGATCTAGAACTTTTGGATCAATAGCTTTTAAACAGTTTTTATTATAACCCATGGGAAGAAACACATGTTCTCTTTTGCCCCGGTACACAATCTCTCTCTCTCTCTCTCATTTATTTATTTACTTACTTGAGACAGGGTCTCACTTTGTTGCCCAGGCTGGAGTGCAGTGGCGCCATCTTGGCTCACTGCAGCCTCAACCTCCCAGGTTCAAGTGATCCTCCTGCTTCAGCCCCCACAGTAGCTGGGATTATAGGGGTGCACCACCATGCCCAGCTAATTTGTTTGTATGTTTTGTAGAGACAGGGTTTCCCCATGTTGCCCAGGCCGAACTCCTGAGCTCAAGCAATCTGCTTGCCTTGGCCACCCAAAGTTCTAGGATTACTGGCATGAGCCAGCAGGCCTGGCCTCTCTCTCTCTCTCTCTCTCTCTCTCTCACACACACACAGACACACATACACACATACAGACACACACACATACACAAAAATCTATCCTCTATCTATCTGAAACAAAGATCTACAAAGCAGTATTTCACCCTGCAAGCAGCTATTTATTTTATTATTTTTTATTCTGCTCTATGTTGTTTTCAAAATCCTAATCAGAAGTGAAATCAGCTGGTCACAAATTGGTACGTATCGCATGATTTCATTTATATGAACTGCTATAACAGGCAAAACTAATATATAGTGGTAGAAATGAGGTGGGATAGGCAAGGTTGACTGCAAAGATGTGAAAGGAAACTTTCTTAAGGGATGGAAATGTTCTATGTCTTCATTAGGGTGGTGTCTACACGCGTACATGCATTTGTCAAAAATAAATACATAAAAATAAGTGCGCATGAGGGAACTTTCTGGTGTGGTGGTGCTGTTCTATATTTTGATAGAGATTTGCATTGTACAGGTGAATGCATTTTGTCAAAACTCATCAAATGGTACACTTAAGATCTGTGAATTTCATTATATGTGAATTTTACATTAAAAACATTATGGACAAATGCTGAACTCCAGTTGGTGATATACATGTTGAAGTGTTGGAAGGAAGTGTTCTAGTGTCTACAGCTTACTTTTTCAAATGCATCAAAAAATAAGTTAGATTGTTGGATGAACAGAGGAATGGAAAGATTGACAGATATGTGATACAGTAGATATAATAAAATATTAATCTACGTCAAGACAATCCAATGAGAAAAAAACTAGTCTTTTTGTCCGGACACGGTGGCTCACGGCTGTAATCCCAGCACTTTGGGAGGCCGAGGCAGGCAGATCACCTGAGGTTGGGAGTTCAAGACCAGCTTGACCGACATGGAGAAACCCTGTCTCTACTAAAAATACAAAATGAGCTGGGCGTGGTGGTGCTTGCCTGTAATCCCAGCTACTCAGGAGGCTGAGACAGGAGAATCGCTTGAACCCGGGAGGCAGAGGTTGCAGTGAGCCGAGATTGTGCCACTGTACTCCGGCCTGGGCAATAAGAGCAAAACTCTGTCTCAAAACAAAAAACAAAACAGAAAAAAAACTAGTCTTTTCAATAAATGATAAAGGGACAACCTGATATCCACACACAAAAGACTGAAGTTTCTGGGTACAGTGGCTCCCTCCTGTAATCCCAGCACTTGGGGAGGCAGAGGTGAGTGGACCACTTGAGTCTAGGAGTTTGAGACCAGCCTGGGCAACATGGCAAAACCTCATCTCTACAAAAAATACAAAAACTAGCCTGGCATGGTGGTGTGTGCCTGTAGTCCCAGCTGCTTGGGAGGCTGAGGCGGGAGGATCACCTGAGCCTGGGGAAGTCGAGGCTGCAGTGAGCTGTGATCCCACCAGTGCACTCCAACCTGGACAAAAGAGTGAGAGACCCTGTCTCCAAAAAAAAAAAAAAGAATGAAGTTGTATCCTTGCCTCACACCACACCATATACAAAAATTAACTCCGCTGGGCGCAGTGGCTCACGCCTGTAATCCCAACATTTTGGGAGGTTGAGGTGGGTGGATCACCTGAGGTCAAGAGTTCAAGATCACCCTGGCCAACATGGTGAAACCCCATCTCTACTAAAAATATAAAAATTAGCCGGGTGTGGTGGCGGGCACCTGTGATCCCAGCTACTGAGGAGGCTGAGGCGGAAGAATTGCTTGAACCCAGGAGGTGGAGGTTACAGTGAGCCAAGATTGCGCCACTGCACCCCAGCCTGGGTGACAAGAGTGAAACTCAACTTCAAAAAAAAGTAATAACTCTAACTCAAAATGGATCAAAAACTTGTATGTAAGAGCTAATCTATGAAACTCTAAGAAACCACAGATGTAGGCCAGGCGCGGTGGCTCATGCCTGTAATCCCAGCACTTTGGGAGGCCAAGGCAGGTGAATCACAAGGTCAGGAGTTTGAGACCAGCATGGCCAACATGGTGAAACCCATCTCTACTAAAAATACAAAAAATTAGCTGGGCATGGTGGTGGGCGCCTGTAATCCCAGCTACTCGGGAAGCTGAGGCAGGAGAATCACTTGAACCCGGGAGGTGGAGGTTGCAGTGAGTCAAGATCAAGTTACTGCACTCCAGCCCAGGCGACAGTGCGAGACTCCATCTCTAAAATTAAAAAAAAAAATAGAAACCACAGATGTAAATCTCCTTGACATTGGTTTAGGTGGTAGTTTCTTAGCTATGACACAAAAGTAGATGCAATGAAACCAAAAACAGATAAACTAGACATCATCAAATTTAAAACTTTCATGTTTTAAAGGACACCATCAAGAAAGTGAAAAGAAAATCCACAGAATGAAAGAAAATTTTTGCAAGTCATATATCTGATAAGGGAACTATATCTAGAATATACAACAATTACAACTTAATAATAACAACACAACTATCCAGTTTTTAAATGAGCAAAGGACTTGGATAGACAGTTCTCTGAAGAAGAAATACAAGTGACCAACCAGCTGCTCAGGCTGGGTGCGGTGGCTTATGCCTGTACTTCCAGCACTTCAGGAGGCCAAGGCAGGAGGATCGCTTGATCCCAGGAGTTTGAGACCAGCCTGGGCAACACAGTAACACCCCCATCTCTACAAAAAATAAAAACAATTAACTGGGTGTGGTGGTGTGCACTTATAGTCCCAGCTACTCAGGAGGCTGATGCAGGAGAATCGCTTGAGCCCAGGAGGTCAAGGCTGCAGTGAGCTGTGATCGTGCCATTATACTCCAGCCTGGGTAATAGAGTGACCCTGTCTCAAATTTAAAAAGGAGCTCAACATCATCAGGAAAAGCAAATCAAAACCACGGTGAGGTGCTACTTTACACCCACTAAAATGGCTATCATCAGATAATAACAAGTGTGGGTTGGGATGTTGAGAAATTGGAAACCTCACGCACTGATGGTGAAAATGCAAAGTGGTGCTGCCACTTTGGAAAACAGCCTAGCAGTTCCCAAATGCTCGAACATACAGTCCACCTCATGACCCAGCAATTCCATTCCTAGGTGTATAACTGAGGGAAGTGAAAACATATACCCACACAACAACTCGTATGACCCAAATGTTCATAAACTGATAATGGATACATAAAATGTGGTGTATCTATACAAGGGATATTATTTGGCAATAAAGAGAAATGAAATACTGATGCACGCTGTGATGTGGATGAACCTTGAAAACATAATGCTGAGTGAAAGACACGAAGGGTCGCAAATGGTACGATTCTATTCATATGAAATGTTCACAATAGGCAAATCTATAGAGACAGAAAGTAGATGGTTGTCTGTCTGGATTTGGAGGGTGGGAACGTGAGAGTGAGACACTGACAGTTAAGGCGTCCGGGGTTTCTCCTTGACAGCAAGAAAATGTTCTAAAACTGATTGTGGTGATATTAGCACAAATTGTGAATACACAGAATAAAATGCAAAGGAATAAATTTGCTGGGTGTAGTGTCTCACTCCTGTAATCCCAGCACAGGGACTTATACATATATTATATATATATGGATAGACACTTCTCTGAAGAAGAAATACAAGTGACCAACCAGCAATTGAAAGCTGCTCAGGCTGGGTGCGGTGGCTCATGCCTGTACTTCCAGCACTTTAGGAGGCCAAGGCAGGAGGATCGCTTGATCCCAGGAGTTTGAGACCAGCCTGGGCAACACAGTAACACCCCCATCTCTACAAAAAATAAAAACAATTAACTGGGTGTGGTGGTATAATATATATATATATATATATATAACTGGGGTGGTATAATATATAGTATATATTATATATAATATATAATATATACTATATATTATATAATATATATAATATATACTATATATTATATAATATATAATATATACTATATACTATATATTATATAATATATATAATATATACTATATATTATATAATATATAATATATAATATATACTATATATTATATAATATATAATATATACTATATATTATATATTATATATATATTATATACTATATATAATATATAATATATATTTAATATATATTTTATATTATATATTATATAATATATATTTTATATTATATATTATATAATATATATTTTATATTATATTATATAATATATATTTTATATTATATATTATATAATATATATTTTATATTATATATTATATAATATATATTTTATATATATTATATAATATATATTTTATATTATATATTATATAATATATATTTTATATTATATATTATATAATATATATTTTATATTATATATTATATAATATATATTTTATATTATATAATATATAATATATATTTTATATTATATAATATATAATATATATTTTATATATATTATATATTATATATATTTTAAATACATTTTATATATATTTTATATATATATATATATATATATTTTTTTTTTTTTGAGACAGAGTCTCGGTCTGTCACCCAGGCTGGAGTGCAGTGGCGCAATCTCGGCTCACTGCAAGCTCTGCCCCCAGGGTTCATGCAATTCTCCTTTCTCAGCCTCCTGAGTAGCTGGGACTACAGGCGCCCACCACCACACCCGGCTAATTTTTTGTATTTTTAGTAGAGATGGGGTTTCACCGTGTTGGCCAGGATGGTCTCGATCTCCTGACCCCGTGATACGCCTGCCTCGACCTCCCAAAGGGCTGGGATTACAGGCATGAGCCACCACACCCTACTAGATTGTTCTATATTTTGATGGTTGTATATTTTGATAGAGATTTGCATTGCACCAGTGAATGAATTTTGTCAAAGCTCATCAAATGATACACTTAAGATCTGTGAATTTCATTATATGTAAATTTTACATTTAAAAAATTATGGACAAAAGGCGAGCTCTTCTAGTTGGTGACATGCATGCTGAAGTGTTAATCCCAGCACAGGCATTTGAAGATGAAAGCCATTGAATTGTACACTTTACATGGGTGAATCGTATGGTTTATGAATTATATCTTAATAAAGATATTTAACAGTGTTAATATAGGCCAGCATGCCTGTAAGCCTAACACTTTGGGAGGCCGAGGCTGGTGGATTGCTTGAGCCCAGGAACTTGAGACCAGCCTGGGCAACATGGTGAAACCCTGTCTCTTCAAAAAATACAAAAAATCAGCTTGGTGTGGTAGCACGTGCCTGTGGTCCCAGCTACTCGGGAGCCTGAGGTAGGAGGATTGATTGAGCCTGGGAAGTCGAGGCTGCAGTGAACTGTGATAGCACCACTGCACTCCAGCCTGAGTGACAGAGTGAGCTCCTGTCTCAAAATAAATACATACAATAAATAGATGAATAAAAACGTTTATGTAGATATGCTACCAAAAGCATGACTCATAAAAGAACAAAATTGACAAATTGCTCTTCATCAAAATGTAATACTTCTGATCGTCAAATGACACCATTAAGAAAATAAAAAAAGAGAAGCCGCAGACTGAAAAAATATTTGCAAATTATCTATCAAATACAAGCCTTGTATCCAGAATTTATAAACAACTTTCAAAACTCAATAATAAGAAAACAAACTAGTCGCTGGGCGTGGTGGTCCACGCCTGTAGGCCAGCTACTCGGGAAGCAGAGGTGGGAGGATCCCTTGAGTCTAGAAGTTGGAGGCATCAGTGAAGTTATTTAATATGATCACACCACTGCACTCCAGCCTGGGCAATAGAGCAAGATTCCGTCACACACACATACACACACACACACAAGAATCCCAAGTTCTGCAACAAGAAGTCAGCTTGGGGAGACAGCAGAGGACAGTCAACCTTCTGGAAGTCACCAGTACGGATGAAAGTCTCAGGGACCCCCTCAACAGTTAGGATTAGACCAGACCCTGGATTTCCACTCAGCTCTCTGGTAGGGAGGGTTCCCCATAATGACAGAGATTAACTTTCTCACCAGCCTTGTCTCTGGAAACACAGCGCTGGGCTTAACTTCATGTATTAGTAAAATCGGGAGGCGTTTCCTGCATCCAAGACAATTGTTGTCAGGGAAAAAGGTATCCCTATTACATCCGATTTACGTATTGGAGTTACAGGTAATTTCAACTTATAAAGGGGTTCATGAATAGGAAAATGTCCTGGTACTTAAAAGTGCAAGTTTGGCCCTGCACGGTGGCTCACGACCGTAATCCCAGCACTTTGGGAGGCCAGGGCAGGAGGATCACTTGAGGTCAGGAATTCGAGACCAGCCTGGCCAACATGGTAAAACCCTGATTCTACTAAAAATACAAAATTAGCCAGGCGTGGTGATGTGCGCCTGTAGTCCCAGCTACTCAGGAGGCTGAGGCAGGAGAATCACTTGAGCCCGGAAGGCAGAGGTTGCAGTGAGCCGAGATCATGCCACTGCATTCCAACTTGGGTGACAGAAAGAGACTCCATCTAAAAAATAAATAAATAAAATAAAAGTGCGAGTTTGGACAACTCTCATTCAGACCCATTTCAGTCTTTTTAAGAGCTAGTCTTCCCTACCCAAAGTGTTGGAGCACAAGAGAAAGCCTCTGGGTCTTCTCTACCTGCCTTATCTATGGGCCTGTGTGCTCAATATCAGAACGCTCACAGCTCCAGAATGTCTTTCATACTTCTTTGCCTTGTGTAGAACTTTTTCCTTTTTTGTCCACCTGGCGAACTCCTATTTATCCTTCAGTACCCTGCTGACACTGCCCCTCATCTGGGCATGAAAGTGTACAGGAGCCTTCTTGGATTCCTTCTCCTATGATAGACACAGTGTTATCTCTTTCTGCATTCCCACTGATCTGCACATGCAGCCCCAAGCTCAGACTGGCTTTCTCTCTGGATGTACGACACGCCATAGGAATTTGTTGTTTCAAATACAATTAAGTCTGGTGCCAAGGCCTCAAGCCCCAGAGTACAATAAATTGCTCTCAGTGGTTGTCTGGATTCTCTCTGTGCCTACAGAGAACCAAAGGGGGAAACAGAGGATAGGGGATGGGGTGTCCTACACAGCACAGACACTTAGAGAGGGCCCTCTGTCTCCTATCTGCAGCAGGCAACACAGTGCAGTATTTTCCAATTCCATCTGGTCCTGGAAGGTGGGTGTCCTCGCTACTCCTTCCCAGGTTGGGCACAGGCACCTGGCAGTGGCTGGGGGGGTGCAACCTCCCTTATAGCGTCATGCAGTTACTCCTGCTAGGGTCCTGGTGCCTCTCTGGGCACTTTGAGGCAACACAGCATTGTCACACCCTCCAAAATGCCCCCACCCCCATCATCCCAGTTTGGGAGATGCTTCCACAACTGAGGCCCCAGCTTTGGCTCATGCACCTCAGGCAACTTCTTCTGTTCGCTTCCTCCCTGGGAGGTTTCACTGGAAACACAAGATTGGCCTGGCAGTCCTAGGAGAGGGGCCAAGGGATGCTGCGGCCAGACACTTTCTTGCTAACACCCTATTTCTCCTAGATCAGCACTTACCTCACTCGTGATATTTCAGTCATTTATTTTCTGGCCTGGGCCTTCCTCTGAACTGTGAATCTTTTGATGCCAAGGAATGTCTCACCGACCTTGGTCTCCAAAAGGCCAAGTGTGGGCTTTCTAACTGGGGCTCTGCGGGCTGGGGGCAAGTTTTTTCTTTTTTGCTGGGAGGGGCAGGGGTGGAGGCAAATTTTTAAAGTCTCTCTGAGCCCATTTTCTTGCCTATAAAATGAGGACTACAATAATACGGATCTCGTTAGTATTTTTGGGATGAACTAAGCCAATGCATGTTAACCCTTTAGAACAATGTCTAACATGTATTAATAGCATAATTCATGTTAGCTGTCATTATTACTTTTTATTTCCATCACTGTTACTTGTAGTGGATGTTTGGTTGCCTACCAAGTAGTCATTCCAACTCCTTTTTTCCACTATAGAGACTGAAAATGCAAGGTACTCACCTCCCCAGGCTCCTTACAGCTAGGGGGGGTGGATGACCTAATCTTGGGCAATGGAGCTTGAATGAAGGTGTGCAAGGAGGCTTCTGGGAAAGATTTTCCTCTCTGATAAAAAGAGAGAGAGAGAAAGAGATTTTTGGACATTGTCTTGGAGGCAGGAGATACTTGGAGCTGTGACAGCCATCTTGCAACCATGAGGACAGAGCCAAGGATAAAAGCCAACATGCTGAAGATGTCAGAGCAGGGGCCTTTATAAGATCATTGAGTTTCTGCCCCAGCCCTGGAAACTCCTACCTTGGAACACTTTGCTAAATTCGATCTGAAATGCCTTTATTAGGAAAGCCATTTTTAATTGGGTACACTGGGATTAGTAGCTGAAAGTATTCGGAAATTTACAGTGGGTAACTGTTGAAAGAAAGTAGCCGGGTCAGGATGGAAATCCTGAACTCCCAGACTCAGATGAGAACAATAGCTGGCTGCCGACTTAGGCCATGGATGGGTGATGCTTCTTGGTCTACTAATAGGTGCTTGGCCTCATGGGCAGTTCCGCAGTCTGTCTGTGGAAGAGAGTGAGTACATGAAAAAAAATACAGCAAAAAGGAAGAGAAAGAAGACAGGGAGAGAGGAATCATTCACAAGTGAATGACCCCAAATCCTCAGGCTTCATTTCTGCTGGCACAACCTTGTTCATTTGCTCTGGGACATCCCATCATCAAATTGTAACATGGTTTCAATCCACTGTGGGATGGCAGAGAAACTACGGCGTATCATCTAACCTGGTTTCATCAGTATTTCTAACTTAGTTTTTGGCAGGTTATTCATTCTCTTGTGTTGGAGACACTGCCTTTCTGTGTTGCTGAGAAAAGGGGGGATGGGGCTATGCTTCTCTTATTTCTGGTTAATTTTGTGGCTAGAAAAAATTTCGTGGGAAAGACTAATGCACAACATATTTTTACCACATCAACTACCGGTCCCATCATGATGCAGGATGTTGCAGGAATCACTGATGTGCACCTTGTACAGGTTGATGTAATGCTTACTTCTTGGTTTGCAGGTCAAAAACAAGCTAGAAGTGAGGAGTGGTATCAATATACATTTTAAGGCCGAGTGCAATGACTCACGCCTGTAATCTCAACACTTTGGGAGGCTGAGGCAGGCAGATTATTTGAGGTCAGGAGTTCGAGACTAGCCTGGCCAACATGGTGAAACCCCGTCTCTACTAAAAGTACAAAAATTATCCAGGCATTGGTGGCGGGTGCCTAGTCCCAACTACTCAGGAGGCTGAGGCATGAAAATCACTTGAACCCAGGAGGCGGATGTTGTAGTGAGCTGAGATGGCACCATTGCACTCCTGCCTGGGTGCCAGAGTGAGACCCCATCTCAAAAAAAAAAAAAAAAAAAAAAAAAAATTTTAAGGATATGATCACTCTCCCAGAGGCAAGAAGTATCATTTCTCGACCCCAATGAGTGCTCTCTTTCCTCATGTCATCACATTTCTTTATATACGACTGTAGTTCATCTCTGGTACTGATCCTCCCCTTCCAGTATCCTTCTCTTTTGGGCCACTCTACTCAAACCATGCTTTCTGGGGTCAGCTATGACAGTGTCACCAAACACAAAGCCTTTCTTTTCCCAGTTCTCATGCAATCTTTTTCTCTCTGCAGCTGTTCATTCTTCATGAAATGCTCTCTTCTGTTAATTTCCAAGATTCCATACCTACCCTCCTGGTTTCTCCTGACCTCTCTAATCACCTCCTCTCACTTCTCATCCTGCCTTCTAAATGTAATCATTCACATCCTCTCCTTTTTCCTCTAGCATTCTTCTGGTTCTGCTCATTTATAAACTTACTTTTTCCCTTCTTGGGTACATGACCACCATCAAAGCTTCCACAATACATAAGTATATATATTCAGTGAATGTTTCCCCGGATCTATTCTGGCCCTGTCCAATCCGATTTCCCAGATGGAACCTCTGTGAGCATTGGGTGTGCATTCTTCCAGACCTGGTACAAGCAGACACATCATTCCATAGTGTGATGATTTTGTTTTGGTTTTATTTTGTTTTGTAGAGACGTGGTCTCCCTATGTTGCCCAGGTTATTCTTGACCTCCTGGGCTCAAGCAATCCTCCCGCCTTGGCCTCCCAATGTGCTGGGATTACAGCCATGAGCCACTGCACCCAGCCCATAGCATGGCATTGACTACAGTTCTGCGTTGGTCATTTAAAGTCTCCACATTTAGCCCTGTCCTTTCTCCCATGCCCTAGTATTTTATTTATTTATTTATTTATTTATTTATTTATTTATTTATCTATGAGACAGGGTGGTCTCACTCTGTCACCTAGGCTGGAGTGCAGTTGTGCGACCTCGGATCACTGAAACCTCCACCTCCAGGTTTCAAGCGATTCTTCTGCCTCAGCCTCCCAAGTAGCTGGGATTACAGGCACCTGCCACAACGCCCAGCTAATTTTTGTATTTTTAGTAGAGATGGGGTTTTGCCATGTTGGCCAGGCTAGTCTCGAACTCCTGACCTCATGTGATCCATCTGCTTCGGCCTCCCAAAGTGCTGGGATTCCAGGCGTGAGCCCCCCGACCTGGCCCATGCCCTCGTGTTTCATGATCCACACCTTGAGCATGTTCTCTCACACCTCTTGCCCTCAGAATGCCTAGGGCAAAGTCATTGTCTCTCGCGAGCTAACTTCTGTGCTTGGACGGTGTCACCATCCAATTAAGCAAGCTGGAAATGATGTTGTCATTGTTGACTTCCCTCTCTGTCTCTCTTTCCCATTCTCGCTTGTGAAAGACAGTCACAGCAGCCATGGGCTGTGCACTCTGCTTCTTTTTTTATTTCCCAGCTTTTAGGTTTTGGGGGTACCTGTTCAGGCTTGTCACATGGGTAAATGGTGCGTCGCTGAGGTTTGGGGTACAAATGACCCCATCACCCAGGTACTGAGCATAGTACCCAATAGGAAGCGTATCAACTCTTGCCCCCTCCTACCATCCTCCCTCTAGAAGTCCCTCGTGTCTATCGTTCCCATGTTAATGACCATGCATGTTCAATGTTTAGCTCCCACTTATAAGCGAGAACATGCAGTATTTGGTTTTCTGTCCCTGTGTTAATTCACTGAGGATAACAGTCTCCAGCTGCAACCATGTTGCTTCAAAGGACATGATCTCATTCTTTTTTATGGCTGCATAGTATTCCACGCAGTACCCTCCACTTCTGTGTTCATTTTCACATCTGGCTTATTTCCCACTCCTTGCTGCTTCTGCCCTGGTCCAGCCCCACCCTCCTCTCACCTGAAGTAAAGCTATATCCTCCAAGCTGCTTTCCCTGTTTTTTGTTGCTTGTGACATCCTCTGTATGTCGCCTACTGTGAGGCGAAAGCAACTCCATTTTGGATGCAGATCCACCATGTTGACTTAAGATTCACCACAGTTGCAGGAATGCCTCTAAGATTTCTACTTACTGCAAAGCCTGCCCTTAGGTCAAAACAACCTTGATGTTATTGTAAACACATGCTAATCATAAATCCTGCCCTTAGGCAATTTCCCTATGGTATATAAGCCCTGGTCTTGGGGCTGGGAGGTAGCAGCACAGGGGACTACTATTTCTCAACCATTGGATACGTGGCTTCTCTTCACAAGTCCCAGTTAAATGCTTCTTTCTAGGAAGCCACGGCTCCAGCCTATAATCCCAACACTTTGGGGGACTATGGTTGGAGGATCACTTGAACCCAGGGCTTTGAGGCCAACATGGACAACATAGTGAGGCCGTTTCTACAAAACATTAAAAAAAAATTAGCCAGGTGTGGTGTGTGACTTGTAGTCCCAGCTACTCGGGAGGCTGAAGTGGGAGGACTGCTTGAGCCCAGGAGGTTAAAACTGTAGTGAGTTCTGATCACATCACTTCACTCTAGCCTGGGTGACAGAGTAAGCCCCTGTCTCTAAAAACAACAATGACAACAACAACAAAAATTTGTCTCTGAAAAACTGGGTTTGTCAGCCTCTTTCTTCAACCTCTCAGCTTCCTCGGCCTTTGGGGTAGGTTTGTACTGACCTCCCACTGTGTATCACTGGCCAGTTATCGTCGCACTTCTTCTTCCCTCCTGATTAATTCAGGCTGCAATGGCCCACACATGCCTGGAGAATGAATCAGGGTTGACTTAGGCCAGAAATAACAATCCCACTTCCCTTTCACGGATTCTGACTTGCCCAGGCTTCCTTGCAGTAAGAGGTGCTGATGTGATTCAGTTTTTGCCAACAAGATCCACAGGGGAAATCTGGGAAGAGGCCCATGAAGAGAAAGACCTCCTGCCCTACCTCTTTCCTGGCACCATCATTTTCATCTGTGGCACTGAACACCTGTAAGGCCTAGCTCCAGACTTACCTTTCCTCCAACATGACCCACTTATGTTGCCAGTCACTTCTTACCTACCTTATGCTGGAGCTGGGGGTAGGGGCTTGGGAATTCAGGTCAGTTACATCATGCATCATAGTTGGTCTCCAAAGATGGCCCCAAATGAAGCCACCTCCCAGTGTTCGTGTTCTTATGCAGCCCTCTCCACTCTGAATCTGCACTGGTCCTCTGAAATATGTTAACTCACAGAATAAAAAGATAATGATGCTGTGCTAGTCTGGGCCCAAGCCTGAGGAAGAACAAGATATTCTGATGTTATCCTCTCCGGAGCCCTGAGCCAGCACACAAGAAACCCAACTGCCCTGAGACTGCCACGTTTTGAGGAAATGTAAGCTGACCACAAGGAGAGGCCACGTGGAGGAGAACTGAGACTCTCAGCCAACATGGAGGACCAGGCTCCAATCTCATGATGTAGTATGAGCCATTCCAACCAGCCTCCACCCATTTGCGTCCCCTGAGTTGACACCACGGGAAGGAAAGATAAGCTGGGTAAGTTGGGGTGAAAATGTAACTGCAAATCATATCCTCTGTTCAATCTCAATAGCCTTCTCATTTTTTTTTTTTTTTTTGAGACAGGGTTTCACTCTGTTGCCCAGGCTGGAGTGTGGTGGCAAAATCATGACACACTGCAGCCACAGCCTCCCAAGGCTCAGGTAATCCTCCCACGTCAGCCTCCTGAGTAGCTAGGACTATAGGCATGCACCACCATGCCTGGCTAATTTTTAAATTTTTTGTAGATACAGGATCTCCCTGTGTTGCACAGGCTGGTCTCAAACTCCTGGGCTCAAGGGATCCTCCCGCCTTGGCCTTCCACAGTGCTGGGACTACAGGTGTGAGCCGCTGCACCCAGCCAGCCTTCTCTTTCTTGCAAATGATTGCACTCTTCTGCAGCTTCACTTTGCTTACACGGGCCTCTCAGCCTGCATTACCTTTCCTCTGCATCAGTTATCCCATCCTCTAAAGCTAATCTGGAAAGCCCCCACTTCTATAAACCTTCCAGATGATGTCAACTCTGAAGAGTGGGTATTTGGACCAGCTCTGCAGCAAGTGTGTACTTTTGCTCACTATGCACCTACCCTCCCTCTCTTGTTGTAACAGCACCCCAGTTTTGTTTGGATGAACTCCCCCCACCACCTTTTAGTGCAACTCTGTCAATCAAGTTGTCCATTAACTTGTGTTTCAAGTGGGACGTAGAACCCGCCTGGGCCAATCAGTTGTTTCTCTCTCTCTCTCTCTCTCTCTCTGTCTCTCTCTCTCTCTCTCTGCTCTTACTCTTTCTCCAGTGCAAATCCTGAGAGGGTGACAGATAGCTGAAAATGGATGACAGCCTGACCAGACCTCCATAAGCTGCTGCTGGCAAGGTCTGCCAAGTTCTCTGGTCCACATTCAGTCCCAAATCTGAGGCTCCAGCATTTTCATTTGAGTCTACGAGCCACCCTGGAGCAGAGACAGTAATGCTCGCCAATGATTCCATTGTTCCCTTTCATTTCCCAGTGTTCTGGCATTTAGGGAAGATCTTGTGACTAGTTCTCACCAGAGATCCTAGAGTAGAAAGGACACATGTCACTTTCAGGCTGAGGCAGTAAAAACCCCCTGTGCAAACCCCCAGCCTCTTTCTTCCCCTGCCATGGTCACACCAACAAGGCTTCATGTTTCAGGGCTGCAGCCACCAGATGGTGGAACCTCCATTAGTCTGAGTGAAAGGAGGGCAGAGCCTACTGCTGATCCACATGTGGTAGATTCCACTACCTAGAAATAATAATTTTGAGAATGTTTGTTATAGCAGCATGACCTGGACTGTCCTGAATAATATACACCAATACCCTTCCTACCCTTCCAATAAACTTTTTTTGCTTAGATTATCACATCAGTTTCTTGTACCTAAACCAGCTTAACTGATAAACTAACAGCACTTAGTAGCAATTTCTTTTTCTTTCTTTCTTTTCTTTCTTTCTTCTTTCTCTTTCTTTCTTCTTTCTTTCTCTCTCTCTCTTTTCTTTTTTTTTTTGAGACAGGGTCTCACTCTGTCACCCAGGCTGAGTGTAGTGGTGCAATCTATGGCTCACTGTAGCCTTGAACTCTACAGTGGGCTCAAGCAATCCTCCCATTTCAGCCTCCCCAGTAGCTGGGACCACAGGCCTGTGAGCTCTGCAGCCTTGAACTCTGCAGATGGGCTCAAGCAATCCTCCCACCTCAGCCTCCCCAGTAGCTGGGACCACAGGCCTGTGAGCTCTGCAGCCTTGAACTCTGCAGATGGGCTCAAGCAATCCTCCCACCTCAGCCTCCCCAGTAGCTGGAACCACAGGCGTGTGCCACCACACGTTGCTAATTTTGGTATTTTTAGTAGACACGGGGTTTCACCATGTTGCCCAGGCTGATCTCAAACTCCTAGGGCTCAAGCGATCCTCCTGCCTCAGTCTCTCAAAGTGCTGGGATTACATGGGTGAGACATTCCACCTGGCCAGCAATTCCTTTGTTGATTACACTTACTAATGTGCATTTATCTTATTTTTTCTTGCCAGCTGAGAGCAACCTGACCTAAGGACTACGGAGATTCATCTTTGCATCTTACCACACTGCTGAGCACTTTCTTGATAAGATTTGTTAAGATGAATGTAAAAACTGAATGAAAATGAAATTTTTGTTTTGTTTTTAGAGACAAGGTCTCTCTTTGTCATCCAGGCTGGAGTGCAGTGGTGTGATCATAGCTCACTTCAGCCTTGAACTTCTAGACTCAAGCGATCCTCCCACCTTAGCCTCCCAGTAGGTGGGACTATAGGAATTGAATTCGTTTTTTAAATTCAATGTTTGCATTCATCCTATCAAATAGTATCAAGAGCCTTATAAGTATTCATCAGTGTGTACCACCACCAGACCTAGCTAATTTTTAAATTTTCCGTAGAGACGGGGTCTTGCTGTGTTGCCCAGGCTGGTCTCAAACTCCTAGCCTCAAGTGCGCCTCCCACCCCAGCCTCCCAAAGTACGGTGATTAAAGACATGAGCCACTACGCCTGGCTGAAAATGAAAAACGTGGTGAGTCAACCAGTTACTCTCTTTTCAACTGTGGTTTTCTAATCCATTTTCAAGTGAGGTTTCTTTTTTTCTTTTCTTTTTTTTTTTTTGAGACGGAGTCTCGCTCTGTAGCCCAGGCTGGAGTGCTGTGGCACAATCTTGGCTCACTGCAACCTCTGCCTCCTGGGTTCAAGCGATTCTCTTGCCTCAGCCTCCCGAGTAGCTGGGATTACAGGCATGTGACACCACGATCGGCTAATTTTTGTATTTTTAGCAGAGATGGAGTTTTGCCGTGTTGGCCAGGCTAGTCTCGAACTCCTGACCTCAGGTTATCTGCCCACCTCGGCCTCCCAAAGTGCTGGGATTACAGGCATGAGCCACCATGCCTGGTCTCAAGTGAGTTTTAATTAAAAGAGATTTAAAAATATGATTGCATCTCTATTTTTATGACGGTGGCATATATATAATAATATCTATATGTTTCAATCAAATTGTAGTCATAACTTTAAAAAGCCTTATTAAATGACAAAGAGTAAAACACTCTGGAAACATCAGAACAGCAGCAATATTCACCAAGCTCTTTATTTGCAACAGACACTCTATGTAGGGATTTTACTTTTTCATCCTCCAACCACACTCCATCCCTAATCCTGGTGTCTACATCTTATTGAAGACAAAAGAAGCAGCAGCAATTTGGAACTATTTGTTTATTGCTCCCAAAGGAATAAATAATTTCCAAATCATAAAAAGGGGGACTCAAAGGAGCTGGTAGACTAATAAAGAAGAACCATAGAGAGGAGGAAGTTCTCCATTTTTGTCCATTTAAAAAGAAACACAACAGTTGGGTGCTCACACCTGTAATCCAAGCACTTTGGGAGGCCAAGGAGGGAGGATCACTTGAGGCCAGGAGTTTGAGACCTGCCTAGGCAACAAAGTGAGATCCAATCTCTACAAGAAATAAAAAATTAGCTGGGTGTGGTGGTATGCACCTGTACTCCCAGATACTTGGGAGGCTGAGGCAGGACGATCACTTGTGCCCAGGAGTTTGAGGCTGCAGTGACTTAAGATCACACCACTGTACTCCAGCATGGATGACCGAGTGAGACCCTATCTCTTTAAAAAATTCTTTTTTTTTTTTCTGAGATGGAGTCTCTCCCGGTCACCCAGGTTGGAGTACAGTGGCGTGATCTTGGCTCACTGTAACCTCTGCCTCCTGGGTTCAAGCAATTCTCCTGTCTCAGCCTCCCGAGTAGCTGGGATTACAGGCGCCTGCTACCATGCCCAGCTAATTTTTGTATTTTTAGTAGAGATGGGGTTTCTCCATGTTGGTCAGGCTGGTCTCAAACTCCTGACCTCAGGTGATCCACCCGTCTCGGCCTCCCAAAGTGCTGGGATTACAGGCGTGAGCCATCGCGCCCGGCCAAAAAATTCATTTTTTAAATTCAATTTTTGCATTCATCCTATCAAATAGTATCAAGGGCCTTACAAGTATTCAGCAGTGTATACCAGCTTGGATGGCACAGCAAGACCCTGTCTCAAAAAAAAAAGAAAATGAAACACATGCAAAGTGGAAATGACTTACAACCTGCTCCCAGTGAGAGAAAGAGAGAGGGAGAGAGAGAAAGATAAATATTACTGTTGGAATAATCTTTAAGAGCATGCGGTGTGCGGTATGTGAAAGAATCTAAATGTGTTACAGATCAGGGCTTCTCAAGCATTCACACGCTCAGAATTCACCTGCAGATCTTGCTAAAATGCAGATTCCGCTTCAGTATGTCAGGGAGGGGCCTCAGTCAACTCCTTAGATGTCTCGAGCTCCCAGGGGGTGCTGAGGCTGCTGGAAGAGCAAGTGCAGAAAACTAGTGGGATCAGAACGGCCAACACAATTCAAGAACTCTTCAGAAGCTTGGGTTGGGGGTTTTGATGAGCTTGCCCTGAATTCAGCCTTTGATCAGTTCTCTTTAAAAGTCGGTTAGGAAATCACTGTTACCTTGTATCTTATCTGGAAATCACTTCTCTGGTAGCTTCACTATCTTTTTAGAAAAAGAGTCAAGAACACAGACGCAGGGGAAACAGAGGTCTGAAAAGCGAGAACAAGCGTAACAAGTTCTACACACTAAAACTTCTATGCTTTACTGAGATTTAGTTTTAATTTTTGGCCACTTTTTCTAACAAGACTGGCTATGTGTTTGCTCAGGTTAGAGGATGTTAGAAGAAGGGAATTATAAGCGCTTAGGACTTCTGGTAGCCCGACAGAGGGGAAGAGATGGAAATAATACGAAAAGCTGACCCTAGAATGAAAAATTCACCACCGTCTTGGGGCATTTCTTGCAAAGGCAAAAAGCCCTAGAGTAGTCACTGTCCTCAAGATATCTTTGAGACGGAGTCTCACTCTGTTGCCCAGGCTGGAGTGCAGTGGTGCGATCTCGGCTTACTGCAACCTCTGCCTCCTGGGTTCAAGTAATTCTCCTGCCTCAGCCTCCCCAGTAGCTGGGACTACAGGCATGCGCCACCACGCCCAGCCAGTTTTCGTATTTTTTTTTAAATTTAATTTTATTATTATTATACTTTAAGTTTTAGGGTACATGCGCACAATGTGCAGGTTAGTTACATCTGCATACATGTGACATGCTGGTGTGCTGCACCCATCAACTCGTCATTTAGCATTAGGTATATCTCCTAATGCTATCCCTCCGCACTCCCCCCACCCCACAACAGTCCCCAGAGTGTGATGTTCCCCTTCCTGTGTCCATGTGTTCTCATTGTTCAATTCCCACCTATGAGTGAGAATATGCGGTGTTTGGTTTTTTGTTCTTGCGATAGTTTACTGAGAATGATGATTTCCAATTTCATCCATGTCCCTACAAAGGACATGAACTCATCATTTTTTATGGCTGCATAGTATTCCATGGTGTATATGTGCCACATTTTCTTAATCCAGTCTATCATTGTTGGACATTTGGGTTGGTTCCAAGTCTTTGCTATTGTGAATAGAGCTGCAATTCACAATTGCTTCAAAGAGAATAAAATACTTAGGAATCCAACTTACAAGGGACGTGAAGGACCTCTTCAAGGAGAACTACAAACCACTGCTCAATGAAATAAAAGAGGATACAAACAAATGGAAGAACATTCCATGCTCATGGGTAAGAAGAATCAATATCGTGAAAATGGCCATACTGCCCAAGGTAATTCATAGATTCAATGCCATCCCCATCAAGCTACCAATGACTTTCTTCATAGAATTGGAAAAAACTACTTTAAAGTTCATATGGAACCAAAAAAGAGCCCGCATCGCCAAGTCAATCCTAAGCCAAAAGAACAGTTGTTGTATTTTTAGTAGAGATGGGGTTTCCCCATGTTGGCCAGGCTGGTCTCGAACCCCTGACCGCAAATGATCCGCCTCCCAAAGTGCTGGGATTACAGGCGTAAGCCACTGTGCCTGGCCCTCAAAGATACCTTGTACTCATCAAGAAAGGTCATCGTGTGCTTCAGATGGCAGAGAGATATATTTTTGAATAATTAATATAGAAAGATAGAAAAAATCTTTAAAAAATGTTGGTGCTTGAAGGAATATTCTAGTTATGTGAAACAATTCTGGGCCAGGTGCGGTGGCTCACACCTGTAATCCCAGTACTTTGGGAGGCCAAGGCAGAAGGATCGCTTGAGCCCAGGAGTTTGAGACCAGCCTGGGTAACATAGCAAAATCCCACCTCTACTAAAAATTAAAAAAAAAAAAAAAGCCAGCCATGGCGGCTTATGCCTGTGGTCCCAGCTACTTGGGAGGATGAAGCAGGAAGATTGTTTGAGTCTGAGAGGTTGAGGCTGCACTGAGCTGTGATCATGCCACTGTGCTCCAGCCTGGGTGACAGAGTAAGACCCTGTATCAAAAATAATAATAATAATTTAAAAATCTTATATATAACAATTCTCAGATGATGCTGGGTAATTATGGCTATAACTATATCCCAATCATATCTATGTAGACCATTATATATATTCTCTATTTCCTTATATCTAAAATCTTTATGATCACACAGACTCGGTTATTCTGAAAAATAGTATCTCTTATGATTATAAAATAAGACATACTCTTGGAGAAAAGTTGGAAAATATAAGAAAATAATAAAAAGTTTATATGCACTGTTAATATTCTGGTGTGTGTTTAGTTTTCTCTCTTAAAATATCCTGAATTTTTTTTCTGACATCAAGTATTCTTTGAAAACATGATTTTTAGGGTACATAAGATTCCATAGAATTGTTACACACTCCAACTGTTCTCTTTTATAACATTGGGAGACATTTAAGTTGTTTCCTTCTTCCCCTAATATAATTAAGTCTCTCATGCACTTCCTTGTATATTAATTTTGTGAGCATCTTTGATTATTTCCCCAGATAGATTCCCAGAAGTGGAATTGCTGGGTCAAAGAACACAGACATGTCTGGGTTCTTAATGAGTACAGCAAAATTGCCCTGTGGAGAGACTGAACCGTCTACACTGCCTCTGGCAATGTGCGTATTTCTCATTTTAGCGTCTGAGCTTTCTGCTGCCTTTAAATTTAGTAATTGGTTTTATTTTTATTTTTATTTTTTTGAGATGGAGTTTCCCTCTGTCTCCCAGGCTGGAATGCAGTGGTGCGATCTCAGCTCACCACAACCTCCGCCTCCTGGGTTCAAGGGATTCTCCTGCCTCAGTCTCCTGAATAGCTGGGAAGATAGGCGTGTGCCACCACGCCCGGCTAATATTTCGTATTTTTAGTAGAGATGAGGTTTCACTGTGTTAGCCAGGATGGTCTCGATCTCCTGACCTCATGATCTGCCCGCCTCAGCCTCCCAAAGTGCTGGGATTACAGGCATGAGCCACCGTGCCCGGCCGGCCTATTGACAGTTTTTAAAATTGACCTTTGGGAGCTGTCACCATTCCTTTTAAGAAGAGTGATGAGTAGAGGGCGATCATTTTCCTTTTTTTCCCTACCAACTTGCGCGCATCACCTCTGCTAGATTGAACTTAAAATTTCTTTTCTTTTCTTTTCCCTCCCTCCCTCTCTTTTTCTTTTGAGGCAGAATCTCACTCTTGCCCAGGCTGGAGTGCAGTGGCGCCATCTCGGCTCACTGCAACCTCCGCCTCCTGGGTTCAAGCGATTCTCCTGCCTCAGCCTCCTGAGTAGCTGGGATTATAGGCATGTGCCACCATGCCTGGCTAATTTTGTGTGTGTGTGTGTATTTTTGTATTTTTAGTAGAGATGGGGTTTCGCCCAGGTTGTTCTCAAACTCCTGACCTCACGTGATCCAATTGTCTTGGCCTCCCAAAGTGCTGGGATTACAGGCATGAGCCACTGCACCTGGCTTGAACTTAAAATTTCATGAATCCAAAAATTATGTATTTATCACACTGCTGAGCTTTATAAAAAAAGAAACAAAAATGATGTAGTATACAAATGCTGATGAAAACGACTCTGAAAAGGGCTTGACCTGGGCTGTGAAAAACCCGGTCTCTAGTCTCCATTCTCTTCTCCATTCATTGCTATGTACTTTTCAAAAATACACTTTTAATTCTTTTTTCATATTTTCACTCCTATCAGAAATTTGTTTTCAAATACAGAAAAGTAAAAGTGAAAAAAATGACAGTTGTCCATTTTTCTACCATCCAACATTAACCACTGTTAACATTTTGGCATATTTGACTTTAACGCCTTTTTAAAGCCAATATTTGAAAAATTAAATTTTCAAATCTTTTCAATCCTTAAATTCATTGCTATATGAATACATAGTTTTATTATTTTAGTTCACAATTAGAATACTCCAGGCTGGGAGCGGTGGCTCACGCCTATAATCCCACTTTCGGAGGCTGAGGTGGGCGGATTACTTGAGGTCAGGAGTTCAAGACCAGCCTGGCCAACATGAGGAAACCCCGTCTCCACTAAAAATACAAAAATTAGCTGGGTGTGGTGGCGTGCACCTGTAGTCCCAGCTACTTGGGAGGCTGAGGCAGGAGAATCGCTTGAACCTAGGAGGCAGAGGTTGCAGTGAGCCAAGATCGCGTCACTGCACTCCAGCATGGGTGACAGAACAAGACTCCAGCTCAAAATAAATGAATAGAAATAAAATTAGAATATTCCAGATAAACCTCAAGATCTTTATTCTCTTCTCCCATCCCAATCTTCCTTTCCCCTTCCTAGAGGCCCTCTAGCTTGAGCTTTATAACAATCTTTTCAATCCTTAAATAGAAAATAGTTTTATATGCATATGCTTATCTACTGGCAAATTATAATATTGCCATTTTGCACTGCTCCAAATTTGCATAAATGGTGATCTTGCTGTATCATCTTTATATCTTGCTTTTCCCCCACTCTATCTATGCTTTCAGGATTCATTCATGTAGACACTTGTGAGTTAATTCATTCCTTTTCATGTTATATGACCACCCGTGGTACATGACTATCTTGCTTTTTGATTTCCTTATTAATGGCTCTTTAGGACGTTTCATTTTTTCCCACCACATTGTTGCAGCAAATCTCAAGCACACATGGGAGATTTTCTTCAGTTAAATTCCTAGAAGTGGAATTGCTAGATAAGCTTTTTCAATTTCAGTAACACCAAATAGCTCTCCAGAGGGGCTATATACAACATTTATAACCCCACCATATACGTACAATACTGGTCTTTCTTTACCCTTGACCACATTTTGTCATTCTTATAGGGAAAAAGTTGGTTTCCTTTTCTTGTTTTATTTCCAACTAATAGTGAGGTTAAACATCTTTCCATATATATTTATATTTAAATGTATATTTTATATTTATATTTAAATATATATTTTATAAATATACATATATATAAATATATATATATATATATTTTAATATGGAGTCTAGCTCCATCACCCAGGCTGGAGTGCAGTGGTGTGATCTTGGCTCAATGCAACCTCTGCCTCCCAGGTTCAAGTGATTCTCCCACCTCAGCCTCCCAAGTAGCTGGGACTACAGGTGCCTGCCACCATGCCCAGCTAATTTTTGTATTTTTAGGAGAGATGGGGTTTCACCATGTTGGCCAGGCTTGTCTCGAACTCCTGACCTCAAGTGATCCACCCGCCTCAGCCTCCCAAAATCCTGGGATTACAGGCATGAGCTATTGCACCTGGTCCCCACATATTTTTTGGCCATGTGAATTTTCTCTTTTGGAAGAGATATTCTTTTGATACACTGGTAGACTGAATTTTTTTCAATACATATTTGTAATATAGATGAGCCTGACATTTTCTTTAATTTTGCTGTTCTCTTTTTGGTGTCAAAATTAAACTAGTCTCAGAATGTGTTGAATAGCTTTCTCTATCTTGTTCATATTCCAGTGAATTTTGCATAATATAGTCTTTTTGTGTGTGCTGATCACTCCAGTAAAACTTACTTGTTCTGGACATCTTAGGAGGTGAAGCATATCCTATATTTCTAGTTCGATTTCATTAGTGATTATTACTTTTAATGGCAAAAACCTCAATTACTTTTGCACCAACCTAACACTTTTCTTCTTGGGTCAAGTTTTGTAATTTTTATTTTTGTTAAAATTACCTTTTTTCTAATTTTTCAAATGTATTGGCATAAAGTTTGTGGTATACTTTTGTGCTTTCTAAAATTTTTACTCTAGCTGGTATGTTCAGTTTGCCATTTATCGTATTGTTTGTATGATTTTCTTGATCAATCTTACATGAAGTTTTTCTATTTTATTAGTCATTAAGAGAACACCAGCTTTTGGCTTCTATAATCAACTTCATTTTCTTTTGTTCTTTGTTTTACTCATTTCTGCTTTTTCATTCTTATTTCCTTCCTTCTGCTTTCTCTGGGTTTCTGTAGTTGTTATTTTTCTAACTTTTAACAATTAACTCCCTTACATTTTTTCTTATTTTGTAAGAAGTATAAAGCTATAAGTCCCCCTCTAATTATTATTATTATTATTATTATTTTTATTTTGAGATGGAGTCTTGCTCTGTCACCCAGGCTGGAGCGCAGTGGCGTGATCTCAGGTCACTGCAGCCTCCGCCTCCAGGGTTCAAGCGGTTCTCCTGCCTCAGCCTGCTGATTACCTGGGATTACATGCATCCACCACCATGCCCGGCTAATTTTTGTATTTTTAGTAGGGACGGGGTTTTGTCATGTTGGCCAGGCTGGTCTCGAACTCCTGATCTCAGGTGATCTGCCCACCTCAGGCTCCCAAAGTGCTGGGATTACAGGCGTGAACCCCGTGCCCAGCTAATTATTTAGTTGGATCCCACATGTTTTATGATGTCAGGTTTTCATTGTCATTTATTTCCAAATATTTTATAATTTCCATATTGGTTTTCTTTTTAATCTGAATGTTTTCAGTTTCTAAACATGTGTTCTTTTTCTTTTAAAAATGTATGATAAAATCTTTCAACATATAAAAAATATAATACCTGTGTACATGGTCCTGTACTCAACACCTCACTTAAGAAATAAAACTCGAATATATGCTTATAATTTTTAATTTTAATTTTAATTTTTATTTTTTTGAGACAGAGCTTTGCTCTTGTTGCCCAGGCTGGAGTACAATGGCACGATCTTGGCTCACTGCAACCTCTGCCTCCTGGGTTCAAGGAATTCTCCTGCCTCAACCTCCTGAGTAGCTGGGATTACAGGCACTCACCACCATGCCTGGCTGATTTTTTTGTATTTTCAGTAGAGATGCGGTTTCATCATGTTGTCCAGGCTGGTCTCAAACTCCTGACCTCAGGTGATCCACCTGCCTTGGCCTCCCAAAGTGCAGGGGTTACAGGCGTGAGCCAGTGCGTCCGCCCAATTTTTAATTTTTAAAAATTCGTAAGTAATAGATGTACGTGGTTAAAAAAAAAAGTTCATTCTGACTTCCTGGCCCCTTCCTCAGAAGCAGCTGCAGTTACTAATTTAAGGTGTATTGTATCTACACCTTTTTGGCTCTCTTTTTGTTGTTGATGTTTAATTTTACCACATTGCGGTTTGTGAATGTGGTCTATAGATTCT